>NC_000003.12:66373636-66676666 GCF_000001405.40 Homo sapiens
AGTTTCTGTCCTCACCACCCACCCTTTGCATGATGCTGATTTTTTTTTTTTTTTTAAGCAAGTGTAGTTTGGTTTTCAATACAATTTTCATGGTTATTTTTGGACAAGTAATCGTGGTCCTTAATTTTATGTGCAGTATTGTAATGATTTAAACCCATAGCTAGCTAACTAAAAAGGGCCCACAAAACTCTTCTTAAGTGTCTCATTTTCCTTAGAAGTGCCAAGTGCTGCAAACAGAGGGAGGCTGCTCAGCCTCCCCCAACAGCTCAAAGGTGTTGGGAGAAAGGATGCAGTCAGGTGCTGGGAGCAGCCTGCAGGGACCGTCTTCCTGCCATGTTTCTCTCCAGGCCACCAGCTTGCTTGTCATGGAGGCTTTTCCTGTATCTTAAAGGATGCATAGCTACTGTTGGCATACTTGACCATTTTCAGTTTTCTTCCATAGACCTGACCAGAAGTCTTTTCACTGGCATATGCACTAGTTTTGCCTTCATTAACTCTTTCTGCTTACAGAAGTAATACAGGCATATTTTGTTTAATTGCACTTCTCAGTGCACTTTTTTTCCAAATTGAAGGTTTGTGGCAACCCTGCGTTGAGCGAGTCTTGCAGAGCCCTTTTCCAATAGCACATGATGACTTTGTGTCTGTGTCACATTTTGGTAATTCTCACCTGTCAAATATTTTCATTATCATATCTGCTGTGGTGATCTGTGATCAGCCGTCTTCGATGTTACTGTAATTGTTTTGGGGCATCACCCACTGTGTCCACCGAAGACGGCAAACTTAATCGACAAATGTGGTGTGGGTTCGGGCTGTGTCTCCAACCAGCCATTCCCTCTCTCTCTCCCTTAGGCCTCTATTCTGTGAGACACAATATTGCAGTTAGGCCAATTAATAATCCTCCAGTGGCCTCTAAGTGTTGAAGTGAAAGGAAGAATCACACCTTTCTCATTTTAAATAAAAAACTCGGGCCGGGCATGGTGGCTCACACCTGTAATCCCAGGATTTTGGGGGGCCAAGGTGGCAGATGGCTTGAGCCCAAGAGTTCAAGACCAGCCTAGGCAACATGCCAAACCCTGTCTACAAAAAATACAAAAATTAGCTGGCCATGTTGGTGTGTGCCTGTAGTCCCAGCTACTTGGGAAGCTGAGGTGGGAGGGTCACCTGAGCTCAGCAGGTAGAGGTTGCTGTGGGCCACGATCGTGCCACTGCACTCCAGCCTGGGTAACAGCAAGACCCTATCTCAAAAAAAAAAATTAATTAATTAAAAATAAAAGCTGGAGATGATTAAATTTAGTGAGGAAGGCATGTGGAAAGCTGAGATAGGCCAGAATCTAGGCCTCTTGTGACAGTTAACCAAATTGTAAATGCAAAGGAAAAGTTCTTGAAGGAAATGAAAAGTGCTATCCAGTGAATACACAAATGATAAGTGTAACAGCCTCATTGCACATACGAAGAAAGTTTGGTCTGGATAGAAGATCAGACCGGCCACAACATCCCCTTAAGCCAAAACCTAATCCAGAGCAAGGCATTAACTCTCTTCCCTGAAGGCTGAGAGAGGTGAGGAAGCTGCAGGGTTTGAAGTTAGGAGAGGTTGATTCATGAAGTTTAAGGAAAGAAGTCATCTCTGTAACACAGAAGTGTAAGGTGAAGTGGCAAGTGCTGATGGAGAAGCTGCAGCAAGTTACCCAGATCTAGCTAAGATCATCGATGAAGGCACTAACACTAAACAACAGATTTTCAGGGTAGATGAAACAGCCTTCGATTAGAAGAAGATGCCATCTAGGACTTTCCTAGCTAGAGAGGAGACATCAATGCCTGGCCTCAAAGCTTCAAAGGACTGGCTGACTCTCTTGTTAGGGGCTAATGCAGCTGGTATCTTTAAGTTGAAGCCAATGCTCATTGACTCTTCTGAAAATCCTAGAGCCTTTAAGAATGGTGCTAAATCGACTCTGCCTCTGCTGTAGAAATGGAACAACAAAGCCTGAGCGACAGCACATCTCTTTACAGCATGCTTTCTTGAATATTTTAAGCCCACTGCTGGGAC
Source organism: Homo sapiens (assembly GCF_000001405.40). Classification (NCBI taxonomy): domain Eukaryota; kingdom Metazoa; phylum Chordata; class Mammalia; order Primates; family Hominidae; genus Homo; species Homo sapiens. Next base: position 66,375,681 of record NC_000003.12, read on the forward strand.
CTAGTGCTCAGAGGAAAAGATTCCTTTTAAAATATTTCCGCTCATTGACAGTGTACCTGGTCACCCTGGAGTTCTGCTGGAGATGAATGTTGTTCTCATGCCTACTATCAACATCCATTCCTTAGCCTGTGGATCAAGGAGTTACTTTAACTTTCAGGTTTTATTAAATTTCATAAGGCTACAGCTGCATCAACAGTGATTCCTTTGCTAGATGTGGGCAAAGTAAATTGGAAGCCTTCTAGAAAGGAGTCACCATTCTAGATACCAGTAAGAACATTAGTGGCTTCATAGGAGGTCAAAATATTGACCATGCTGGGACTTTGGAAGAAGTTGATTCCAATCCTCATGGCTGACTAGTGGAGGGAAACACATACTAGATGTACTGGAAATGGCAAGACCACCGTAGTCAGAAGTGGAGCCTGAAGATGTAAAGAATTGCCACAATCTCATGATCAAACTTGAACGGATGAGGAGTTGGTTCTTATGGGTGAGCAAAGAAAGTGATCTATTGAGATGAATCTACTCCTGGTGAAGATACGGTGAACACTGTTGAAATTACAATAAACGATTTAGAATATTTCATCAATTTAGTTGAGAAAACAGTGGCAGAGTTGAGACGGTTGACTCCAATTTTGAAAGAGGTCCTACTGTGGGCAAAATGTATTGTGTGCTACAGAGAAATCTTTCATGAAAAGAAGAGTCCATCAATGCAACAATTACTATTTTTAGAAATTTCCACAGCCACTCCAACCTTCAGCAGCCACTACCCTGGTCAGTTAGCAGCCATCATTCAAAGCAAGACCCTCTATCAGCCAGAAGATTACAATTTACTGCAGGCTCAGATGCTCATGAGCATTTTTTAGCAATAAAGCATTTTAAAATTAAGGTATGTACAATTTTTAGACATAATTGCTACTGCATACTTAATAGACTGTAGTAGAAACATAACTTTTCTGTGCCCTGGGAAACGAAGAAATTTGAATGGCTTGCTTTATTGCAATATTCACTATTATGGTGGCCAAACTTGGCCTGGGACCAAACTTGAAATATCTCTGAGTCATGCCTGTACTCTTGGTGAAAAGGTTCAAAGGTTATGGAAGCGTGGGCCAGGAATGTGTCCTATAATCCACAGGCAGCAGGCATTCAGTTTAGGGCTTAAGACACATCCCTGGCTTGCCTTTTAGATATGGAATCATAGTCCTTGGACTTAGTTTTTTAAACCTGTTTTGTAATTTTTTTATGTTGGCATCTGTAGATTTCCTCATCTTTATCAGCTACATAATCATCCACTGTATGTTTATACTGTGCCATAACTTATATCACCATCAGCAATGCCACAATGAAAATTTTTGAACAAATATCTGAGTAGGTATGGGGAGGGGGGGCAGTTTTAAAGAATGAATCCCCAATTTGTATCCTCGTGGCATTGTAGTTTTACTTTGCATTGCTCTGATTATTCTACATTGCACCTTGGCTGGTTAGCAGCACCTTCTGTGATACCAAGGGGACTGTGCAGGTGGAGGCATGCTGCCCCCTTCACAGCCACAGCCCATTTGCCTTTCATGCCTTTAGACAGAAAAGGAACACAGGGAATCCATGGAGGTTCAACTCGTTGTCGTGACGTCATGTTTTGGGGTCTCGAAGGACAAAATGCAACTGAGTCAGTGGGTGGAGCGGCAGCATTGCCCAAAAATCTCTTCACTGAGCAACCCCTGGAGATCACTTTAGAGGTGTGGGCTGGAAGTGCCTTCCAGCCTTACCTAGGATTCAGCTCTTTAACACCTTTTTAAAAAAAATCAATTTCATGTTTCAAAGGGAAAAATGGCATGAAAGTTTTAGAACTACTGTTGGGACACAGCTATTACTTGCCTTATTTGGGAGCGTTCACAAGCTGTTTGGTAGTTAGCCACTAATGAGCATGGTGTATTGAGCTGAGCAAGCTGTGGGTATTGGAATTTAACCTTTTTTTAAAATACGCACAACATTAAAAATCCTGTTTTTTCCCCTAGATTATTTGCAGGTGTCTTCCCTCGAATGGCAGCCATCAGTCTGGGAGGTTTCATCTTTCTGGGGGCTTATGACCGAACGCACAGCTTGCTGTTGGAAGTTGGCAGAAAGAGTCCTTGAAGCAGAGACAAGCCTCACCTCCACTTCTGTCAAGAGAGGGGCCTGCAGTGCAAACCCTCTTCCGCTGAGCAGCTGTCTGAACTATAGGCCCCAGTGCTGAAGACCAGTTGTGCTAAGATACCGGCATGGAGATTGTGCCATCCGTGGTATAGGCTGGCTGGTATGAAGTCATTGGCCTGTATGCCAGAGAGCTAAGAGAAGAAAACGGGGTCTGTGGCGGTACTCTGAACAATTTCCTCAGAACCTCTTAATAAATAAGTTTGGTAATGCTGAGGCCAGGCCTTTTAGAGCTTTCATTTGATCTGTATCTGATCTTTCATTTCCTGCCACCTGATGGTGGATTCAGCAGAAGGCAAGATGGTTATAATTCTAAAAGAATAGCTTGTTTGTTTGTTTGGGAAAAGGAGACTTGGGGAAGAGTTGTGTATGTGGGTGTTTCTCCCCCTAGTTAATTCCTGTTGTGTAAGGGTAGGCTTTGTTGAAAAAGAAAGAAAGATTGAACTACAGGTGCATAGCAAGCACTCTTTCTGGGTAACTAGGCTGCTGGTTTTAATTACCCTCAGATTTCACCCATAAAAACGCACAATTGTATTATTTTACAGAGATGTGTCCAGCGCCCCCTGTGGTGTGTGAGAGAAAGCAGCTGCAACTCAAGTGACTAGGTGGGCCCAGCTGGCTTCGTGCAGGAGGGCACGGTGGGTGAGCCATTCTCGCCATTCTCATGTCAGACTGAAAGGAGGGCCTGGGCCAGCTTTGAAAAGGCAGGATGAAATGGAAAGGTCACCACACTTAGGGATTTTAGACCTTGACTAACAAGCTCCAGGTGTAGAAAAATTCAAAACAAAATGTCAGGAATCTAGCAGTGTTGTCTGCCCTGGAGCAAACAAACAGTATGTGATTTTGCTTCGCCTATTTTTTTTTTCTTTTTTGGGGGAAGATAATTAAAGGCAGAATGACTGCGTTTGTAAAAGAAGGACCACCAACTATACTGACATTTATAAATGAACCTTTATTAAAGACACTTCAATGCCATTTGTTAGACACTTCAATATTTTACATGGTTTTCAATGTACACTGTACCAAAATTTCTATAAATAAATAACTTTGTACATAAAAGTAATACTCCCTCTTTCACATTGCCTCTCAGAAGCAGCAAATTCACATATTTTGTGGAAGTAAGATTAGTCAGTTAACTGTCAAGAACAAAATTCTAAATGTGCTTACCTTTTGAACAGTGATGACACCTGACAGTAATTGTTAACTATTTTCTCAGTAACTCCCTTCAGCTTTTGGCCAAAGGAACATTTGAAGGACCTTGTTTCTATTTAAGTTTTACTAAATGACACATTGGCACTCATAAGATGGTTAGCTACCAGTCTCAAAAGTGCAAATTATACCCAGAACCCAGGTCAAGGGCTGTCCTTTCCAGTCCCAGCTCAGTTTCATCTGTGCGAAGGAATGGCATGGACAGGCCTGCTCTGGGTCCTTAGTAGAAATAAGGTAGCCCTGAAAAGTCAGAACTTCCTCCTTTCTGTCCCCCAAGGCCAATGTAATACTCATTATATTGGCAAAACGAAAACATCAGTATAGAAAAATCCACAGGTACCAACACCAGCAGCCTTTACCTTAATTTAAAAGTCTCAAATAGCAATCGAATGATACTGAGAAGGCCACATTTGCTTTTATCATAAAATAAGAGGAGGAGGAAAGGCAGTGTTTAACTGTTCTGACCTTTTGCTTGTGATGGATTAACAACCCTCATTCTACGCCTTACAGACGGACAGATTCTACGCCTTACAGACAGACAGGACTTAAACCTAAAAGGAAAAGCCATTCACTGCAAGTGTGGATGGCACTTGCACCCCTGGCTCTACAGACAGGGAAGCCTGTTGCAGGGGCATCCACACATGAGCAGTGCTCACCTGAAGCTCCTTCCGGCGCATGTGGAGTCCCACCGCACAGCAGCCTAGGGGTCTATGAAGTGCAATATAAATCCAAGGCCTTCCATCCTTCCCACCCCGCACCAAAAACTCCTGTGAACAAATGTGGTTGTAGCCTCTATAAATTCCAGCCATGCGTTAAGGCACCAGAACTATTTCCCCACCCCCTCCAAAATTAAACAGCAACCTGATACGAAAAATAATATTGTCAAAATTGTATAATTTTTTTCTGTTAACCATGCACTAAAGATTAAAATAGCCTCTGTAAAAGATATATATGAAATCTCTGAAAACTCTTATGTACAATGATATCAAATACTTTTTTTGCCTTTTGTACACAAATCCCCTCTTGCGTTTACTGTGCTTCAGATCCAAGTCCTGTGAGCGACTGATACTCCACATGGGAGTTACAACTATGTACAGATGAGTGACGCTTGAACCCAAGCTTCCTCGCAGCCTCTCCTACCTCTCTTTCCCGTAGAGATTGGTATGACAAGAACTGAGGTAGACAAAACCTAGCTTTTTGGTGCCAACAGCAGTGGCACCCTCTGTTTCCCGGGGAGCTGTCCTGTCAGTGGCGTGGACTCGGGACTGGCGTCACATGCTTTGGGGAGGTGGCCATTGGAAACAAGCAAGTACTGGGCTTCCGCGCGCTCTGGACTGCCTGAAGTTAATGAAGATGCAGGCTGTAGCTCTGTGGAGTCCGGGTGATACAACCTTGCTAAAGTCCAGGAAGAATCCCCTACAAGGAAAGAACGAACCTGTCAGACCCCCACTTGACCGTTTAAGCAGCTCCCAACCCACCTGTTAGAAGACAGTCAAAAGTTACCTTTCCCATCTAGAGATGCCATTGGCTTTTTCTTCACAGCCGTCAGCATTCTATCGTGGTTACTGGGGTAGAGCGACCCTTGGCACTCGGGGCAGGACCCAGCGGCAGTCCTGCTGCACTGGTGATGTGGAGAATGCTCTTGGTCACTCCCACCCGGCTCCGGGCCATTTGGCGCACTTGGCTGTGCGCTGTCTCTGGACACAGGCTGGGGGTGGAAGGCTTGTCCCCTGGAGTAACAGTCCACTTCGGTGTTGCAGTCACTGCATACGACCCGGCCACCGTGTTCTGAAGGACAGCGCCAAAGATGGGTTAGAGTCACTGCTGTGGGAGTCTTCGTCCCCACACAGAGGACAGGCTGCTCAGCTCCACTGTGCAAGGTGAGAACCCTGACTGCAAACACTGTATGCATGCTTCCTCTTTTCCCCAACTATGTCCCCAGAGAAAGGACTGGGCAAACACCAAGTCACTCATGAACTGTGGGGTCTTTCGTGTTTACAGTGAATTTCATAGACAATGTAGTCTTACTGCTTCACGGGGGAAAAGCCATTAGCCTTAGGTACCATGCAGTGTTGGGTCTTTTCAACAATTAGAAATAAGCCTCAAAATAGCCCTGGTGAAAAAGTGCTGACTGAAACTCTATACTTCGTTTGTGCCTTGCCCCTTATTTAAGTTGCTTATACATCTAGAAAATTCATGCTCAGGCTTACCATGGCGTAGATTTATTTAGGAGAAACTATCCTGGAATTAAGAGAGCCAGGCCTGAGCTTCCCCTGTATATACTGAATACCAAATTTGGAGACAGCTGTGGACTAGGAATGTGTCTCCCCCTTTGATGTAGTGACTAGGTCAGCCCAAATTTCCATTTCAGAAAGAAACTACTTCCAATGGGAAGCATCTCATACCCATCTTATGTGGCCCAGGTGTCCCTTCAGCTTTCTCCATCGCTTTCCACGGCTCTTTGTGATACGCAGACCCAGCACAGAGCTTTGGCTGCCTGCAGGCAACGCTGTGAGTGTCGGGCTCTGGAAAGTGGCTTGCATCTCTTGGACACACACCTGCAAGTGGATTCCAACACGATTAGAAACTCTGGGCTTGGTATTTCACAGTAAGCCTTATGAAAGGAATGAGCAAGGCCGCTAGAACAGTCATTTTTTTTAAAAAGTTCTTCAGAGCGGTGGGGCTGCTGGTCTGGCAAGCAGCGTGTTTTCTGCTACTACTTCCCAGCAGGCAGGCTGGCCTTGTGAAATGAGCAGCTGTCTCAGGGTGAGCCTCTACAGTCTCAGGCAAGTGCTCAGAGGCCCCCACCGTTGGAAGTACCTCATCCTGGTGACAGCTTTCCAGTGTAAGACTGGATCACAGAGCAGACCTGGGCACGTTCCCCATGTAAGGAATGGGTTGGCTGGGTTCATGCACCGTAATGCCCTTTCCAGCTGCTACTCCAGGCAAGCCTACTTTATCCTGCCAGGGAGATGCTAAGCCCAATCCAGTGGCTTCCTGAGGGGACAGGACTTTAAAACCTTGCAGAACTCATGAAGACTGGGTCCAAAATAGCAGCCCTTAGTCATACCGCCTTCTACTTCACCAAGTTTGCCCCATCTAATGCCAGGTACCTGCCCTGTAAAGACCTGGAGGCCACCTCCAGCACCCAGAGACACAGTCACAGCAGAGCTCTGCTTCACAGTTACTGAGGCCTTACCATTGCTCTCAATGTGCCCATTGGCCTGAGGGCCACCCTCGGTCCTGACCACGGTTTCTTGTCGGTCAGAAAGGGTCCCCTGAGAAGAGAGGTAGCTTGGAACATCTGGTGGCACGACGGTTTCATCTGCAAGGAGACAGAACAAATAGAACACCAGGGTCTCAGTGACAAGAAATGCAGACACACGTTCACTGTCAAGCTCAGAAAGGGGATCCTCCCAGTGACGACCATCAGCGCTGTGCAGAGAGATGACATGGAGTCCATGTACGCAACAGGCCCTCCCAGAGCCTGCTCAGCTTTACTCTACACCCAGCGTGAAGAGCGCAGCCAGCAGATGCCAGACGCCACAAGAAGTGGAGACCAGTGATGGAAAGCCGGGGCTCACAGAAGTACCGCACTGTTTCAGGAACAACCTACTACGTGGCAGCAGGGCCTGTGCATAGGCGGCCTCTGAGTTAGCAAGGAGAGGGAAAACTGCATGGTGCGTCAGTTACTTGTATTTGTGAGTATTCCTGTTTAAGGTTAAATTTGAGAGTATTCCTGTTTAAGGTTAAGTTCCTCAAAGTTAAAATGGAATTAGTGGGACTAAACCCTCAGGAGTTCTGAACACAGTGCAATTCTTTCAAAAGCCACTGGAACCCGGCCCAGTTCCCCAGCATCACTGCCATTCCTCCCTCCTTGAAAGTCAGCTCCGCTGGCAGGGCCTGACCTGTGTTGGTGACACTGTACTCTTCACTCTTCTTCCTGGTCTGGTAGATGATGCACACCCAGACCAGTGACGTCAGGACGATGCTGCTCACGACAGCAATGGTGAAGATGCCTACCGTGGTCCCATCCTTCCTGCAGCCTGCTGCGGGCAGGACGCTCAGCTGGCTGTGAGCTCGCTCCGTGCCCAGGGTGTTGGACATCTCACAGGTATATCGGCCCGCATCCTCTGCCACCACGTTCTGAACCACCAGGAGCTGGTTGTCAGGGGTCAAGTGGTGCCGCTCAGTGAGGCTCAGCGGGCGGTCCCCCTTGAACCAGGTGATGCGGGGCGGAGGGTTCCCCGTGGCTTTGCATTGGAGGGCCACTGTTTCTCCCACAGATACCACACGGTCTTCCAAGGGGACCACCAAGGATGGGGTCTCTACAAGAGAGCAACAGAGATCTTAGTCATTCTCAGGGCCTCCGTTGCTCTGGCTCTGCCCGGTCTTCTGGACAACGGACAATCCAACATATCAATGAGATGCATCTGAGATTCTGTCTCAGAGTGGCAAGCTTTGGAGAAGACCCTTCAACTCATTGACTGAGTCATCTCCATGCTGGGAGTGGCTTCCACAGGGACAGTGAACCTCTGCTGACAAAAGCCCCTGCTATTCCCTAACTGTCCTGTGTCAGGCCTGTGTCCTTATTCTTGACCAAGCCCACATCCATCCTGTCCAATTCTTAAAATGTTCTGTAGCTCTTGACCAAGCCCACATCCATCCTGTCCAATTCTTAAAATGTTCTGTAGCTAAACCCTATGAAGACTCTTAATTCACCAGCTATCATTTCTTTTAAAGAGATAGAAACACTTGTTTAAGAAAAATTAACTCAACTCAAAAAGCAGCCCCAAATTTCAAACAGGGTCGAAAGGCCCACAACGCATACCACCCCTGGCCACACAGAGCATTTGAGAGTCTCTCTCTCTCGCTCACACACACACACACACACACACAGTAGAGCAATAGGCAAACCTAGGACAGTCAGGGTGGCATTAGCTGAAATAGAACCGGCTGAGTTCTGAGCAGTACAGCTGTAAACCCCTGCGTCATCTATTTTCACATCAGTGATGAAAAACACGTCGTCATCCGGCATGACATGCATGCGTCGCTCACGGGCAGCGGGGAAATCCGTGCCTCCATCCTTCTGCCAGGCAATCTGAGGGTTTGGGTGACCTGTGGCAGCACATTCGAGGCGGGCCATGGTGGTGGTCCGGATGGTTATGTCGTGGGGCGTTTTGGTGAATGATGGCAACACTGGAAAACATACGTATACAGGGTCGGGTTACGGGACAGCTAGATGCAAAACCAGGAAGTCCTCTGGCAAACACCTACCTGTCACTGTGCCCAGTGCCAGTTCACTTCTTTTCTCCCAATGTCTGCCCAGGACCACTCCTGCCACCTGTGAATCAGGAACCCCCAGCTTCTCCCACCACAGTTGGAACACTTCCATCCCATCAGCCTTGCATTGTACACCCTAGGCTGGCTATAGTCCCTTCAAAGCAAAGGCTTTTACTCTACATGGCAGTGCCTATACGGGAGTTGCAGGGGGTGCCCATCCACACTAGGTAGGCCTGATGCTTGCCTGCTTTACCCACCAAGAGAGAGGCTGTGGAGATGGAATTACAGAGGGAAGGTGGGCATGCCTCCACCTTGGGAGAGCAATGGGATGGCTCATCCGTTTGGATGGGTGTTCATGGGATGAATGGGATGGCTCATCCATTTGGATGGTTGTTCACCCAGGCTGTTCCTGCCCACTGCCGTATACCCAGGCAGGAAGCATTCAGCTTGCTAGCTTGCTCAGCCTAAAGATCGATGTCCTGACAGAGTGGGACGCATCCAGCCACGTGTCAGGCACCACCAGAGTTCCTGTCAACGTCAATTTTGGGGAGAGTCTAACAAACAGCTGAGTCTTTCGGAAGCTGTGAGGACTTGGAATAAGCCAAGACAACCCCACTACAGTGTGGTAAAGAAGGTGTTTCGCTGTGATCTGTGGGGGCTTAAAGAGCAAAGCAGATCCACCATTCTGATGATTCTCAAGCCAATTCTTTTTAACTAGAGAGTTAGTAATCAGGATAACCCCATTAGGTTACTGGGGTGGGACAGTAAACTCTTCAAGCTATCTACTCCCCACCCCCCTCCTCCAAACACACAATAACACATGGTCCCCTTGACAAGCTCCAAGGCTGGTTAATGAGTAAAAACCTGTCAACTGCCAGGACACTGTGTCTTTCAGGCCAGGGCTCACACCAGCCTTGCACTCCACAGTCTCTGGAGCAGTAGCTAGCCTCTGACTCCAATGCTGTGCCATCTACTCAAAGAACAGCAGCTTCCCCAGGCTAAGGGGTATTTGGAATTTGGAAGCCAGATCTCTTGGCTTATAGAGGATAAGAACTGGACAAAACAAGGCTTAGCTCTCCACAATTTGACTTAATAACTAGTTTTTGTTTTGTTTTTGAGACAGTCTCACTTTGACACCCAGGCTGGAATGCAGTGGAGTGATCTCGGCTCACTGCAACGTCCACCTCCTGGGTTCAAGCAATTCTTGTGCCTCAGCCTCCCAAGTAGCTGGGATTACAGGCATGTGCCACCACACCTGGCTAATTTTTGTATTTTTAGTAGAGACGGGGTTTCACTATGTTGGCCACACTAGTCTCGAACTCCTGGCTTCAAGTGATCTGCCCACCTCAGTCTCCCAACTGCTGGGATTACAGGCATGAGCCACAGCACCCGGCCAATAACTAGATTTTTAAAACTCACCAAAAACAAGTAACTCATTGTGAATAACCCTTGAAATCTGCAAAACTTGCTCTGGGGCAAACCCAGGCAACAATAGGATTTAACAGTGCCCCACAGAAGCATGTGTGTGTCCTGTCTCAGTCATCTCTACATGGAAAGCTGAAAGGGCAATCAGGAGTGTGCTTTGTAGGATTCTGGTACTATAACAAAGATGGTGTTTCCATACCATTCACGGTGAGCCTGGCCTTATGTGAATAGGTGGAGCCAAAGTGGTTGGTGATGACACATTGGTAGCGGCCCTCGTGCCCGAAAGTGACCTGACGGAGGTGCAGGATGGTGGTGTACTCCATCACTTCCCCGTCCTGCGCGTGGACGTGGACAAAGTTCTCCATGTCTGCATTGGTCAGGACTTCATTGTCTTTCTTCCAGGCAAAGGTCATGGGGGAGCTGCTGCTGCTGGCTGCTGAGCATGTAAACCGGATGTCCTTGCCCACCATAGCCATGGTGGTTTCTGGCTGGGTGATGATCTGTGGCTTCAGGAAGTCATCTGGGGAGAGAAGGGTCAACTGTAAAGCGCTGGGTTCTTGGTACACAGAGGAACCAGCTGCTGTTCATGCTAACAGAAACTGACACAGACACCAAGCAGGAACCAGAGCTTGAGGTCCCTGTGCATCCTCAGCCCCACCAACCAGATGCCGTAAGAGTTGCACCATGGACATCTGACCTCATCTAATTAGAAGTCTGTGAGTACTGATCACCTTTATGATCACACTCCTTGATTAGAAATTAACCCACCACTTCTCAGTTCTCAAACCAGCCAGCCGGCAGTTTCCTTAAGACAACTGGCTCTGCCTGCTGACTTTCACACAAAACAGTCAGGCACCACTGGTCATGACTGCAGAGATCTTACCCACAAACCTTACTCCAAAAGGAGGGGGTGTAAAACACTTCCAAAATGTCAGAATAAGGACCTCCAAAAATCTGCACCTCCATTAAAACAAGGAAAACACCTGGAAAAATGGTCAAAAGCAACTTTTTCAGAATTCTGGAAAACCAAAGGCTTACAACAATCCATGGATTGTTGATTCAAGCAAATAGCAACATCTCAGAAATGTGAGCTTTGTGGTATTTTAACTTATCCAAAGCCCCATTCTTCCCTCCCCAGCTCCATGGTAGCCTTGAAACCCAGCAGCCTAGCAACCACTCAAGGGTCAGAATGGGCTCCCCAAAAGCCCCATCCTCAGAACTGACACCATGTGGCCTATCTGGCAGCAACACGGAAAGCCCCATTCACAGGATTTGCATTGATTTGCCCTGATCTAGTTTGCCGAGCAGGAGAAGCCCTAGCCCCAGGGCACATGACTACAACAATCAGTAGCCACTGTTCAACAGCGCAGCTGTCTGAGGGGACAATACCCATGGGGCAAACAAGCAGCTGGCCAAAAAACTATAAAGGAAAATGTGGGGAATACAGTGTTAATGGTGGGCTTTGAAAAGGTCCAATACATTCCTGGGGATCTAGACAGCCACATGCAGGTGCAAGGCCATGTGCACACCCAGGAAAGACGTGAGGGGGTCCTCATTTGTCACCTGTGGCTGAGCATGACTGTCTACACAAATAGGAAGTGATGGCACACCCCAACACAAACACACAAGCCGTCGGTAAAGGATAGGAGACAGTGGTTGTGGTGACTTCTCTGTCCAACCATTAGCTAACCACTAAACTAAACAAGCAGGGACTTAAGGGGACGGACTTTATATAGCCTTTGTCCAGGAAAAGTCACTAGGCAAGCTGTAACAATAAACAGCAACAGCAGCAAATCCTGGGGGAGGAGAAAGGGAATATCCAATTTCCAGAGTTGCCACATTATTTTATTTTAAATGCCCAATTTTCAACAAAATATTATGAAACACTCAAACAGGAAAAAAAGCAGTCAACAGAAACTGTCTCTGAGGGAGCCCAGACTTAGATTCACTAAATAAACTTTTTAAATCGGCAATTATAGGCATATTCAAACACCTCAAGGAAACCATGTCTTAAAAAAAATATCGAAGGATAGTGGCCAGGTGGGGTGGCTCACGCCTATAATCCCAGCACTTTGGGAGGCTGAGGCAGGAGGATCATGAGGTCAGGAGATCAAGACCATCCTGGCTAACATGGGGAAACCCTGTCTCTACTAAAAATACAAAAAAAAAAAAAAAATTAGCCGGGTGTGGTGGCAGGTGCCTGTAGTCCCAGCTACTAGGGAGGCCGAGGCAGGAGAATGGCATGAACCCAGGAGGCGGAGCTTGCAGTGAGCCAAGATCACGCCACTGCCCTCCAGCCTGGGTGACAGAGCAAGACTCTGTCTCAAAAAAAAAAAAAAAAAAAAAAAAAAGGATAAAGTATGAGAAAATTTTATAGCAATAAAGAGAAATTATAGATATGAACCAAGTAGAAATTTTGAAACTTAGAAGTACAATAACTGAAATGAAAAATTCACTAGAGGGGCTTGACAGCAGAACTGAGCTGGCAGAAGGAGGGGGCAGGGAACTTGAGACAGTCAACTGAGATTATGTAGTCTGAGAAACAAAGAAAAAAGAATGAGGTAAAATGAAAAGAACCACAGAGACTTGTGGGACAGCATCAAGCACAACAACATACAAATCATGGGAGTCCAAGAAGGAGAAGAAAGAAAAAGGAAGAGAAAAAGTATCTGCAAAACAATGGCCCCAAATTTGATGAAAAATGTGCAGCCACACATCCAAGAATCTTAATGAACTCCAAGTAGAGTAAATTCAAAGATCCAAACGCAGATTCATCATAGTCAAGCTGTCAGGTGCCAAAGACAAAGAATCTTGAAAACGCAAAAGAGGAGCAACTCATCACATTCAAGGGATCTTCATTATTATTAACGGCTGATTTCTTACCAGAACCCACAGAGAACAGAAGGCAGTAGGAAGATATTCAAATTACTGAAAGAAAAACGTTCAACTATGAATTCTATGTATTAAAAAACCTATCCTTCAAAAATGAAGGGGAAATTAAAACATTCCGATGTTTTTATTTTAAACACACACAGAGCAAGTTGACTGTTATCAGGCCTGCCCCACAAGAAATCCAGGAGAGTATTTAGTATGGCTGAAATGAAAGGACATCATATAGCAACTCCAATCCACACCAAGAAATAAAAAATCCCATTAAAGGTAACTACACAGGTAATACAACACACAGGATACGTGTATTTTTGTAACTCGCGTCTCCTGATTTAAAAGACAACTACATAAACCAGTAATTATAAGGCTGTGTTGATGGGCTTAATGAAAATGTAATGTGTACGACAACAGTAACACAAAGGAATAAAACTGGATCTTAATAGGAACATAATTTTTGCATATTACTGAAGTTAATTTCATTATTTATTTGAACTAGATTGTTGTAAGATGTTAATTTTAATTCCTATGGGCAAAACTAAGAAAATAACTAAAAAATACCCGTGTATTTAAAAAACAGGGAATTAAAATAGTACAACAGAAAATATCTTTTCAATAAAAAAACTAGTCAGTATTGGAAAAACAATGAAACAAAAAGATAGGACACATAGAAGAAATAAGGGGCAAACTCTACCTTATTAGTAAATGCATTAAAGGAAAATGAATTAAACACTCCAATCAAAAGGCAAAGATTACCATAATGGATAAAAAAAACTATGATCCAGCTATAGCCTACAAGAGACACAGTGTGGATTCAAAGATACAAATAAGCAGTCACCAAAAGAGAACTAAAGTGTCCATACTACTAACAGACAAAATAGGCTTTAAGACAGGAGTTTTTACTACAGAGACAGAATAATATTTTATAATGTAAAAGGGTCAATGCATCAGAAACACGTAAAAATGATAAATACATATATACCTAATGGAGCGCCACAAAACATAAAATCTGACCAGATTAAAGGAAGAAATAGTGCAACAATAATAGTTTGTACACTTCAATACCCCACTTTCAACAACGGATAGAACTAGTCAGAAGATCAAGGAAACAGAAGACTTCAACAACACTATGAGGGGACTTCAAAAAGTTCATGGAAAACCGAATTATAAACTTTATTTCTCAACATAACCTCCATCAAGTTTGAAACTCTCCTGAGTGATGATACCAGCCATTTAGTCCATCCCTAAAGAACTGAGGGTCCTGGGACATATCAATGCAGTCTTTTTTACATTATTAATTGAAGAAAATTGGGTGCCCTTTAAAGATTTTTAAAGATAATAACTAAAAAGAAGTCAGATGGAGCCAAATTAGGACTTTTAGGTGGATGTCTCATGATTTCCCACCAAAACTCTCACAAATTCACTCTTCTTTGTATTAGAGCTTCTAGCCAGTGCAACAGGCTAGAGAAAGAAATGAAAGCCACCCAGACTGGAAATGAAGAAGTGAAACTACCTTTTTGCAAATGACATGATGATCACATATAAAGAAAATCCTAAGAAATTTACTGAAAAACTTAGAATAAATGATGTCAACATATATGCAGGATACAAGATCAAGATACAAAATTCAATTACATTTCTGTATACTTGCAATAAATATTTCATTTTTGAAAATCCAAAAGTGAAATTAAGGATTTCATTTACAATAGCAAAAAGAATAAAAACAGAAATACCTTTAACAGTAGTTGAAGATGTGTACACTGAAAGTGACAAAACATGACTGAAAGAAATTTTTAAGAAGCTAAGAAAAAAGGGTGGACAGCCCATCTTCATGGATTGGGAAGACTTAATACTGTTAAGATGGCAATACTTCTCACATTAGTCTATAGATTCAATGCAACCCACATCCCACTTTCCTTTACTGCAGAAATTGACAAGCTGATCCAAAAAATTGTAAGGAAATGGCAAGGGATCCATAATAGACAAAACAATTTTGAAAAAGAATAAAATCAAAGGGCTTTGTAACACTAAGGTTATAAAACTCTTAGAAGAAAATAAAGGAGGAAATCTTTGTGACCTTATCTCAGGCAAATAGTTTCTTTGATATGACATCAAAAGCATACGTAATAAAAGAAAAAATAGAGATATTGAACTTCACCAAAATTAAAAACTTTTGCATTTCAACTATCAAGAAAATGAAAAATAGCCCTCCCTCAGACTGGGAGAAAATATTGGCACAACATGTATCTTATGAAGGTCTCATATCCAGAATACATAAAGAACTTTACAACTAAACATTGAAAAGACAAATGAATACTGGCAAATGATTTAAATAGCTGTTTTTCCAAAGAAGATATATATATATATGTATGTCCAATAAGCAGGTGAAAACATGCCTAACATCATTAATCATTAGGGAAGTGCAAATCAAAACCACCATGAGACTCTATTTTACACTCACGAGTACATCCAAAATAAAAAAGACAGTTAATAACACATGCTAGCAAAAATGGGGAGAAATTGGAATTCTCATGCATTGGTGATGGGCATGTAAAATCATGAAGCCACTCTGGAAAACAGTTTGGCAGTCCCTCAAAAAAGCTGAGCACAGAGTTAGCGTATGACCCAGCAATTCCATTCCTAGGTTTGTACCCAAGAGAATCACACAAAACCCTGTATATGAATTTTCACAGCAGCATTATTCATAATAGCCAAAAAGTGGGGACAATCTAATGTCCATCATCTGATAAACGGATAAATAAAATGTAAACCCATTTATTCAGCCATGAAAAACAGGAATGAAGTACTGATACATGCTTAAAAATTATGCTAAGTGAGAAAAGCCAGTTACAAGAGACCGTATACTGTATGGTTCCATTTATATTAAATGCCCAGAATAGGCAAATGATGGAGACACAATGAGATTAGTGCTATCAAGGGCCTGGGGGCAGAGAATAGGGAGTGATTACTAATGGTATGGGGATCCTTCTAGTGGTGATAAAAATGTTCTAAAATTAGATAATAGTGATGGTTACACAGTTGTGACTATTATAACAACCATCAATTTATATATTTTAAAGGGGTAAATTTTTATGATATATAAATTATATTTCTTTTTAAAAGCAGCTTTATTGAGAATACTTCATCTACACTACAACTCACTCATCTAAAGTATACAATTCAATGGTTTTTAGTATACTCACCAATATGGGCAACCATCACTACAGTCAATTTTACAACATTTTCATCACTTCAAAAAGAAATGCTGTACATTTTAGCTATTACCCCTCTCTTTCCATCCCTCCCCATCCTTAAACTACTACTAACCTAATCTCTACCTCCACAGATTTCCCCATTCTGGACATTTCTATGAATGGAATCATATAATCTAATGGTCTTTTGTGGCTGACTTCTTCCACTTAGCATGACATTGTCAAAGTTCATTCATGTTGCAGGACTACTGATTGCTTTCACAGCCTAATGAATATTCCATTGTATGGCTATACCACCTTTTGTTTATCCAGTCATCCACTGATACCTGGGTTGTGCCCATATTTTGGCCATTATGAATAATGCTGCTATGAACATTCATGAAGAAGTTTCTGTGTGAACATATACATTCATTTCTCTTAGGTATACACCCAAGAGTGGAACTGCCAGGTCATGTCGTAACTGGATGTTGAACTGAGGAACTGCCGAGACTGTTTTCCAAAGTGGCTGCCCCAGTTTACACTCCCACCAGCAGTGTAGGAGGGTTCTCCCTATCCTCAGCAACACTTGTTATTATCTGAGTTTTGGATTCTAGCTGTCCTAGTGGATGTGGAGTGCTTATGTTTCCGTTTTTAAAAAAGGAGTGGGAGACTCCCATAAAGCCTGAAACCTTGATCTTCTGCCAAGTGTTTTCATGATTCCCATTAACACCTGACGTTTTTAGAGGGGGGGAAGCTTGAGCTAAAATGTGGGGGTGGGGATGACAGATGTGAAATAAACAACTCTTGCAATCCAGAATATGCCAGGGCCACAGGCTGGGGGCTAGGTGAACTTACCAAAGTCCTACCTGGCTCACCCAGAGGGAAAGCCTGCCCTATGGCAGGAAAGGGGAGGGAGCGATGGAAAGCTTTATTTGAGGGAGGTCTATAAACAATTTAAGGGTCAAGGACTTGATGACAATGGGCCAATGAACAATGGATTATACAGCCATTTTGTGCCTGGATAATGGAGCTGTGCGAGCATTAGATTCCACACAGAAGGCTCCATAAGACAGATCGGTATGAAAAGTCAGTTTGGAGAGCTGCTGCCATGTTCGCAGTGGGTTTAAGACGTGTCCCTGGTCTGGATCCAGAGGAAGTTCAGCAGGCCTGTTCTCAAAAGTGGTGATGGTGAAGGTAGGGGTGGATGCATGGAGAGGGCACACACATCTTGCCTCCAGCAGGCACACTGGCTACTCCAGCAGGCACAATGGCTATTGCTATGGCCAGAAAGTAGGAGACAGAAGTGGCCCACAAGGGTTGCCATATGGATGGGTGAGTTCCTGGTTAGGATCCTCACAGCAGGGATCTCAAGGCTCAAGGGAGACCAGTGAGCACAAAAGGCAGGAGGGACTTAACACCTGCCCAGCAGTTCCAGTCAGGCCTGGGAATCCCACTCTTGCTCCTGCTTAGAGCAAGCAAACAGGAAAAACTCAAAATTCATCTCATTTTTTGACCATGTCTTCCTGACCGTGAGCCTGTGTCAGTCCTGTCTGAGCTAGCCTGCGTGTGTGTTTTCAGCTGTTCAGCATTTTCTGTGCTCTCTGCAACCAAACTTGGATCCCGACTCCCAGTCAAAAAGATGGCAAGAGCTACGCTCCAGGAATCAGAAGGCAAAAAGAATGTAAAGCTGCAAGTGCAGATTTCAGTGGTTTGGAGAAACAGCAAGAGTACAAGTCAACATCAAGGAATTATTTTTACTACAGCAACTGTTCTCCTGAGACTTGTTCTTCCTGTATTTAACCTTTCATTCTTGGGGTCGGAAAGAAACACACATTAAAACGCCAGCCTCGTACGCGGAGTACATTCGCAGCTAAACCCGGGCACCAGAGCCCTTCTGAAACAACAGAACTATCTTCCTGTAACTGATTATTCTGATTTGTAACTGAACCAACTTATACTCCCTTCTGATTAAATGCATGTCCTCCAAGAACCACATAATGAGGCAACTCTACGGTAAATACTGTGTGTGGTTTCAGCAAGAAATAAATTGCATCCAGCAGCTGATCTGTAACCACGGGCTGGGGTTTACTCTGATCACAGGAATTACTCCCATAATGAAGAGTACCTCCTGGCTTCCTTGTCCTTCATGAAGGAGAGAAAAAGTTACAAAGACAGTCTTACCGCACACGAAACTCTCTGGTGGCACAGAGAAAATGCTCTGACCCTTCAGTGATTCTGGGTGGGCACAGGTGGCTGTCACAAAGGCCTGCAGCATCCTGCCAATTAGCCACGGGGGCAGCCACTTCAGCTGGCAGTCACACAGGAAGCTGTCGCTGCTGATATGGCTGAAAGAAACACAACAGTGGATGCTTCAGGTGCAGCCGCAAAGGAGGGACACTCCCTTCACACACACAATGATCAGTCGCCTCCAATCAGCTTCTCAAGTGAACATCAGCAAGCTGGAAGGGGGAAATGGTTTTTCTCACACTTCCTCTCCAATTTCCCAGGGCAGTGCATATAACCCACCTGGAGATTTTGAAAAAATGCAGTTGCTGATTGGGTGGGTCAGGAGTGGAACCCACGACTCTGCTAACAAGTTCACGTATCATGCTGGGGCTGCTGACCCAAGGACCGCAACTGGAGCAGCAGCAACGTGGAGCTTATCCATGCCATGTTCTGGGACAGACACTGTTCCTGTGTGACCCTGGGCTGCCTTCTGACCTCTCCTGACCTCTGATACATCCAACAGTGCTATGCTGCCACCATCCCCCCTCTGGTTTTTCCCACTTTCCTGATAAACTACTTGGAGCTTCCAAACTCGGCCTGAGACTTTGATCCAAATTCTGCAACAAGTTCCGAGGAGGGCTCTTTTGCCTCATGGCTGTTCCTTTTCCATTTGGCAAAGCTGCATGTTTTCTTACTTCCAAATGTAATAAGCCCCGTCACTGTGCCACCCTCTTGTTTGTGCCTTGATCTTTGCACCAGTATTCTTCAGGGGGCCGGCAGAATTCGGCTCTGCTCCCTAAATAGTGCTTGTTAGTTAATTGCCACTGCCCAGGGAGCATGAGAATGCACAACTTTAGCTTTGTGGGGCTCCAACCAAAACAGAGAATATTTTCTTTTTCATTTCTCAGCAACTAAGGATAAGCTTTTTAAACAGAAATCGGAATCGCCATCTCAGCGGACATTCCTTCCTGAGGAGTCACTTGAAGATAAGTCAACCAAGAGTCTAGCTGCCTTGTTCCTGGAAGACCTCAGAGCTGTGAGCTAAAGAATGATGGCTGGCCCACGATAAGGGAAGACTGGGAAAGAGAGCACACAGGCTTCCCTGCAATACACTGTCTCTGGTACATGGTGACAAACAGGAGGCACAGGTATGCGCAGAAATTCCAAAAACATCATGCAGGCCAAGAGCACGACTTTGGCTGCCTTCTCCACCCACCACTGTCCTCAGACATCAACAAAGCAACCAAATGGACTGGCCTTCCATTTTCTTCTGTTTCTCTCCAGATTTCTAATGAGCAGAGAAACTGTCACAGCAAGGAAGAATGAAGTGTAAGCAGATGACCCAAGGCTAAATTAAGTAAAATCCACTCTTCCTCATGTTCCCCATCACCCCTAGATGAGTTGGGCATCTTATTAAAATAATTATAATTTTGGAAAGTGCTTTTCCAAAAACAGAAATAACTTATCTCAAGGCCATTATAACTGGGATGCTGGCCCATATTAGATCTTAAAATCAGCATGAGAGTTTGCATTTTTATTTCACGGGCAGGTAGCGTTCTGCTGAGAGCCATCTGGAGGGCTGTCCTACTGTGGAGTCACTGCAGGTGGCGGAAGGGCTGTAACGGCCATCCCTGAGGAAATGGTCAATTCCCATGCAGTGTTTGGGGAGGGCAGCTCCCAGGAGTGCACCCTGCATGGGGGTCAGGGCTGGCTGCGCCAGGCATGGGGGGAACTCAGCCTGGATGGAGAACTCTCCGCTGTCAGAAGCACCTCCAGCTCCCCAGCAAGAGGGCACTTCCGTGCAGTCAGGCAGAACAGCCTGGGCACTGTTCACGAAAGCCTAGGAGAGAAGGCTGGGCCATCCCTGTGCGACGTTAAGCATTTGTGCAGGACACAAGGACATATTCCATTTGAACCACAGGAACAAACGGGAAAACAAATTTGACATTTATCTTTGATCAGACACATGTAGAAAGGGCTAAGCCTCATCCTACACACGCCCTGGACGTGTGGGGCTAACGCCTTTGAGGATTTCCTACTTCTTCCACCATGAAACCCACCTCAGACAGGAGGCCAGACTCCAGGAAGACAGTGGGTACTCAGGGTGGAGACAGCATGTTCCTAAACAGCAAGTTAGGACTGAGAGGATACATGGGGAGGGCCTGGGGCCAGGCAGTAGCGAGGATTCCAACCCCTAGGCTCTGCAGGCTCCTGCCGCCCTTCTTCCACCCGTGGAGAGCACAGCGCCATCGGCTCTACTGCCTTCTGCTGCCATCCCAGGGCTTTGCTGGCTCACATGGTGCATTTTCACGATTCCAACTCAAAGTGTGTTTCTAATCATCACTTGTGGAAATTTACCCAGAGGATGACTAAGTGCACAGTACAACCTGACTTGATCTGATGGAGAAAAAGACGACCAAGTGGAATTAACCATTTCTCTCATCTGAGGACTGGGCACAGGGCCGGCTCCAGCGAGGTATATGCAGCAACGATGGGAAACCCAGGCAGGAGACCGAGGCTGAGCCTCCAGAACCATGCAGAAGCACGCTGGAGGTCCAAGCTTCTGGAAGGGTCCAGTTCCTCCCAACTTCCCAAGGAAAATCTTATCCTCCTCCCTCCTTCTCTCAAAATACCTTCTTCCCGTTTAAATTGAATCAGGTATTTTTCAGTCCTGACATCATATCTGAAAGTTTCAAAGACAGAAAAGGTGAAAGAATTCCACAGTGAATGCTCCTGTGCCCCACCGCTTGTCTTCTACAACCAATGTTTCATTCCACTTGCTTTACTGCGAGTCCACCTCTGAGTCCAGCCTTCCCTTCCACGGTGGTCTGGAATCATCTCCTCCCCTGCTCTGGAAGGAGAGCCATGGAATCCTTTCTGTATGTTCCGTCTCACCCGACAGATGGAGGCAGAGCTGCTGAGGCTGGAAGAGGGAAGGCCCTGGGCACGGAGCAGCTGTCTGCAGAGCCCTGAGCTCCATGAACCCGTCACAGACACCCGCTCCAAGATCCAACCCTTGCAAGGACGGTATCTATTCAGCAGGCCTGAGGCTCACAGCATGCTGAACATCACAGGGCAAGTGCCCAGGCCACCTTCCCTCCTCACTCAGTCTGGTGTCACCCGGCCCGCTTCAGTTCCCAGCTATGGGGAATGCACCTCATTTCCCCAGTCCCAGCCTCCCTGCCCCAACTGAGGGTTCATCAAGAGTGGCCTCGGGGAATGGGGATGAGGTCAGGGCACAAAGATGACTGTCCTGTGGCATCTGCCATTCTGTCAGCACTTCTAGGAACCAAAAGTTACCCCTTCAGGGAACTGATATCATGGCTAGAACTTACTGGCTGTAGAATCAGATTCATGTCTAGCTAAAAAAAAAAAAAAAAAACCAGAAAGGAAAACTTGGGTGTTACACCTGAGGACCCAGACTAGCTCCCCTGCCAGAGTAGGATACAGGGAAGCTTTTCCAACCTTGTCACCCAAGAGCCCACAGTCCAAGTCCACAGTGGCAGCACCACCACCTGTGAACCGTGCCCAGAAAGCTTGGAAATGGTATGGGCAGACACCACTGCACCCCTAAGCATCCCATCCCCTCCAGAGCTCTGCCTTGCTCACAGCCCACCAGGCTCTGAAGTAGACCCTCTCAACACAGGCCTTTATCGTAAGCAAGCCCAAAAGATGAAAACTTGGCCCTGACATAATTGAAGGGGTGATTATCCACTTTATAGAGGAGAGTATATTTCACATTGCCTAGAATAGTGGTTAGCAAGCTTCAGCCTGCGGCCCGACTGCCTGCTTCTGTCAATGTGACTTTATGGGCACATAGCCACACCCACCTGCTTATGTAATGTCTATGGCTGCTTTCTGCTGCAATGATGCAATCAAGTAGTCATGACAGAGACTCTGTGGCCCACAAAATCCAAAATATGTACCATGTGAACTTTTAACAAGTGAGCATAATGCAATTGCAGAAGTTTCTTACTCTGAAAGTCTCCACTACCATTAATCAGACCCAGGGAATCCAGATACTTACAGCTCTTTAAGATTCTTCATCTTCACAAAGGCATCAAACTGGACAGATCTGATCGCATTCCCTCCAAGGTTCCTGAAACAGAACATACATTACTTATGCAAAGAAACCCTAGGTACACCTGAGGGGTTTTCAGGACAGTCCTGGTTTCACAGATGACCCACAGGGACTAGCCAGACCTGTGTCCTAACTACTATAAGTGGCTGTTGTTTCCCAAATCGCAACACAAGCCCATGGAATGACTCAGGAGCCAAGCCAGCCTTAGGGCACCATCAAAGCTGGGCTGAGGCCTGCTCAGCAAGGCAAAACCTTTCCCAACAGAGTTAGAGTCAAACTTGATTCAAAGAGGAAACAAACTAAGAATCACATACATGAGGCATCCTCCCCAGATGGCAACAGCATGACTGTCTCGGGTGGCTCTGTTCCCTTCCTCCCAGGGTCTCAGAAGCAACCACACCAAACTGGTTCAGCCCAGCACCTACTCTGCATTGTTAAGCTGCTTTAATGGAGGCAACAGGCTTGGCCAGGAGGAAGCGCGTTGGTGGAAGAGGCAATGAGGCCAGGGGTCCATGAAGGAGCCAGTGCAGGGGTTAGGCTGCGCAGCAGGAGGGGGGAGGGTATTTATCCAAATACCAACTGAATTAACTGGGAGCACATCCACTGGCCATATGTTCTGTAACTGTTCCTGGCATAGGCAACATAAAGGCCAAAGCTGAAGCTGACATAATGAGAAGGAAGCAGCTGGTGTTTCCAAATAGCCTGTTTCTCAGTTTACAAAGATGCGATTAAATTGCTAGCAGAACTCCCCGGCAGCCGCATTCAGCAGGCTGTGCCTCAGGGCAGGGCTGGTGAGATACTCACAGGTGCTCCAGGCCTTCCAGCCCCGAGAATGCTCTCTTAGCCACAGACTTGATCTTGTTTCCAAACAGAGTCCTGTAGTTTCCAAACATCCAGAAATTAAGGCCAGGGAAGGAAAGCGAAACAGGAAGGGTTGAGAGAAAGAAAAAGAAAAAGAAAACACACAATTAAGGTAGTGCTACCTGATAAGTCTGTCCAGTGAGGGGCAGGTGGAAAGCTGACCTGCGCTGAGA
Source organism: Homo sapiens (assembly GCF_000001405.40). Lineage (NCBI taxonomy): Eukaryota > Metazoa > Chordata > Mammalia > Primates > Hominidae > Homo > Homo sapiens. The sequence goes on from NC_000003.12 coordinate 66,399,200, forward strand.
TTACGGGTTTGAGGCACGCAGGCCTTCCCCTTTCTGAAATGAAATACTTTTATCTTTATTAGAATTTAATAGTGATGATAGGCTGGAATTGCATGTGCCGTCTGGCCTAAAAAAGGCCCCTCCCAGTGTTAGGCAGAAATCACCTTGTCTGGCCCAGTCTCTCTCCAAGGACCACCAACCCTTGGGTGGTGAAGTTTAGTGATGGAGAGATGAGACTGATTATGGTTTCAGTGAGAGGAAGCTGAGTCAAAAAAGGAAAGAAAAATCTTCGGAATTAAAACTGCTGACCATGACTGGGCATGGTGGCTCACACCTGTAATCCCAGCACTTTGGGAGGCTGAGGCAGGAGGATCACTTGAGCCCAAGAGTTTGAGACCTGGACAACATAGGGCAACCTTGTCTCTACAAAAACTAAAAAATTATCCGGGCATGGAGACACGCACCAGTAGTCGTAGCTACTTAGAAGGCTGAGGTGGGAGGATTGCTTGAGCCCAGGAGGTGGAGGCTGCAGTGAGCCATGATTGCGCCACTGCACTCCAGCCTGGGCAACATAGCGGGATGTTGTCTCAAACAAAAAACAAACAAAAACCCCCAAACTGCCACCCACTTCTGAAAAGTGCATTCTGGGAATAAAGCTTCCCAAAAGAGGCAAGAAGAGGACAGTAAAATAGGCATCCATCAAGCTGGCTCCACAGCTGTCTGCACCTGAGATGTCCTGGCAGCCAGCACACAGCCATGGTGAGCTGTGTCCCTGCCTACGAGAGGGACCCCTCAGGGCCTGCAGGAGATGCCCCAGTGCTTTGGCTCTTAAGCCAGACCCCAGACGTTACATGATGTCAGTGGGCCAACCTCCAACGTTATCGCTAGTGCCTGTCCCCTTCCTGGACTGCCTGCTCATAAAAAGGGGTTCCTGCCTCCAGGCAACTCTGATCCCAGCCTTAGCAGTAACTGTTAAGAGTTCTCCCAGAAACCAAAGTCTGCGCCCCTGCAGAACACATGGAAGAAATGAGTGCCTCCTCCACCACACTGTGTGATCTAAAGGGAAGCTTGTCTCTCTGCAGGGAAGCCCCTAGGGTGGACACTGGGAATGAAGAGAATCGAGTTTTCCCCTCCCCGTTATCATGTTCTCTGATGAGAACCCACCAAAGGCATTCCCTCTAATCCTGATGGCACAGGAGACTACCAGGGAACAACCAAAGGCAGTGCTGACCATCAGCTTCGTGGACTTGTCAATCTTAAGGTACACCAGGATCTAACAGGCTGGCTAAGAATACCGATTGCTGGGAGCCAACTCCTGGTGATTCTCAGCGTCAACAGGTCTGTCCAAGGCAATGGGGTGCAGGTGGGCAGGAGAGGAAGCCCCTGGAGAAAGCCCATCTGGCCCAGCCCCCTACTGGGAAGGGGACTCTTGGTCCAGGATCTCACCTAGCATCGGGGAAGAGACCGGACTAGAAGCCATCTCCACCTTCAGCCTGCATTAAGACTGGGACCCATAAGGGAAAACAAGAAGCCCCAGCCCCTTCCTGAAAGGAGGAAAAGAAAGGAAATATAAGCCCTGAAGCAAACCAAAGATGGCAGGGCAGCCTGGGACCTGCCCACCACACGGGCCGCTGCTTCTTCCTGACTGCAACAGGCCTCCTGGGAACCGCTTGGGCAGGTACCAGGAGGCTGCCTCCTGGAAACACAGGCTCACAGCAGAGCCAGAGGGAGGCACCACCAGTCCGTGTGGCCAGCTTCCAGGGCAGCCACTCCACAGGGGCTGCCTGACCCTCCGTTTCATCAGAAACAGACTCCCTCCCTGGGGGCCACCATTCAGGATGACCCCAGCACTAACTGCAAGCTCAGCCCTCAGACAAAGCCAGCTCTGTTTCCTGCCTCCGGACGGTGAAGGGGCAAACGGGCCAGAGACCCTCTGCGTTTTCTTTCTTTCAGGCCGTCTGCATGAATGTGAAAACAATCGCATTCTGAAAGCGTTTCCACACCTCTCTTCAGTCTGAAACTTTTATTTTAAAACAAATAAACCAAACACACAGAAAAGCTGATGGCCATGCTAACTTAGGCGCTTTAACCACAAAACTCGCCAGCAAGTAACAGCTCATGGGGCACTGCACCCCGAGCGCTTCAGAGAGCACTGCCAACTTCTACTCTTACTCAGATCCCCCCGCCCAGGCACTGTGTGCCCCAGGTCCCAGTAAAAACGCATTGAACTGTTTAGTGAAATCTCCTGTAAATGAGATCCAGGAAAAAGCTGCGCTTTATTTCATCCATTAAATATTAGTCACATTGACCTGTTTTACAATGAGGGCAGGCTGTTATTTTTAACGGTGACAATAGCAATAAAATAAATTCTCAAATTCTCAATTATGCAGGGGCTAATCATCTTGTTGGTAGATTAGGCAGGGTCCTTACCTTCCCCCAGCAGACATATGGGGCTGGGACGGGGAGCTGCAGCCAGCAGACTGGGATGGCTCTAATAAAAGGCTGCTGCCAGGAGAAAGGAGAGGCGGGATTATGGGCTGGGAGGACACTATTTCTGTACCACAGCCGGGCTCCCTTTCAGAAGGAACACCTGGCCTGACCTCCCCAGCACCAACCTGGAACAGAAAGCGACCTGCGGGAGTCACCTGTCAAACCTCCCATCCATCTCCTGGCCAACCCAGCCAACAGCTCCAAAGGCCTGGTTAGCGCTTGCCAAATCAAGTGGCAGGTACTGGGGGCAATGCTCACATGGGTCCTTGTACTCATGTCCTTGGAAGTAGCCGCGACATGTGCACTAGCCCCCGCTTCCCACCCACACACACAATGAGTTCCACTGCAGGCCCGGCCCCCACATAGGCAGGGATGGAGGCTGCGCTCACATCAGCTCTGCAAGATCCCCCAAACATGCCCCTTCCCATGTGCCCTGTGTGGGACTCTGCCCCTCCCTCCGAGGAATGCCATGGAGCCAGCTGGAACCACTGGGCAGGAAGTCGCATACCCAGGTCACTAACTGCTCCTCTCTGCCTGTAATTTGGGATCCAGAAATTCTCCCTTCCCTCCCGCGTACTGACTCTGTGCCATCGTGCAGGCCCCAGCCCGGGAACCGCACAACCATTTGGAAACAGGCCCTGGAGTGGGTCTACAGCAGAATCCCAGACCAGTTAGGAAGAAAGGCATGCGCTGGGGTCTAGGAACATTCCCACCCTGCTGGGAAGCTCCAGTGTGAGGAACTCTCCAACACAGCTGTGTGCGTAAGCTGGAAAAATTAAGGGCAGGTCAGCATCCACCCCAAATTCACAGAGAGGCCGTTTATGGCTCTGCTACTCACATCTCCCTTTCTTGGAAAACATTTTAATTTAGGTCTGACCTCTTGCATGGTGGGAAGGACCCAAGGTCCTTGAGTAACTCAGCGAAGGCAGGGGTCTCTACCTTCCCATCCTAGGGCAGACCCTGAACACAAGCTCCTTGAGCTCTCCAAAAACAAACCCACACCAAATGAAGGGACTCAGGCACTGGCTGCACTCCCCACAGGACGGATCAGCTGCTCTAGAGGGGCGGCTCTTCTCTGTGCTAACACGCACCCCACTTCTCAGTGGATCCTAACAGGCCGGCACTGGGCCACTCCCACAGAGCAACACAGTGCTGTCTGTGGTCACTTCTCTCAGCCAGGGCCACAGCGCAGAACTTTCCTGGAATGTTCTGAGTAGGCGGGTGGGGAGGGGACCAAAGAGGCACTGGGTTCTTCCTCTGTCCCTCCCTTCATTCAACAAACATCGACTCAACACCTGTGATAGGCCAAACACAGCAGTTTTTACATAGCCCTGTGTACCATGATCATATGAGAAGCATTTACTTCTCCGGTTCCCTTTCAATGTGGAAATTTGCACATACCATGCTAGGTAGACGGAGTAGTATCCTGAACCCCAAGTGCCCGTGACACAGTGCCAATCCTCCTCCGGTCGTGCCAATCTCACCTCATCTCTACCTCTAGCCACTGCCCGTTCTCAAACCCAGCAGGAGTTTATGGAATCCAAATCATAGGCATCATACCATTTTCTTTATCCAAGAAGAAAATGATTCATTTTTTTCTTTTGCCACATAACCATGATAGCATCACACTTAAATAAGTGATTGCATATATTTAATCATATTAAGGAATTCTTGTTTATTTATTGTCCCAGCTTCCCCACTTGGATGCATGTCTTTCTCTCTCACCCTTTTTCAAACATACACAGAGTCTCCAGCCCCAAGATGCTGACTCAGTGGCTGGGTGGGGTGAGGCTTCGATTTTAACAAGTTCCCAGGAGTCTCAGGACCAGCTCACTACAAACAACATTATGTGAGTGAGGAAAGCAGGGGCTTGGGCTGACCTCTTGGGGCTCAGGTGGAAGAGCTGAGCCTAGTCCAGCAGGGGGACAAAGGAGAAAGCACCAGGGCACAGAGGGCGGGCACTCAGGAAGGCAGTGGCGGACTCATGCAGCACTGGAAGCCCAGGCGACCCAGGGCCAGGCACACCTCACGGGCCTTCTGTATTGAGACAGAGCCTCCTGGAAGCCATGACACCCAGGAAACGGCTCCAGGTTCCTCCGGACTGACACGCCCCACGAGGAACCTGGCAGTGCTGCCCACTCTCACCACCCTCACCCTTCAATCGGTTATGGCCGAGGTCAGGGAGGCTTATGCTGAGTGGTGGCGCCAGTGCTGAACACCTCAGCAGCCACATCCCAGGCCTGGAGCTCTTCTTGCTAAGAAGGCCTCTGCCCCACCCCACTTGGTACTTCTGGCTCTTCCCAGGTTTGCCCCGTATGGGATAAAAAGGGGTCACGTATGGGTTAAAGGCTGGGGAAAATCAGCATTGTTTTAGGGACAATAAGGAGAAGAATCACTGATAAGCATCTCCGACATGCTGCTGGAGTACAGGACGCTCAAGAAGTACCTTCTTCAGACAGCCAACAGAGCTTATTCCTAAGCAGGACCCTTGTATATAAAAGGTGCAAAAAGCCACGCTTTTCAAAACAAATCAGAAGCATCTACTATATAAAAAGACTCTCCCTACCACAGGCTCTCCTCTATCATCGAGCTCCACTAGGGCTTTCCAAATATTTACTTGACACTCGCACTCTGCTGAGCTCCCCGTCACTGGGGACGGGCTGGGGGAATCGAGCGGCAGCCGTCCTCTCTGTCTTGCCCTCCTCCAGTCTTCCCTCCGAGCTGCTAGTAAACAGTAATAATGACTCTCGTCCCCTTCCTGCACGGTCCTTGGGTGGCATCTGCAGAAAGTGCTGGTTACACGCAGAGAAAACAGGGCGGGCCAAGGGGAAGGGAACGTGGGCTTTGGAGCCAAACAAGCAAATCCTGAGCCTGCCACTTGCCAGCCGTGTAGTTTTGGGCGAAATCCCCTCACTTCTCTTTCCTCAACTAATAAAGAGGTTGCCTAACAGAGCCTGCCCTCATGAGATCATTAGGTACAACACACACAGGTGCTTGGCAGATTAACTGGCAAAATCTAGGAGCTAGCTAGGAAAAAAAAGAAAAAGACCCCAAACCATACATTCAAAATAGCTGCTACTACGACCCTTGGAAATGACGTGGTTATTTGAGATGATGGTTAATGACGAAAGTACTGACAGGAGCCCCACCGCCCTCACACCTTACTGACCTTTACACAACTTTGAGAAACCCAGTAACAGGGCAAGACTCCTTTGTACAAAGGGCAACAGCAAATTCAGCAGTTTTCATGTGAGTTGTGAGTGAAGCCCAAGAGAAGCTCCACCAGCCGCCAAACGCCGGGTTGCCAGCCCCCAAGAACCCAACACCCAGGCCATCAAGGAGTGGGGTGTCCCCCACCCTCTTCTTCAAACTCTTCTCCACAAACAAAACAAGCTCTGCCCCAAACAAAAGCCAGCTCCTCTTCCGCCTGGGCCCAGAGCAGAGAGGCGCGGGGGGCGCCACAGAAACATCTCCCACCCAAGTGTGTCCCGCGCATTTGCCGGCGGAGCTCCGTGCGGCGGATACTCACAGCTTGCTGAGGCTGTCGAGCCCTGAGAAGGCGCCGCTCGTGTCCTCTATTGTGCCCGAAATCTCGTTATGGTCCAGATCCCTGGGGAGAGGACAGAAAGCAGCTCACCGAGCAGTCGGGGCGTGAAGGGAAAGCAAACTCTCACCCAGCCTGCTGCTCGGAAGCTGAAGTCCCCTGGGTGCATGCACCCTGGAGGCACAGCCGGGACGTAGGGTGAAGAGACACGTGGCCCTGGGAGGGAAGCCCTGTTTCTCAGCCTTCCAACCAAGATGACACATGCCTTAGACAAGAAACTTCCCTGGGCTCCACCTGCCTCCCTGTCTGCGGAGGCCACACTCAAGGGAAGGGAGGTGGTGCAGACAGCCCAGTCTGTATTCTGCCCCGAGAGAGCGGACATCTGGCCCCAGCACTGAGAATCAACCCAAAAGGTTCCTTAAGGCTCCCGTCTGCTCTCATACCAACCAGAGTCCCTTTTCTGGACATGACCGAGAAACTGCAGAAAGCACATGGAAGAAAGAGACCCGGCACAGGGCCGGCCCGTGGGCGCCTCCGTACCAGCCAGTGGGTCTGGAGCCCGGAGCCCATCTCCTCCCAAGGCCTGCAGGGCGCTGACTCTGAGCCAGGGAGGACATCTGGGTGCTGAGTCAGACTTGTGACCCACTCGCCAGGATCAGAGGGATGAGGCCAACTCAGCCCAGGCCCCTCCAACAATGCAAATCCCATGGCCGATGACTCAATGGCTTCCCAGCTTCCAGGAGCAGGTCACAGTGCCCAGGCGAGACATCACACCTGGAGACCAGGCCCCCATCCTGCCCTCTCCAACTTTCCACAAGGTTCTTGGTTCTTAAATTTTCCCCCCGAGCCCTTGCAGACACAGGCCAGGGAGAGAAAAGGAACTCTTGTCTCCTGTGAGAAGCTGCAGCAGGAATCAATGCTGCCAGCAGAGAGGGCAGCTCTGACTGAAGAGTGAAATGCTGGCGGTGACCTTTCTTGTCACAGCAGGAAGGTCAAATAGTGGAGATTCTGCTGCTGGAAGGGACTTCTCCTCTCAATGGGTTCCTTCCTATCATCTGCATACTGAAAAAACCAGGAACCAGGGACCCGGGGCTGTGGCTTTGTGTGCCTGTCTCTCTGCTCCTAGCCCTGGCTGCCAAAGTTTTTCTCTCCTTTCTGGCCCGCTCAGTCTGAATGTTCCCAGCCTTGTTATTTGGGCCTTGTATGGGCTCACAGGCTGACCTGGCCTGAATAGCTTGGCTCCGGCCTCTTTCACACTCCCTGGCAATGGCTCCACATTAAAGCCGGCTCTGCCAGGTGCAAGTGCAAAGGCCTCCCTCCCTGTCACACTGGAACAGATCCCTCTCTGTGCAGTGGATTACGCCTGAGAAGGAGACCCTAGAACCCGCCACCACTGTCCTCTGAAACCTGCATGCCCCTCTCTGGGGGTTTTATGCTGACAGCTGCTTGGAAGTTCTATGAAGCCAACCATGGAAAAGTTTTATACAAGCCTCAGAAAAGCATCCTGCAGCCACTTTTGCCAACCCCATCTAATTAGGGACTTCAAGGGAAATGGCATTAGCACCTCCACTTTGTTAACTGACCCCCGACGAGGTACAAGGAGAGACACAGGATTCCCTAAGTGCTGCTTTTGGAAAGGAGGCATCTTGGTACAGGTTATGCTGAAGAAGTTCAAATGCTCAGACGAGAGATGCACTGCAGTATTCCCATGGTTTAGAGAAAAAATATTCAGGACTTGGAAGTTGCAGCTGAAGACTCAAGATGGGAAAGACTGACCCACGGCTGCCGAACTGGAGGCTGCACCAGGCGCTCAGCGTGGGGAAGCTTTTTCCAACACTAGGAGCCAGCATCCTGTCCAGCACAACGTGGGCATCACTGCTTGAGAACAACTACTTTTTAGGAGCTGCCATCCCTCTCTAGGCACCATCCTGGGGAAATGAGAGATTTTTCTGCTTAACCAGTTCTTTTTCAGTTGATTACATAAAAGTTTGAGACTCTGCACATAGAGCAAGCCAGCTTTGGATCCAATTCTGACTCGAAGCCAACGCAAATGGAGTTCAACAAAGCAGATGGTTTGCTCTATTCTGCTCTCCCCACTGGGGACCCCTTTATCCTGTCAGTAGTGGGAGACGTACAAGACTCGCAGGCTCCTGAGTCCCTTGAAGGCACCCTCCGCAATGTGGCTGATGGAATTGTGGCTGAGACGCAGGACACTCAGGCTGCTCAGCTCGGCCAGGCTCTCCTCGTCCAGCCGTGTCAGGTTGTTGAAGGACAGGACCCTGAGGAAAGGGAGGGCAGCAATGTCACCATCTAGTGTGGTTGCCCCCCAACCCCACCCCACCGGAAATTGGGCCACAGTCAGCTGGGTTTCAGTGGGAAATGACACAGATGCACACGCACGCGCGTGCGTGCACACACACACCCACACCCACAGAATCCTGGGGGTAAAAGTGGCCATGCAGCTAGAAACTCATCAGTGCCCAACACACTAGTCTGACTCGTAGAATGGGTGCATAGGTCACAGGGGCCAGGGTGGCTGTTAAACTGTGAAGACTACACACGAGGTCATGACACACAACAACTCTCAAGCTCCAGCGCCTTCATGCTGTCCAAGGCAGCTCCTGATTCAGGCTACAAAAGACCTCTCTCATAGCAGAAGCCTGGGATTCTGGAGATGACCCCGCAGCAAGCCAGGGAGCCCCAGTCACACTCCCTGCATCTGCCAGCAGAGGGCACCACTAGCCCCTGCGTGGGACAACCACACCTGTGCCTCATGCCTTAGTGGGGCAACTCCCCCAGGGCAGGAGGCTCCTGCTCAGGCCTCCCTGCCCCCATCCACGTGGACCTCAGAGCATGATCCCCTACTGCAGGCGGTAAAAGCACATGCTTTGCCCGAACCTCAGAATCAAAGCTTCCTCCCAGCACTCCTGCACCTCTGGGTTGCTTACGTGACATATTGGTCATCTATCGTTGAAAAATTGGGGCTGGGGCAGGGATAGGAAGATGGAAAATAAACTCAGAGAAGATTAATGAGCTTTTAAAGGCAGCTAGGAGCAGCATTCTTTCCCTCCTGGACAAATAAGTCAGGGTGTCTGTCAGTTAAACAGACCTGGCAGGAGATCAAAATTATATCCTCACCTGCAATTAAAGAATTTAGCTTAAAGGAGGGGTGGGAAACACATGCTGGGAAGCAATCCCAAATCTGCCTCTGAGGTTACCTGGATATGGTGCAAACTGCTAGGACTGCTCAAGCGCACTTCTGTGATCTTTGCTGCCCCTTCTAGAGGGCATGGAAGAGGGCTTCATGCCTTCCACCAGCTAGAGAGGGGATCCCGGACCCCGCAGAAGACAGCATGCCATCCCTGGGGCCACGATACACTGGTGAGTCAGAGGATGGCCCCTCACTTTAAGAATTGGACTGGCTCAGGCTTCGGGGACTTAAAAGACCTCTCTTGCTTCCCACACCTCCCGGCCCTGACCAACAAAACCAGGAGTCCCCTGGTGGGGTCACAGCTTGACTACAGAGCCTGAAAGGAGCCATCCAGCACCACATGGAATGCACAACTGCAGGCCCTGAAGCGTAGGAAGCTGAAACCAAAGGGTTAACACTCACAGAATCCAAGAAAAGTTAGGAAAGAGGCAGGACCACTGTGTTTTGCATTAGATAATGATGGAGTCACCAAAATATAAACTCCAAGTCAGTGTGTGTGTGTGTGTGTGTGTGTGTGTGTGTGTGTGTGTGTGTGTGTGGTGGGGGGAGGGGGGGAGGAGGAGGGAAGGAAGGACAGGGAGAGAGAGGAGAACACAGAAGACCAGACACAAACACCAGCTGCAAGAATCCACATTAGATTCACGCATCCCCTTGAGTTTGCCTGGTGAGGTCAAGAGAGAGACAGGACAGACTGAGGCTTGGCACTCTTAACAATCATTCACTTCAGTGGGTGAATTTTTTCCAACAGCCAAGCCTAGAAAAGGAAGAAAAAAACAAAACAAAACAAAAAAACCCACCCAACTCTTGTGAAAAATAAAGAAACACAGTAGACTAAACTGGAGCATATCAAATGGAAAGAACAGTGAAAACACAAACTATAGACTTGTAAAGATGTTCTCTGAGTCCTTAGGAATGCTGCGTTCACTGTCCAGTAACCCCACCCTGACATGATGGGGTGGCCAGGGCCACTGCCCATCGCTACCCAGGCGACAGTCTGTCACTACTAATCTCAGAACTTTGGGCAAGACAAGCTCAGTTCTCAGTCTCAACCTGGGACCCCTGTCTGGAAATCTCCAAAAGGAGCAAGAGGACCACACCACACATCTCTGAACTAAGCACGCACACGACTGCACAGGAGCCTCTGCCAGCAGGCCACTGCGGTGCAAAACAGAGAAAGGGAAGGGGCCAAGAACCTGGGCAGCTCATCTACAGGAAGGAAGGTGGCGACTCCGAGGACACAAATTCATCCACAGTCAGCGTTTCACTGTCTCTGTTTGAGCCCAAATGACCCCCTCACTGAAGAAGCACATGCTATTTGGTGTGGCCATTAACACACAGTCACTCTCAAAATGGCTCCTGTGAGCACTCTGCCATAGCTGCCCTTCCCCAGGAACTTTCTACCCCTGGAACTGTCTCCAAACCCAACAGGACCTTGGGGGCCAAGGCTCCCTGCAGGGACCTAGCTGCTACTCCTGGAGCCCCTGCTAATCCAAATGCAGAGGAAGTGAAGGGGAGATGAGGAAGGGACTGGGGCTCAAATCGCTGAGGGTTCCACCCTGGGCCTGGCTGGTTTGGGAACAGGGCTACTGGCCTGTCTCTGAGCCCTCCCCGAGGCCACTGTGTGGTGGAACGAACCAGGCCTAGCACTTTCACCTCCAAGCAGTGTCTAAAAACACTGCCACAGCCCAGAGCCGAGGACACTTACAACTCATGCAGCTTCTGGCAGAAGCTCCAGCCCTTGCGGTGAATGCGAGCGATGGAATTGTTGCTGAGGTGGAGCTGATGCAGGGCCGTGAGGCCGTAGAGCGAGCCGCTGTTCACTTCTACCAGGCTGTTGTACTCCAGGTGCCTGCAATGACAGCCATGCACAGGATGAAGAGGAGCTTTCACTCCCTTCACTGGACAGACAGCAAATGAGCAGCCACGCTGTACCTGACACTGCGGTCACACCAAGGCTAGAACAGTGCACGACAGAACTGTGGAGTCTAGTCGCACACATGTGCATGTGAGTAGGGGCTGGGAGAAGACAGGCAAATCAAAATGGATGACAGCACATGCCAAGGCCGACTCGAGTGTTCATAGGGCAAGAGGGAGCTTCCTAGAAGTGACTTTTTTGGCTGAGTAAAAGTGAACCAGGGCTGGGTGTGGCGGCTTATGCCCATCCAGTACTTGGGGAGGCCGAAGAAGGAGGATCGCTTGAGCTCGGGAGTTCGAGACCAGCAAGGGCAATATAGCGAAACCCCATCTCTACCAAAAACAAAACAAAAAGTGACCCAGGCCAACAAACGGGCACAGGAGTTCCAGGCAAGGGCAAAGCCCATTAAAGGAATAGAAAGGAGAGCGAATAGGAGGCGGCTCTTATTATCACCCGCATCTCACACATGAGGAATGTGCTGCTGAGAGAAGCCAGGTAACCTGTCTAAGACTTTACACAGCTTAGCCAGTAGGGAAGGGGCTAGAATTAATTCAACCCTGGGTCTGCCTACCAAAGGCTGGACTCTGTGCCACTGTGCTAGGAGACCCGCTTTAGCTCTGGCGTCAGACTACCTGGATTTAAATCCTAATTTTGCAGCTTGCTGGCTGAATAAACCTGCACATCTACTAACATGGAGATATCCAAGAGCACTGACTCCATGGGGTCACTATAAGAAGGAAACAAGGGTACATCAGGATTCAGTGCAGCTCTAGGCCTGAGCTCTCAGGCCCACCGTGTAAGTGTGCTAGCACCCCGCTTCCCAACACAGCATGTGCCAGGAAGGACAGCGCCAGCCCAGGCAACCGCCTCTTCAACAAAAGTCCGTAACCCGAATTTTGCTCCGTGTTCAGTATTACAAGGGCTTTGGGTAACTGAGTTTTGCTTTTTTCCATCTTTCTTTCTGCTACTGCTCAAAAGGTAAGCACTTAATGTATAAATAACCTCTAAGGCAGCTCATCAGTCTCAATTTATACAAATCTGTTCAACATAAAAACCAAATGGTAGGTGCTAACTCCATTTTCCTCTGAGAATTCTCTTTTAACTTCAGTCCACCCAGCACATGACCACCTTGGACTTCCAAGTCCAAAATGACATGCCTAAGGAGGTCAAGTGAAACGTTTTTGAATATGTAAAACAAAGGGTGGAGAATGGGTAGAGCAAGAAGCCCAGCGGCAGGAAACATCCTCACTGTTCACAGAGTAGGGAGGGCTGGTCATGCAGAGACGGTTATCAGAGTGACACAGCACAACATGTGGATGGACCTGGGCCTAGCTCGTTTCCACTGCCAAGAAAACCAGTAAAGGACATTCGAGTCATGATATAATTTGCCCAGACTGGAAGAAGAAGGGGCGGACATGAGCAAGTTAAATCATTGACTCTCAAGGAGGAAATCGCAAGTGGATAAGTAAAGACAGTGGTGTCAGTCTATCAACTTGGAAGGAACAACCAGCAAAGCTAAAAACAGAAAAACGAAAAAGAGAAAGGCTTAGAAGTGCTTGCCTCTTGGGAGAAGAACTGGGGTGAAGAGAGAATGAGGGGGTGGTGGCGGGGGAGGCTGGGGTGGGCAGTGATGGCTTTTCTTTACTATCTGATTTTATTTAACTATACAGTCAAATTACTTTTGATTAAAAATAAATATTAACGTTTAAAAAGGCTTTCAACGTTTAAAAAGCCTTTTCTGTATGCTGCCCTGCTGTTTCACGTTACCGTGCAGGCAAGCCCCTTCTGCTGCTGTACACATCTGGCTGAAGAGACTGCTCCCTTGATAAAACTTAAACATCTGCACCCAGTGTCTTGATTAGCTCACAAGACAGAAATAAACCTCCTAAGATGAGCTCTACATTTTTGGCCCACCTGCACCTCAGGAAAGACTGTCAAACCCAGAAGGGGAGAGAAGGAACTTCCTGTGGTCAGGAGTGGAGAGGATGTGAGGAGGGGTCTGTTCCGCAGCCCCACGTTCACCGAAGAAGCAGGGGCGGGGGCAGTGGATGCAAGCTGTGGAAAGCAGTCCTGGCAGAATGGCCCCCAAACTCCATCTCCATCAACCAACTTATCTGACTCAATCCGCTGAAACTTCCCCCAAGTGGATTTCAGTGGATGTCCCAATCTGCTAGGAAAATACCCTCAGGTTTGGCCCGGTCCCCAAGACAATGAGTTGGGCCCAGGTGAAGCTGCAAAGGGAAGGGGGCTGGGTCCGGCTGAAGTCTTGAAGAATCCTTCAGGAGAGAGGGGCTGGGCACTGGTGCCCCACTCCATGCCCAGTGCACAGCTGAATGCTGGTGTGGGCGCGCACGTGCACACGCGCACGCACACACACCCCACACCACACAGCAATGCTGGTGTGGGCGCACACACCCAACACACAGCAACGTTGGTGTTGGTGCGCACATGCATGCGCACACACACACACGCCACATCACACCACACCGCACAGCAATCCTTAGCAATGCCAGTAACCTGGTCCGCACTTACAGCACATGCATCTTGGACAGTCCCCAGAAGGCCCCATCTGTCAGTTTGCTGATGTTGTTTCGCTGAAGCTTCAGCACCTCCAAGCTGTTGAGCCCCTGGAAGGTGAGGCCCTCTATCAGCCGAATCCTGTTCCGATTGAGGTCCCTAAAGAGATGAAGCCAGCAGGGTCAGAGTGTCTTATGTGCATATCCCACCCACAACCATTCTGAAGCAGTCCTGGCTAAGTTTCCAAGCCAGAGGAGAAATCCCAGTGCAGGGATCCCTGGGAAGCCAGGATGTGTAGGGGAGCCCACCATGTGTCTCGGCTGCCATGCAGGCACTGATGCTGCCACCTGACCACACCTAGTGCAGGCAAGAGGGGTGAGTGAGGCCAGCTCTCCACAGCCAGCTCCGAGGCTGGCCCACAGCTGCACAGAAGAGAACGCGTGTGTGCTCACGTCTCCTCCCCCAGTAGCACCAGTGCCATTTGTGACTCTGCAGTGAGGACGTGGGTATGACTCAAGGGGTGAATGTCTTATGTGAGGTATCTCTGAGCTCAGCAACAGAAATCCACACCACATGCCTCAACCCAGGAAAAACCAAACCACTATGTATCAAATGGCAATAACACTTTCCACTGGGGGCATTTCACAGCATCTCCACTATGGAGAGAAGTTACTGCACATGGGGGCAGGGGGAGATGGGGTAGAGACACCCCACAAGTCATATACACTTGGCTTCTAGCCCCAGTATGACAAAGCCTCAGTTCACCAAAAGATGTCAGGAATCTGGGTGGGCCAGATCCATTAGCACCCCTGCGGGAAGGGGAGGCAGAGCAGCCAGAAAGCCCTTGGTTTTCCCCAAATATTTCTGCAGTGTCTCATGATGCTGCCCCACACAAACCTTCTCAGGAATCACTGAGACCTTCTCCACAGACTGAAAATGGCAAAGTCTAGGACTCCCCACCCAGGGGAGGTGAAACCCAGGTAGGATGAGAGCCAGGCACACCCCGTCGTGCCGCCAACCTGGCCCTCGACAATTATTTTGTTTTGTTGAAACAAAATTTCCAATACTGTCTTATTTTCCTGAAATACATTCTTCTGCTAAAAAGAGGGCACAGGAAAAAAAAAAATCAGGGAAAAAAAGTCCTTCGTCAGGCTCTGGTTAACAGAGCTTTACTTGAATCTAAAACTCTGCCTTCTAGAAGGGTACTCAGCCTTCCATCAGTAAACTAAACAATTAAATTGTTTACAAAAATAATAAATCGGCCGGGTGCGGTGGCTCATGCCTGTAATCCCAGCACTTTGGGAGGCCAAGGCAGGCGGATCACGAGGTCAGGAGATCGAGACCATCCTGGGTAACAAGGTGAAACCCCATCTCTACTAAAAATACAAAAAATTAGCCAGGCATGGTGGTGGGTGCCTGTAGTCCCAGCTGCTCTGGAGGCTGAGGCAGGAGAATGGTGTGAACCCCGGGGGCGGAGCTTGCAGTGAGCTGAGATCACACCACTGCACCCCACCTGGGGGACAGAGCGAGACTGTCGCAAAAAAAAATAATAATAAATAAATAAATAATAATAATAATAAATCAACTACCTTGTAAGATTAAAGATATGAAGACAAAGGCTTGTCTTTTGCTTACTAACTCCAGCTACACTAACTTCCTCTCAAACTGTTCAAGAAGTGTCGGACACCACCATGTCCAAGGTACAGATTTTACGGGTATCTTAAAAAAATACAGAAAAACATCTAAGATAAATAAGAACCCAAACCCATGCAGCCTCAGCATTAGCCAGCATCAGCTAAGCAGCAGGACTCCTGATTCCATTTTGGAAAACATCAGGGAAGAAAAGCGACCTCAGTGGATGTCTTTCTCAGCAACCTGAAGCAGCCACAGCACCAGACCCAGCTCCGAATTTGCTTTTATGAGGTGCTGCCATTAATGGTAATTTATGGAGAGCTTTACCAAATGGAGCAAGGAAAGGGTGGCGTTTGGTACGAGGTCCTTGGGGAAATCTGGCCTCCATAAAGTTTGGCTAGCCTTAATTAAAGTGTAGGTTTCTGTACTCACAGTTGTGTCAGCCTGGGTAGCTTGAATGCTCTTACAGGAAGCTGGGTGATCCTGTTTTTGCTCAGGCGAAGAGTTAGCAGCGACCGTGACAGACCATCAAATGCTCCCAACTCCAGGGTGCCAATCCGATTGCCTGCCAGGTTGCTGGAATGATTCAGAAAAGAAAATGTGGTGGTTGGTCAAAGGCCTTCCTCATTTCATTATAGACACCAGACCTCTCTGGGTCTGAGTTGGGAAGATGAGTTAAGACACCAGAGGGACAGGTTTCCAGTGAGATGTTTATCAGCCACAGGCTTTGGATGGGGAGCTAGAGAGATGCAGGTGTTAGGACTGTGCACCTAAGCCCTGAGGGCAAGGCCGATTTAGTCGAAAGCATACTGTCCTTGAAGCTGCTGGGCCACCCCAAGAGGGTGGGAGTGAAAGTCAAACACCCCCATGCCCACTGACACACCAGCCCTGCGTCAGGAGCCACCTGCAGGACTCTTCTCACCACCCAGTGCCCAAGGTTGACGTGAAAACTCCTAGAAAGCAGAAAATCAACTGAAAGGCAAGGTCAGTGTTAATTTAATAATTTAGAGAAATAGCCTTTAGTTTTGAGGTGGGTCTTGCTATATGAACTACATAACACATATGTATAAACCAATTCATTTCTGTAATTGTAAATGCCTCAAAGAAACACTCTAGCTGAAGAGACCTGTGCAGAATCCCTTCGTAAAACAAGCAATATGTCATGGTACCTACACTTACAGCGTGATTAAGTCGGGGCATCTCCCGTGACAATACAAAAAGGCAGACACCGCTTCTCAAAAGGCACAGAAGTCTGCAGCTCAGATCTGTGCATCTTGCTGTATGCAAATTATATCAAGTAATAAAAAAGAAAAGAAAGTACAAGGAAGAACAATATGGCATTCCTGTGAGAAGTGGTTTCCAACACCTCTCCTCTGCCTTCCCCAAACAAATGCTGCTTTTTCTGGCCTAAGTGAAAAGGAGAAAGACCAGAGAGGATTTTCTGCCACAGAGGGTGGAAGGGAGCAAGGCACTTTTTGTCTCTCCAGCAGATAGTGGCCTAGGACAAGGCACATAAGGATTCTTTGCAAATGGGGCTGGACTGTTTGTTCTCAACACCTCAGATTAAAGAACAGCCTGTGTGATGAAGATATATCACCCAATAGCTGCCAAAATAGAAAGTCCCTCCCACTTTTGTGCAGGGAGAGGTCAGAGCAACTTAGTGTAGCAGTTATGGTTTCTCTGTCCCAAGCAAAGTGGTGTCACGTGGACACCTTTTGAGGGCCCACACTGGAGGCTTCACAAAAGCCAAGGCCTCCTGTTCCCAACTCTGGCGCCCTAATGCAGGCTAAGAAAGAAATCACTCTTCTTCTTGCAGTATTTACTTGGAAAATCCATGTGCCAAACCTCACCCTCCCTGAAAAGATGGGTCACAATGACCCCTAAACCAGCCTTGCGAATGCGTTCCAAAGTTAACTCTGGAACAGTAATGACACACGGAATGAAAACTCACCTGGAATTGGAAAACGTCTCTTTAGCCTGGGGTTGCAGTTTCTTTCCCAGAGTAACACTTTTCCTACCAACAAGTAGTTGATTAAGTAGGTTTTAACTTTTTTTCCTTCCTGTCTACCATCCATTGTGTGTGAGATGGGACATTAATATGGGTAAGAGAAACAGACAAATCTAAAAGGTGCTGAAAACCCACATAATAGAGTAACTGCCCTCCCCCAAACAAACCCAATGACTTGTTTTACAGTGCATGACACTAGAAAGATAAGCACTGATAAGCTAAGCCCTGTTAGACAGGCTTCCAATGTGAATCCTCTAACCATCCTCCCTGAATCTCCTCTGGAAGCATTTCTGAGAGGCAGCCAAGGAAATGGGAAAAAAAGCAGGCTTTGTGGTCAAGATCGATCTGTTCTTGAGTCCTAGACTCTCGTCTTGGAGTGCTGAGTCCTTCCTGCCTCTGTCCCTTGTCTGTCTGTAATGTCAGGATAATGCTGCAGGATCTGGACGTGCTCTATGCATGGGGCTCGCCCCTGCCCTGCTCAGGGAAGGTCTGAACCATCCCCACTGACTCGGCCCAGCCGTGGTTGAGAAGGGAAGGAAGCATCCCTCCTGCATCCAGAACTGGGTGCCGGTGAAGCTGTTAGCTGGCTGGACACAGCGGGCCAGCCACAGGTGGCAGAACAGAGGCACTTACAGCTCCTTTATAGGCGGTCCGTGTGGAAAGCAGGTGTTCCGCACTTCCGTGATGTTGTTCAAACTCAGATCTAACACTTCTAAGGAAAGGTAGGCCTTCAGCTGGCTCCCCTCCACGCTGCGAATCTTGTTGTGCTGCCTGAAACACAACAAGGGAGGTGACTTGAGCATCTCTTTTTGCAAAGTAACTACAAGAAACTAGTATTCCTGCACCCCACCCCCCACCAATATAACTACAATGCAGTGACGCTCTTAAAAATGAGATCTCCTGTTTCTTTTCCCATCAAGTTATTACCTGCTGGCCAGATGCTAGGAGAATATTGGATTTTCAATCTGGGACAAGTTTATCAAAGTTCTATCCCTAGGCTTCCCTCTCCAAGGGCAACAACACAGCAGTGACACTGAAGACCATGTGAGACCAGCATGACCTGACCAGAATCCACGGATGCACTCACCATAAAGGATGTGCCCTGTCCTGTGCAGCCAGACAGCTCCAGTCCAACTCTCACCCATCATCCTCAGACCTAGTCCAGCCTCATAACTTACAAGAGCCATAGGCACCACAGCCCAGAGTTCACTTTAATCCAGTTTAACACATCATTACACACCTCACATTTTACCAACACCTACCATATACCAGACACAGAGGATTTAAACAAAAAGAAAAAGAAAAAAAAAAAAAGATTACGACAAAATCCTGACAATGTAAAATGGGAAAGAGGAGCTCACTGCTGAGTCTAACTGAAATTGAGTTCCCTGAACCTCCCGACTCTACCATTAATATTAAGCATTGTGCCTCGGTTTTCTCATTTGGAAGATGGGGCCACAACCCATCACTTCAGGGATAGGGACGATCCAGCCTAAAACCACATAAAGCATGTGGCAAATCTGAAGGTAAATGTTTAGTGGTCACCACCTCCCAAGACAGGAATGTTCCACTGTAACTTGTGTTTTTTTTTTGTTTTGTTTTTGTTTTTGTTTTTGAGACAGAGTCTCGCTCTGTCGCCAGGCTGGAGTGCAGTGGCGCCATCTTGGCTCACTGCAACCTCCGCCTCCTGGGTTCAAGCGATTCTTCTGCCTCAGCCTCCCAGATCGCTGGGATTACAGGCACGTGCCACCACACCCAGCTAATTTTTTAATTTTTTTTAGTAGAGACAAGGTTTCACCGTGTTGGCCAGGATGGTCTCGATCTCCTGACCTCATGATCCACCCGCCTTGGCCTCCCAAAATGTTGGGATTACAGGCGTGAGCCACCACAGCTGGCCTGTGCGCACCTTTAATCTACTTTCTGTCAAACCCACTATATAAACAAGCAACAGTTATAAGTCAAGAGAAAGACGAATGCTAGCCAAGGCTAGAGGTAGCTAACCGCCCTGTTGTGGGTTTGGCGCCGCCTGGCAGAGTCAAACCACTGCAGCCCTCACTCCAATATTAGACACTTAGGAATCTGCTGGGTGGTGGCGCTGGGCCTCTAGGTTGCAGGCACTGGCACTCGAGCCAGTTCTGAATAAACAGTGTCAGCATCTCTGGCCAATCAAAGCATTCTTGAACACAACACAAGTAAGCCAGGCGTCGCTTACCAAGTGGCATCTCCTTTAAACAAACACTTGACCGAATCAGTTCCAACAGGCATAAACAAGGACCTCTTTCCCAGAAGCTCTGGGGCTTCTCGTGGACTCCTTTGTTTTTTTCATGCGTCTCCCAGGCCCTGAACTCGAAAGTCCATTTCCAAGGGTGCAACTCTGCACACAGAACCTCCCCGGCATGAAAGGACCCTTTCCCTTCCTCTCCTCCCCAGCCCCCAAAGCCACTTCCTTTGAGTTCTTTATTAAGTTCTTTAATAAAGATAGTCTCCTCAGTTTTCTGGCTCCAAAGGAAAAAAGAAAAGAAAACCTTTATTATGTAAAGTATGGGAAGAAAAGAAACAAGAAATAAAGGCGACAGAGCTGAGTCTTATCCGGGAACTGTGAATGTGGTATCAGGGCGCCAGGAAAAGGGTCTGTGCTGGACAGAAGGGCCGGGCGCCACCGGCCCAGAAAGGCACAAAGAGGGGGTGAGGCCTTACATTGCGAAGCCGTGGGACAGCTGCAGGCCCAACATCTCTCCCACGCCAGTTCTGTCCTCTCCCCACCTCCTCCTCTGTCTCCTCAGTCTTTGTCTGTGGTCCGGTACCTTTTGCTCCTTGTCAGTCTTTTCATTCGCTGAATCAAACACAATCCGGGCCCCACTCTGCATAAAGGACCCTGTGCAGAAGACAAGTCTCTTTCACCCGCTGGGAAAGTTCCCCATTTGGCAGAAGAGGCAGCCGTGGAGATGGGAGACAAGGGTGTGTGGGAGTGAGGGCCACAGTGGCAGGGTCTGTGAGAGGAGCAAGGGAGTGCACAAGGTGCCAGGGCGAATGTCTGAGGGTAGGATGCTGAGGCCAGGAGGAGACAGGTAGGCAGAAGCCAGGAGCTTGGATCAGATTGCAGAGCTAGTAGGGTGGGCAGGACCACAACAGCAAATGCCTCGCAGCCCAAGCTAACAAGTTGGGAATGGATGCCACAGTGGGCCAGGAGAGAGATGGCGGCAATACAGAGACAGGCACAAGAGACCCTCTGATTAGGTCCTACCCACCCTACCAGCTCCACCCTCTGATCAAAGCTGCTGGCCTCTCCCCACCTGTCTCCTCCCAACTTCAGCATCCTACCTTGAAACACCCTGCCCTGGTGGGGGCTGGAGATGACAACTAGGGGCATCAATAATGATTCAAAATGTTCTAGCTTGGAAATGGAAGATAACCATGCCCATGGGCTACTGACTAGACCTTCCCTTCCATCCTTGCCCACTTACAGTCTATTCCCAACCCAGCAGCCAGAGAGACCCGCTAAAAATAAGTCACTTCAGGCATCCCACGGAATAAGAGAAAATATATGCAAATCACATTTCTGATAAGGGGCTAATATCCAGATATAAAGAACCTCTACAACAACAACAAAAAACAACCAACCTGATTTTTAAAATGAGCCAAGAATTGAACATTGTTCCAAAGAAAACACACAAATGGCCAAGAAGCACATGAGAAGATGATCAACATCACCATTCATTAGGGAAATGTAAACCACAACCACAATGAGAAGTCACCTCACACCCACTAGGATGGCCACTATTAAAACAAAACAAAACAAAAAAACAAACAGAAAATAACAAGTGTGGGTGAGGATGTGGAGAGAGTGAAACCCTGTATGCCAGTGGTAGAAATGTAAAACGGTGGTGCACCTGCAGAAGAAGACATTATGGAGATTCCTCAAAAAATTAAACAGAGGCACACCATATGATCCCACAATTCCACTTCTGCATATCTAAATAACTGAAAGCAGACCTCAAAGAGACATGTGTATCCTCACATTCATAGAAGCATCACTCACCACAGCCAAAGGTGGAACAGCCCAAATGTCCATCAATGTTGTATATACATGCAATGAGATATTACTCAGCCTTAAAAAGAAAAGAAATTCTAACACGTGCTACTGAATGGATGAGCATTGCGGACATGATGCCAAGTGAAAGATGCCTGTCACAAAAAGACAAATGCTGTATGGTCCACTTATGTGAGGTAGCTAGAGTAGTCAGATCCACTGAAACAGAAAGTAGAATGGTGGTGTCCAGGGACCGGGGAGACCGCAGAAGGAAGATCTGTTGTTTAACGGTGTATTAGTCCATTTTCATGCTGCTGATAAAGACATACCTGAGACTGGGCAATTTATGAAAGAAAGAGGTTTAATTGGACTCACAGTTCCACGTGGCTGGGGAGGCCTCACAATCATGGCAGAAGGCAAAGAAGAGCAAGTATGTCTTACATGGATGGCAGCAGGCAAAAAAAAGGGCTTGTGCAGGGAAACTCCTGTTTTTAAAACCATCAGGTCTTATGAGACTCATTCACTATCATGAGAACAGCATAGGAAAAACCTGCCCCCATAACTCAATCACCTCCCACTGGGACCCTCCTATGACACATAGGAATTGTGGGAGTCAATTCAAGATGAGATTTGGGTGGGGACACAGCCAAACCATATCATTCTGCCCCTGGCCCCTCCCAAATCTCACATCCTCACATTTCAAAACCAATCATGCCTTCCCAACAGTCCCCCAAAGTCTTAACTCATTTCAGCATTAACTCAAAAGTCCACAGTCCAAAGTCTCTTCTGAGACAATGCAAGTCCCTCTGCCTATGAACCTGTAAAATCAAAAGCAAGCTAGTTACTTCATAGATACAATAGGGGTATCAGTATTGGGTAAATATAGCCATTCCAACTGGGAGAAATTGACCAAAACAAAGGGGCTACAGGCTCCATGCAAGTCCAAAATCCAGCGGGGCAGTCATGTCTCACATCCAGATCACGCTGATGCAAGACGTGGGTTCCCATGGTCTTGGGAAAGCTCCACCCCTATGGCTTTGCAGGGTATAGCCTCCCTCCCAGCTGCTTTCACAGGCTGGCGTTGAGTGTCTGCGGCTTTTCCAGGTGCCCGGTGCAAGCTGTCAGTGGATCTACCATTCTGGGGTCTAGAGGACAGTGGCCCTCTTCTCACAGCTTCCCTAGGCAGTGCCGCAGTAGGGACTCTGTGTGGGGGATCCCACACTGCCCTAGCAGACATTCTTCATGAGGGCCACACCATATTTCCCTTCCACACTGCCCTAGCAGAGGTTCTTCATGAGGGCCCCGCCCCTGCAGCAAACTTCTACCTGGGCATCCAGGCATTTCCATACATGCTCTGAAATCTAGGCAGAGGTTCCCAAACCTCAACTGTTGACTTCTGCATACCTGCAGGCTCAGCACCACATGGAAGCTGCCAAGACTTGGGGCTTCCACCCTTTGAAGCCATGGTCCGTGCTCTATGTTGCCCCTTTCAGCTACAGCTGGAGCAGCTGGAACACAGGACACCATGTCTCTAGGCTGCACACAGCACAGGGACCCTGAGCCTGCCCCACGAAACCACTTTTTCCTCCTAGGCCTCCAGGCCTGTGATGGGAGGGGCTGCCGCAAACATCTCTGACATGCCCTGGAGACATATTCCCCATTGTCTTGGTGATTAACATTCAGCTCCTCATTACTTATGCAAATTCCTGCAGCCAGCTTGAATTTCTCCTCAGAAAATGGGATTTTCTTTTCTATTGCATTGTCAGGCTGCAAATTTTCCAAACTTTTATGTTCTGTTTCCCTTTTGAAACTGAATGCCTTTAACAGCACCCAAGTCACATCTTTAATGCTTTACTGCTTAGAAATTTATTCCATCAGATACCCTAAATCATCTCTCTCAAGTTCAAAGTTCCACAAATCTCTAGGGCAGGGGCAAAATGCTGCCAGTCTCTTTGCTAAAGCATAACAAGAGTCACCTTTGCTCTAGTTCCCAACAATTCCTCATTTCCATCTGAGACCACCTCAGCCTGGACATTATTGTTCATGTCACTATCAGCATTCTTGTCAAAGCCATTCAACAAGTCTCTAGGAAGTTCCAAACTTTCCCACATCTTCCTGCCTTCTGAGCCCTCCAAAGTGCTCCAACCTCTGCCTGTTATCCAGTTCCAAAGTCACTTCCACATTTTCAGGTATGTTTTCAGCAATGTCCCACTCTACTGGTACCAATTTACTGTCTTAGTTATTTTTCACGCTGCTGATAAAGACACAAAGACTGGGCAATTTACAAAAGAAAGAGATTTAATTGGACACACAGTTCCACCTGGCTGGAGAGGCCTCACAATCATGGCAGAAGGCGAGGAGGAACAAATCACATCTTACATGGATGGCAGCAGGCAAAAAGAGAGTTTGTGCAGGGAAACTCCAGTTTTTAAAACCATCAGATC
This sequence comes from Homo sapiens, assembly GCF_000001405.40. Taxonomy (NCBI): domain Eukaryota; kingdom Metazoa; phylum Chordata; class Mammalia; order Primates; family Hominidae; genus Homo; species Homo sapiens. The sequence continues at coordinate 66,422,970 of NC_000003.12, forward strand.
TTGTGAGACTCATTCACTATTATGAGAACAGCACAGGAAGGACCCACCCTCATAATTCAATCACCTGCCACTGGGTCCCTCCCATGACACATGGGAATTGTAGGAGTTACAATTCAAGATGAGATCTGGGTAGACATCATCCCAGCCAAACCATATCAAATAGGTATGAAGTTTTAGTTTTGCAAGATGGAAAAAAGTTCTGGAGACTGGTTGCACAACATAAATGCATTTAACACCATTGAACTCCACATTTTAAAAAATACTTCAGATGGTAAATTTTATGTTATGTGTACTTTACCACAATTTAAAATTAAAACAAGGCCAGGCACGGTGGCTCACGCCTGTAATCCCAGCACTTTAGGAGGCTGAGGTGGGCGGATCACCTTAGGTCAGGAGTTTTGAGACCAGCCTGACCAACATGGAGCAACCCTGTCTCTACTAAAAATAAAAAATTAGCCGGGCATGGTGGCGCATGCCTGTAATCCCAGCTACTCGGGAGGCTGAGGCAGGAGAATTGCTTGAACCTGGGAGGCAGAGGTTGTAGTGAGCCAAGATCACGCCACCGCACTCCAGCCTGGGCAACAAGAGCAAAACTCCATCTCAAAAGAAACAAATTAAAACAAAATGTGACTCAGTTCACAGCACTCCTCTGTCTAAATCTCAAATGATGATTCTTGTGTCTCCCAAGTAAGTCCTGTCCATGGTCTCCAAGGCACATGTGGAGTTCTTCCTGCTGTGGAACATGGCACAGCACTGTGGAACAATATGCCTTGAGTGTCTTCCTGCCCAGGTTCAAATCCCAGCTATCCCACTCACAGGTGTGAACCTCAGAAGAGCCCCTCTGTAAAGTGATGTGTGAAGTTCATATGCCCCATGGGCTGATATGACCTGACACGTAACAACTGCTCAATAAAATGAGTTCTTGTTTTTAGTAGTCATGCTTGTGTCATCAGAGCCAGGCTAAGGATCTAGTCTGTAGGAGGTGCTCTGGAAAAAAGAATAAAATTAATGACTGGTTCTTGTCTACTCTTCTGACATATTTCAGTGCAAACAAGCAGCTCTGGCTCCCCTCTCAGGAACGAAGGGCTGACTCAGAGCTCTCACTCTTAACTTCAAGCATAAAAGAAGCCTGCTCCAGCTGGAGAGTGTCAAACCCAGCCACTGGGAAGACCCCACGTTTCAAAGCAAATCCCAGACTGCAACTTCTGCAGGATTCAGGGTGGCTAGACATCTGACAGATTCCCCAGCATCTGGATGACACCCCCCACCCCCACTCCCACAGCAAGTGGAACTGAGGCCACGTCCCTGACCCAAGCCCACCAAACCCCACCAACCCCACCATTCCAGAGGTAGCCTGCTGGTCTAAGATACCCTCTCTAGGTCTCCCCCCCATGAAGGTTAGAGTAAACAGCTGGCATTCAAACCCCTGCAGGGAAGCCTTCCCACCTCCTGCCTGAGAGTTGATGCCATGGAAACGTGTCTGCTGCCCTCGCTCAACCCGGCATTCCACCTTCAGGAAACTATCCATGTTTTCAATTCCACATGCAAACCCAAGTGGTCATCATTTTCACTCCTTTAACATAACTAACTGCACAGTTCCCAAGAAGATCCATACCTCTTTTTATTGCCTCTCAACAGCTGACCAATTAATGAACACCTATTATATACACAGTAGATCCTGGGCAAAGCATCAATGCCATCACACAGCAATCTAACAAGGTAGGTACTATTATCTTTATAGGCAGCCCCTGACTTACGATGGTTCAGCTTAACGATTTCTGGACTTCACAATGGTGCAAAAGCTATACACATTCAATAGAAATTGTACTTCAAGTACCCATAAAACCATTCTGTTTTCCACTCAGTGTTCAATAAATTATAGGAGATATTCAAAACTTTATTATAAAATGGGCTTTGTGTTAGATGATTCTGCCCAACTGTGGACTAATATGAGTGTTCTGAGCACATTTAAGGTAGACTAGGCTAGGTTGTGGTATTCAGGAGGTTAGAGGTATTAAATGCATTTTTTGCTTAATGATATTTTCAACTTAGGATGGGTTTATCTGGACATAACTCCATTGTCAGTTGAGAAGCATCTATACTTAGGCAATTGAAGAAATTGAGGCTCAGAAGTCTGCTGGAGCTTGCCCAAGGTCACACAGCTGGGAAGCAAGAGGAGCCGGGATGCAAGCCCAGGGAAGCATGACCCTATCTAGCCCGTCCGAGAGGCTCTCCTGGCAGAACTTTAAGGGCACTGGCCCAGATTCCACCCATAAACTTCCAAAGCTTGGCTAAATCTGAACATTAGCTGGCCATTTCTCAGTCAACTCAGCCTGTTCTACGTAGCTTGGCCTCGGCCAGGTGGCCCAGCTCTCATACAAGCTTCCCAGAGTCCTGTGTGAGAAGCAAATGTGCACAGGACTTCATGTGACAGAATCTCAGCAAATAAGGCAGATAAAGCTCAAGTTTTTACTTTGAATGTTCTGGATGGAAAGAAAAGGGCAGTTTCTTTGAGATCTTGAAAGATCTGCCATCGAGGGAGGAAGGAGTATCTTTATTGTTAGGGAAGGTAAGCTGCAAAGGGATCCACTTAAGTTTACAAAAAAGGGTGAGGATGGTGCAAGGCAAGAGGACAGTGTTGTGCTAGGAACAGTTCTTATTGGCCTCATCAAAGGAACAGCGCAGCCTTTCTCTGCAACCAGACAAAACCAGTGATTCTGCACTTATGGGGACCGGGGGAAGTGTGTGGTGGCCAGGTCACGTGGCATTCGCCTCCATCCACAGTGTCAGTTTACCCCTTGGGCTGCCCTCTGGAGCGAGGAGAACTTAATACAGCAGAAGTCTATTAAACCAACACCTGTTAAAGGCTTCAAAAATAAAATCAGTCTTCAAAGGCGGAAAGCAGGCAAGATAAGCTCTCCCCAGTTGGCTACATTTTCAGAGCTGATGTTAAATTAGACAGTGAAACAGATGGAGGCATTTGAAACCAACATTTAAAACTTTTTCTCATAAGTGATTGTTCCACTACAGTTCTGTGAAAGCCTGGTTTACAAGGTATTCCCGTTAGTGGTGGAAAAGATCTCATGTCACAGATAACAGCCAGGAAGAAAGGGCAAGGAGATCAAAGGCAGTTGGGACAAGGTGGGTCAAGTGGGTAATTTCTGACCCCTGAAATTATGCACCTATTTTCTACACCAGGGGCCAGCAAACTTATTCTACATTGGGCCAGATGGTAAATTTTTAGGCTTTGTGGGTCATACTGTCTCTGTCATGACCACTCAGTTCTGCTGTTATAATGTAAAAGCAGCCAGACAATATGTAAATGAATGAGTGTGGCTATGTTCCAATAAAACTTTATTTACAAAAACAAGCAGTGGGCCAGGATTGGGACCACTGTCTGTGGTGTGCTGACCCTGTCAACCCTATGGCAACCAGTTTGTGTTTCTTGGGGTGCAGAGACCCAGACTCTAATTCTTGCTGTCATGCAATTTTGGAACCATGTATAAATCACTCTTTCTCTACCTCGTTTAACCACCTGCAAAATAAGGAAATACCTCTTAACTGCAGAGAGAAAACTTTCCCATTGTCCCTCCAGTGCCCATGTCAGACATCACTAATCACAGTCTTTTCTGCCAATGTCTTTTCTACCTCTTCAGAAAGTGAAATGGAACATAAGTCTCTCTACCACTGTTATGTTCCTCAAGAGATCAACCAGGTTCCTTACTGGAGCCAGTGAAGATAGATGGGCAAACAGGGTTACTTTACAGAAGACAGAAATCCACACTGTATATCCTATATCCTTCCTCGTTTCAGTTCCGCCAATTAGTCTGAAACATACTGAAGCTGGCCAGCTCTCCATCCCTAAGATCTAAGAAGCTGTGCCCTTCCGCCCTTCCAGACAATTACAGTGATTCACAAAGTCCACAGTCAACTATCTGAGTGTGGACTCTCACCGAAATGGCAAATCTACCACAGTTTTACTTCAAGATCAAATCTTAACACGTCTTACTTAATGAATAAGCGAAATCCACATAATAGCTCTTTGCTTCGCCTGAACCTCCGGTTAGAAAATAAGTTTCACATAATCTAGCCCTAGACTGGGGGGAAAAAAAATCTAACACCCCCGGCCCCCATTACCCCAACAAAGTGATCCTGGCAGACAGGTTTCATCAAACTCCACACCCTGCAGCACTCTGCCCATCATGGTGCTGCACTGGAATTCTTACCAAGGCTCTGCATCACACACTCACTGTCACCACCCACATACAGCACGCACTCAAAATAATCAAAATGAATGAAGGCGTGCACACATTCACATATGCCTTCTGAGGCTACAGTGTATCTTAACAACATATCACACCTGGAATCCACACAATGTGAGACTATCTGAGACCCTCATATTACTGACGGAAGATGAAACTTAGTACAGGGCACACCAGCCCTGATGCCTACCTAAGGAGGTGTACTTTATGACTGCAAATGCCAAAAAACATTAACCATTTCAAAAACACACATGAAGGTGATGATTTCTCCTTGTCAGAAGACACAGGCTGGGCACAGTGACTCTGGCCTGTAATCCCAACACTTTGGGAGCCAACAGTAGAAGGACTGCTTGCGGCCAGGAGTTCGAGACCAGCCTGGGCAACACAGTGAGACCCTCATCTCTTAAAAAAATTTTTTTTAAAATTGCAGCACTATCAGACAGGCCATATGGCCAAATGCTGGCAGTTGTTTTGTTTGTAAACATTTTTATTGAAATATAAAGGATTTTTACAAAATGTAGAGAAAAATTTCCGCACCCAGAAGCCTCCCTCCTCCTGTCTCCTGGTTGTTATTCCTCCCAAAGGAAACCTCTAATTTCTACCACCCACAATTAATTCTGCCTATTTCTGTGCTGTACAGACACAAAACTGTTCTGTACATACCCTTTTTTATTTGGCTACTTCCACTCAACATTGTTTATGAGATCCATCTGGGTTGCTGCATTAGCAGTAGTTAATTCTTTTCTATCACTGTACGATATTTCTATTGACAGAACATACAGCAATTTATTTTTTCTTTCTATTGTTGACGGACATTGAGTTATTTCCAATTCAGGCTATTGCAAAAATCACAGCTATGAACACGGACTTGTCTTCTGCACTTGCTTTCTGGTGCATGTCTGCATGCATTTTTGGCAGGCGTGCAATGTCCAGGCATGGAATTGCTACTCAGGTCATTGAGCTTGCATATGTCTGGCCTTAGCAGACACTGGTAGTTTTCTTTTAAATCAAGTCCCCCAGGGTTGAAATGAATCTGAAAACCATTAGCTCCAAGTGCCCTGTTTCATGCTGCTTCATTTGACCACATTCTCAGATGCCACTGCCCTCATATGTCCCCTTTCTGACCCCTCCCCAAAAAACACATTAGGAATATAGCCTGGGGCCACCGAACATGGCCAAGCTCAATCTAATCTTCTTCAGGTGTCCAGTAGAATTTTTTAAAATAAGTGAGGGCCTAATGATCACAAAAAAAAAAGAATAATTCTAAGTCTCAAAATTGGCAAGAAATAATGTTGATGCTAAAGTCCACAGCTTACGATAATGCACTTGTGCCAGGACCAATGCCCATACAGAACTTGAAAATTAAGATGAGACATTTTTCAAGAACAAGTGAATGCGGAAGAGCTTTCCTAATCCAACTTGAATAAAAGTCTCCCTTCTCAGAATGACAGTTGAAACCATTTCCCTCTAGCCTGCTTTACATCCATCTTCTTAAAAATTAAAATCAAAATCATTTGTTCTATTGCAGAAATTGATCATTTACTCAAAGAACTGCTGTCTCGTAAGAAACAGCCCAGCCTGGGTTATTTGCTGGACAGGAAATGAGAATCAGAATAAGCAGGTCTCTCTCTCTTGCTTGTTCCCTCTCTCTTCCCCTGCTGCTGGTGAATCACCAGTTCCCTGGGGAATTTTGGCAGATTCTCAGCCTGGCTGCAGATGACGTTCCAGATCTGTTTATTCAGGTGGAGACTGGATAAAAAACAAGAGCAGCCCAGTGGCGGGATAAACAGCCTCCGCCAGGCAGGGTCAACCTCTCCAAAGGCAGGACTGGGCTGTGTCAACCAACCTCCCAACCCGTTCACTTCCTTTAGGGTCACCCTCCCCTTTGGGTCTTCAACAAACAGCTTCCATTAACTCCTTGCAAAGACGACCCAATGTCCCATCCCCATGAGACTACCTAACCCCAGGGACCTTGCTACAGCAGATCCCATTTGGTTCTCCCACCCATCAACTTACACCCATTGAACTGAAAGCCCCGGATCCCTGAAACGAAAAAATCTAGGTACGATCAACAGCTGGCCACCACTGTTCTGTGAAGTCTAGAGTGACCCAACTCATGAATGACCCAGGACCCAATCCAAACTATCAGAATGTTCTGCATTTAAGATGCACAAATAAACAAGAGCAGCAGCAAAACTCCTAAGGAAATACACATTGTTGAGTAAAAGATGCCCATCTGAAAAGACTACCAATTGTATGATTCCAAATGTATGACATTCTGAGAAAGGCAAAACTATGGAGACAGTAACAATATTTAACTGCCAGAGGCTGGGTAGAGAGAGATGAGCAGGTTCAGCACAGGAGATTTTTAGGTCAGTGAAGCTATTCTGTATGACACTGTAATGGTGGGCACATGTGATTATACATTTGTCAGAACCAAGACTGAACTCTAATGTAAACTATAAACTTTAGTAATAATGGATCGATATTGACTCATCAGTTGTAACAAATGTACCACACTAATGCAAGATGTTAACAATAGGGGAAACAGGGTGGGTGTGTGTGTGTGTGTGTGTGTGAGGGGGAGAGAGAAGAGATGGCGGGGGCATATGGGAACTCTCCGTACTTTCCACTCCATTTCTGTAAACTTACAACTGCTATAAAAGTCCATTAATTAAAAACAAAACAAAACAAAACCTCCTAAAGTATTAAGTAGTCCTGCAGTCTCGACTGGGTAGAATATAAACCGCACACCGGCTAGGAATTTTTAGTCTATCGTATTGACTGCTATAGCCTTAGCCCCCAGAATAACGCTTAGAACTTAAAAGGTACTCAATCAATATTTGTTGAATAAACAAACAAATTACAACTTTAGTTCAATGTCTTACATTCACCACAACAAACCTGAACCAAGGAACATTACTCAGGAAAAACAAAACAAAACAACAACAACAACAACAAAAAAAAAACACTGAGGCAGGACCAACCATCCAATTAAAAACTTTTAAAAAGAAAAAAATTTAAGACACAACGTGGAGTTAACTTTTTTAAAAAAGGTAGGGAAGCTGACAGACCTATTTAAAAGCAAATGTCGAATACGATGGATTTTCGATTTTCAAATAGCACGGGGTGGGGGTTACTTACGCATTTCCCACATTCAATTGAACCCCAAACACTGGCCCTCACTGGCTTGCAATGTTGAGACAATTATGCTTATCCAAGGCTGGCCAACAATCTCTCCCTCACTCACTTCTAGCCACAGCTCGGCCCTGCCTGAGGTCCCCATCCACACGCCTCCCCTGGGAGTTCCACGTGGACACTGCTGACCCGAGGAAGCTGTACAAGCCACATATGGATCACATTCCCAGGGAGAAAGGCTATGCCATCCTAACATGGGCAGTGACTTCTAAGGGGCTTGAGGAGTTAGTTCCATGTCCACACGGAGGTCAGCTGTCTTGGCATCTGGGCATGGCAAAGCAGTACCAGGTTGGGCTAAGAGATGAAAAACCAGGCTCAAGTTGGGCCAGAGATGGACAATGAGCCACTTCCACCAGAATTCCCAGCCACATATGCCCACCTCTGGGTCAGAAGAGCCAAACGTATTTATCGCTTTTGCTCAGGGCCAACATAGACACTTGCTTCTCTCTCAGGGCTGTGTTTTCCCCCAAATGTATCAATACATCCCTATTTTCTTCCCCCTTTGTTTTCCTTTCCCTGGTGACCTGCTACCCCACACCCCAGCACACTGATGGTGTTCCCTCCACCACACCGAGACCCCGCCACAAGCTCTCAGCCCTCGTAGAGCACAGGCCCCACCCTGAAAGTTGGCAGAGCACCGGGCTATCAAGCTGTGTCATGTGGAGCCAGCAAGCCCGGCACAACCGTGGATCCCGGGTACGGCACAGCTGAACTGAACCCCTCTGATTTCCCTTTGAGAAGAAGGCTAAACATACTTCATTACAATTGTCAGGGCACATGTGTCCCTGCCTGTTCAGCTCTGCCCCTTGAGGGAAGGAGGTAAGAAAACCAGGACACAGAATGAGAGACATGGATTCAACCAGACTCCAGGGGCTGAGCAACTGTTTCTGGACAAGAAAAGCAGAAAAGGTGAGATGGCAACGATCAAGAATGAGGTGATGAGAGTGTCCCTTAAGGCCAGGGACTAACCCCAGAAATTTTAACCAAGAAGCGTCCGCACTACCCACGTTGGAGGGTATCAGGAGGCTGCCATGCATGGTTTTCTTCCAAAGAAGGCTCCGCCAACTAGGGTGAGGTGGGAAGTCCCGAGCCCAGGGGTGTGAAATGATGGAGATACTGCACTTCACACAGCAAGGACCTCCTCTGCCCAAGTTCCACAGGGACTGGTCAGCAACTGGGGGAGGGGGTCACCCAGGAGTCCAAGACCAATGAGCTCTGACATGAGCTATTGTGGTTTCTGTTCCTCTGACCTCACCAACTAGGACCTGAAAAAATGGAACCACTGTTGAGAAACATGCTGACCTCACGCCAAATTCCCAAAGGGAGCAGAATGAACCTCCTTCTCACAGCCACCCTTCCATCTCAGCCTTGGGCAAAGCGGTCTGCAGCACTCACACACCTGGAGACTGTCCATGCCACCATGCTAAACCAAAAGCAGGGCACACAGCCCACCAATTCACATGACTGTCCCTCTCTAGAAGATACACGTAGAAAAAAAGATAGGGAATACAGGATGTTGTTCTCACAGTACGATGATAATGGAATCCCCACCCCATTTTGCATACTGCCTGTCAATTATGTGACATTAAATTTATATTTACAAAGCAGTTAATGAAAACGTAGACAATGAACTTTGGGACCTAATCCTTAAGTGCAGAGCAGACTAAGAAGTGTGGTGGAGAGCTGTGTAGGGTTGGTACAGCCCAGGGTGGCCTGAGCATTCCACCACCAGTCCACCAGGCACAAAGGAGGGTTTTCCACACAGAACCTCCTCCTGAACCCCCTGCCCCCGACACTCTCATGGCACAAAAGCCTGCTCCAGGTGGTGCAAACTTCAAAGGGCCTTTGTAGCCGGAGTCTGGAATGGAGCCCTGGTGCTTCTGCGGCCTCCAGGAAGTGGTTCCAATGCTGCACAGGGCCATGGATGTCCAGGGAGCTTGCCCTTGATGCTTAGCTATGGAGGAGTCACACTGCATTTTCTTTCCAGTAGAAGGGGTGGCAGGAGTAGCCATAATGGCAGGAACAGTGGGAACAAATCTAACATTTTGTTAGTGCTTACCAGTAGCTAGGCGCTGGCTTCGCTCTTAACATCTTCCCTCATTTAATCTTCATGACAACCCCAGAGGCGGCCACTATTACCGTCCCCATTTTACAGATGGGGATGCTAAGGCACGGAAAGGTCAACTCACTTGCTGAAGGTTACACAGCAGTAAGCAGTGCAGTTGGGACTGGAGCCCGGAACAGGAATCCATATCCCACACTCCTAGTCAGGATGTGGAACTGCCTCACCAGGGAAGCGGGCAGAAGAAACCTGAGGAAGACAGCTTCTCTTGATAGCACCCCATACCTCCCACCTCTTCTCGGCATCCACCAGGGACAGGGATAACCCTACACTGGGGCCACACCATGTGACTGGAGCAGAGGCAGGACCTGACTCTGCAGATACAGAGGGAACAAGAAGGGGAATGTCCTGTCGCAAGCCACTGTTCATCCCCAGTCCTGCCAGGGGCCCACACCCACACGTAGGCTTCCAGGCCCTCAGCCCACAGCATGTCAACACAGCATTGCCAGAGGGCCCAGCCAGACCACCTCTATTTATATTTAGGATGACTGGAGTGGTCAGCGGCCATGTCCCCATCCTAAACAGGTGGGTGAGAGTGGCTCTTATTTCCTCAGGCAGTAAGTATAAAGGCACAGAACTGAGCACTCTCCAGGGAACAAAAGAAACTTGTTCGCTCATTGCTTACCACCACGCCAGAGAAGCCACCACCTACTCCAGAATCAGAGAGGTTAAGACCCTGGTATGAAGTCACCCAGCTAACCAAGATGCAAGCATAGGTATCCTCTGACTCCAGGCTGTGCCGCTCTCTGGAGTGACAGTGGCACAGTAAGCCAGACCAGACAGCCTGCGGCTATGAAGACAGAGAGGGGACTGTGGGTGCTGCAGCGCTAAAGCTCCCTCTGAGGTTACACATGGGCCCCTCACCTCTACTGGCCACTGGCACATTCCCTGAGATTCACATGCCAGCTTCCTGACAGCTCTGCAGTTCCAGGCAAAGGAGGAAGCTGTTTCAGCACTTGGCTGCAGCCTCTAAGACAAGATCCTCTCCTCCTCTGGGGAGGGATACCACTGATGTGCCTTTAAAAATAAAACCAGGCCTGCTTCCTGCCCCAACTGAAAGACTTTGATCTCCCAATCATACGATTTACAATATCTCTTACCACGCAATTTCTCAAGCCTTCAGCATATGACCTGACAGTGCTCCGGGAGGGTTAAGGATGGGTATGGGTGGGATTGAGGAGTTGGCCCTTTAACGCAGCCCTTCCTCACCCACCCCAAAAATGATTTGTTACAACACCAAAGTGGCACTGTCTGCAGCACCCCTTCTCTGTACCCCAGAACCATCTCAACCCGTGCCTTGTCCATGCTGGGGTCCTATGAGAAGCAATTCTTGCTGTTTCTTTTGTGGAACCACAAGCTTCAAGTTTCTTCCCTATTTCAGGCTTTTAAAAACATGTCATCATGAACTTACATGCAAAACATAAAACTACAGATCTTTTAAGAGAAAACACAAGAGAAAATCTTTGGGATCTACAGGTAAAATTCTTAGACCTGACGCTAAAAGCACAATCCATAAAAGGAAAACTTAACACTTATTAGGCTTTATCACAATTAAAAATGTTTGTTCAGTGAAAGACTCTGCTAAGATGAAAAGACAAGCTACAGATTGAGAGAAAGTATTTACAAATCACATATCTAACAAAGAACTGGTATCCAGAATATATATCCAGACTATACAAACATCTCACAAAACTCAAGAGCAAAACAACAACAAAAAACAACCAAAAAATCCAATTAGAAAATGGGCAAAAGGCATGAATGGACATTTTACCAAAAAGAATCTACAGGTGGCAAACAAGCAAATGAAAAGATGCTTAACATCATTGGTCATCATGCAAATAAAAATGAAAACCATAATGAGCTATCACTGCACACCTATCAGAATGGCTGAAATTAAAAAAATACAACACCACGGTCAGGCGCGGTAGCTCACACCTGTAATCCCAGTACTTTGGGAGGCTGAGGCGGGTGGATCATTTGAGGTCAGGAGTTCAAGACCAGCCTGACCAACATGGCGAAACCCTGTCTCTACTAAAAATACAAAAATTAGCCAGGCCTGGTGGCGTAAGCCTGCAATCCCAGCTTCTGGGGAGGCTGAGGCATAAGAATCACTTGAACCCAGGAGGCAGAGGTTGCAGTGAGCAGAAATCATGCCACTGCACTCCAGCCTGAGCAACAGAGCGAGACTCTGTCTCAAAAAAATTAAAAAAAAAAAAAAAAAAACACACCACCAAATGCTGGCCATAATGTGGAGAAACGGAATTGCCTATACACTGCCGGTAGAAATGTCAAATGGTATGGCCATTCTGGAAGAGTCTGACGGTTTCTTAAAAAAACTAAACATGCAACTCCCATATGACCTGTCAATTGCACTCCTGGGCATTTATCCCAGAGAAGTGAAAATTTATGTTCACACACACAAAAGAAACCCAAACACAAATGTTCATAGCAGTATTTTTTAAAAGCAGCCCCAAACTGGAAACATTCTAGATGTCCTTCATCGGGTGAATGGTTAAAGTACGGCACATCCATATTATGGAATACAACTCTGTGATTAAAAAGGAATGGAACGACACATACAATAACCTAGATGAACCTCCAGGGAATTACGCTGAGTGAAAAAAGCCAATCCCAAAAGGTTATCCATACTTTATTATTCCATTATATAAAACTCTAAATGAAAAAACTACAAATTTGGAGAACACATTAGAAGTCAACCAGGGGGGGCTAGGCATGGTGGGTCAAGCCTGTAATCCCAGCACTTTGGGAGGCCGAGGCAGGCAGATCACTTGAGGTCAGGAGTTTGAGACCAGCCTTCCCAACAGGGTGAAACCCCATCTCTACTAAAAACAAAAAACAAAAAACAAAAATACAAGAATTAGCCAGGTGTGGTGGTGCATACCTGTAATCCCAGGTATTTGGGAGGCTGAGGCAGAAGAATCACGTAAACCTGGAAGACTGAGGTTGCAGTGAGCCAAGGTCACACCACTGCACTCTAGCCTGGATGGCAGAGCAAGACTCTGTCTCAAAAAGAAAACAAAAGACAACCAAGGGTGTGAGGGCAAGAAGTAAATGACTGTGGCCATAAAGGGGAGAGATCCTTGCAATGATACAAATATTCTGCATTCTGACTGCATCGATGTCAATATCCTGGTTATGAAAAGCTGTACAAGATGTCACCATTGGGAGAAACTGGGTTTAAGGGTACGTGAGGGATCTCCCCATATTACTTTTTTTTTTTTTACAACTGCATGTGAATCAACAATTATCCCTAAGTATCATTAAAACAACAATACAAAAGTGTCATGGCATTCACGGTGGAATCAGATGGAAAGTCTGGGGGAGTTCCCAGTGGAATCAGCCTTCCTGCTACTTTACTAGTCTCCAGCCATCCTTCAAACCAGCAGAAACTTACACAGTATGACTGAGGTCTCAGAGCCAAGCACCAACTACCACTGGGCTCTGTGTGATTTCTGAAATGTAGGGATATGCATGAACTGTTTAATTACTTCCCATCATTTAGGAAAGGGCTGAGGGCTGGGACTCCTAGAGACAAGGGTGTTGCTGATAAAGCTGAGGACAGCTAGCGTGGCCCTTGCCTGGCATCAGGGGTTGTCATCCAGCCCTGTGTCTTCTTCCAGCACTACTTGGCCAAGGAAGACGTGCCAGACGTGCATGCCCAGAAAGTGGCAGACGCAGGTTGCCAGACACCACACTCCCAAAGCATCATCCTTCGTATACTGGCCTTGGGAGGTGTTCCATGGAAAGGGTGCTGGGTGCAGGCAAGCTCAGGAAGGGGCATTTCCTCCCCCGCCTCTTGCAGACTCCCTCAGCAGGTCAGCAAAGAAAAGCGGCTTAGGAGAGATGATAACAACACCTTTCACTCGGCTTGCTTTGGCATTTGCTAAACTTACATGACCACAAAATCCTTTTCATGAAACGACCATTAACATCCCACAGAACAAGTATTCCAGGTGGCTCACTACTCACTATCTGTGGGAAACACCACGTCTCTCCCCCTCATTTGAGGTCAAAAGACATACAACGCAGAGCCCGGGGGTCTGGTGCCAGCCTCCAAATGAAGCCAAACTGTGACAAGCCTGCACAGGAAGAACTGAAGAGGAGGGGGGAATATATGCCTGTGGTAGCGAAGTCTAAACTTCATGGATGTGCATTTAGAGACAGGGAAGCAGCACTCTCTACTGCCAGGGGAACGTGAGGAGTGGATTTTATCATTCTCTAGGTCAGCACCTCTCATGCTCCCAAAATCTCCCTTCCTACCTCTGAAAGAAAATGAAAACATAATAGAGCTATGATGAAATGATCTTAGGAAGATCTCTGCTTGTCCTTGGAGACTCAAAGGGAACATCAAGCACTAAAGGCTCTGAAATGTTCTGCAGGAAAGAAAGGTGCTCACCTTCAACTCTGGGTTTTCTGAACTTTCTGAACACAGAGCACTCTTTTCCCCCTCAATGCCATCTACTGGCACCTCTAGAATCCAGGCACTCCTTAATGTCATCTTTTACGCAGCCTGCTGCACCTCCCTCATTTTCCTTCCGTCTCTGCAGTGGGGAACGGGTGGCATCTCCCAGCATGGGCTGGACGCCTGCAGGGATCTGCAGTGACTCTCCACCTTCGCTTCACAGAAAGCCTTTCCCAAACCACCTGCTGGCCCCTCAAACAAGCGAGCAGAGACTGGGAGAGCCCTTTTTTGACACATCTGTGGTAAGGTAAGAGCAATTTCTCATCTAAGCAAACAGAGGCTTGAAAAGCTGCTGCTAGAACATGGCAGAACCAGGACTCAAACCCCAATAATGAGCCCTGGGGGCAAGCCCTGTCCACCTCTGGGCCAGGCGGCCTCTCACATGGCAGTTTCCACTAATACTTTTTCTCCCTTGACACCCTGCCTGCCTCTTCAGTAAATCCAGGCAAGCAAGACTTATCCCCTGGCTGGAGAGCCACGCCCTCCAGCACCCCTCAGCAGGCCACTTCTACTATAACGTGCCCAAGCCTGTCTCTCCACCTTGAATAAGTATCTAAAACAACCTAGTGTCTGCCCCATACCCCACAATCACTTATCCTTAAGATGACCCTTCCACTTGGTCCCTCAGAGTCATTCATCCATACATGGATGGGATGCCTGCTACATGCAGCTGCTGCAAGGAAAGACGGACGTGGCTACTGTGCCATCAGCCCCTCACCCCAGCCCCAGAGGAGACAGAGGGATGTCATAGGTGCAGTGGCAGAGGGGAACACAACATCATGGGGGGAGGAGGTCAGAAGAGGGGCGGCTATTCCAGATCAAGGTAGCAAAATGAAGCAGGTACAGGATCCAGAGACACACCCAGTGTGGGCTTTCCTTACGCACAATTTAGAGGTGGGAGAACAGGAAGAAATGGAGCCAGGGCCAACTCTGAAAGAGCTGGGACTTTGTCCCATAGAGGATGGGAAGCCACGAAGGGACCCTTCATTCATGTCTTCGTCAAATATTGATGAAGGTACTTCATTGGGTGGCTGGTGTGGAGTGGGGAGGGATGAGGGCTGCCTCAGAGCCACATCTGGATGCTTGGGAGCCAAGGCCTTGGGGAACCCCTGTAGAGATGAGATGCAGGGCCCAGATTTGGCACCGGACCCGAAGGGCCTGCTAGGGTGCTACCCCCTGTCCCACTCCACGCAGACTCTGCAACATAGAGCACACAGCTCAGCCGGCCTTCTCCACAGAATTCATAAACATGTGAGCCTGCCAGGAACCTGGGGCCCCAGAACTACAGGGTCACCCACAACAGCAGTTCTCAACTAGGGATGTGAGTCTGTTCCAAAGAACATACAGCCCAGGCCTCCAGTAGGGAAGCAGCCATGTGTGTTTTTAACCCTGGTTGAGTATGGTTGATACTGAACCAGCCCCTCTCCTTACAGGTGAGGGAACAGAAGTCACAAAGAGAAGTGTTTTGTGAAACGTCCTATAATGGATCCATAATGTCAGAGTAGGGACCACAAGCCAAGTGCCCTGACACTCGTTCCTCTGAACACTACTGGTGCTAACAAGGGGGAAAAGGCCCTGTACACTCCAGGAAGGGATGTTTCCTCCCAGTTCCCAAGAGTTGGAATGAGCCTTGGGTTACGTCCCGACAAGAGGACGGTGAGAGGGCTTCCCCTGCAGCAGAGATACCACTGCAGAAATTCCAGCACCCAACTGGAGGTGAGCAAAAATGGACCAATGCCCTCTACTGAAATGCCCACAAAGGGATGGCGCTGTGAGAGGCCACCTGGTCCTCACCACTATGCCAACAACTCACGCCTTTTGGCTTTCTCTTCCTAGAGGTGACCCATGAGGCCACCAAGGCAGGGAATGCACATCTCTGCCATATCACCATTTCCTTTGATGACGTATTGAATCTCTCAGGGACTACAGCTCTTTTCCAGGGAATGGGGGAAAGTGAAGACAGGCACTGGGCTCTTACTTGGAACCAAATAGTTGCTATAGCATCACCAAATCAGGGTTCTCGTTAACACACACTAGAGGAGAGGAAGACAGAGCAGGGGCCAGCCTAGCCCGTGAGGAAAGCCAGGTGGTGAAAGGGTTTATCACAGCTGTCTGCAAGGCCATGGGGAAGGGGAGCCCCTGGAAGAACTGCGCCAAGGCCTCCCCGGGCCCAGCCCACGAAGCCCATGCTGGCTTTCTCAACACGCCAGCTCTCATTCCGATTGAGAAGAACCCAACAATTACGAGGCAGAAAAACTTCACTATGCATGCTGATAACCACTGTTTTTCCCCTTATAAAAAGTACATTTGATTTGCAGAAAAGTCACATTCTAAAAAGTCCAAGGGGAATTTTTTTTCTCATTTCCAAAGTTCTACTCTTTGCAACTTAACCTAGCATCCAATTCCAAACACAACCTTCACAAAATCCCATTATACAATTATCCAACTCAATTTTAGCACCAGAACTTTGCTATATTACAATAAAGCTTTTGGGTGAGATCCTTCAGTTTCTATATCATCTATTTACTTTTTTTTTTTTTTAAAAAGAGCCAAGTCTTACTTTTGAAGTTATAAAGAAAAAGGTGTTTAAGGAGCTTAGAATAAGTCAGTTTTGCCTATTGTTTTACTATAAAGAGAGTTTTTTCCACCATCATGGTGGGACATTTCTGACATATAGGTAGAATGCAAATGACAGTTGGGTGGGCTATCAGAAGAAAGAATGACCCAGATAAGGGGCAAATCCACAGTTGAATTCTGTGATCTCCAAATAAGGTGGGCAGGTCTAATCAGACCAAACACCCTCACCCGCGCACCACCAAAGCAACTTCCTCATCACGCTGTGGCTAACTGCACAGTATCTTCAAATTAAATCAACAGTGAAAAGAGGTAAACTAAAACCTCTACTAGGGATCCCCAGAGTCCTAAGTACTAAAATGAAGGCCAGCCTCAATATTTATTTCCCCTCCACCTGGTGAGAAAGAAAGAGGGGGAAAAAAAGGAGTGGAGGGAGGTGGGGGAGCCTGGGTATTTTAAATGATAGTTATGAGAGGGGAGGAGACAAGAGGAGGAACAATGCCTTTCAGTTGCAATTATCCAGCTGTGGCTTATTAAAGCTTTTGGCTGCACACTGAAATGACCTGGAGAGCTTTTTTAAAAAACCACCACAACGCCTGGGCCCAACACTCACCCCCTCTGCTCCCCAGCCCACTAACTCGAGGTTTTGATTTAACTGCCCTGAGACGTAGACATCTAGATTTTTTTAAGCTCCCTAGGTCATTCTACTATGAGTGAGAGCCACCGCTTAAACATTTGCCTAGCACTTTGCTGCTTGCTGCACCTACCCCAGGTAGAGAAACAGAAGATGACAAGAGAGGAGAGAAAATAAACTCTGCTGCTGTCCTCAACAGCTCCCGTAAGAGGAATGAACAGATACATATACGAGGGTTTTCTGTAAGCTTCAACTGGTTTATAGGAGGGTGAGCCATGATGGATATCTGCAAGTAAGATCCATTTTTATGGGATGTAAATAGACCCCTCTCCAGTCTCCAATACCAGGCGGCCTCCAGGGTTCAGTGTAGACAGCAGCAATGCCCCTCAGAGCACAGCAGCAAAAGCAGGCTTGCCTTGCCCACAACCCCAAAGGTGCTCAGTACAAAGCTGTCAGAGATAGCAAGAGTGTCTAACACTCAGTGCACGTTCAGTATATACCAGACACTATACTGAGGACACATACTGTTTAGTTAATCCTAACCACCACCTTATCAGCAAATATCATTTTATGAGTGAGAAAACTGAGGCCTGAGAGAACCTGCCCAGGTGACATAGCAAAGGTGATGCAGGCAGGACTCAAACCCAGATCTGATGGATACAGAGCCTTCTCTTAACCACTGTGCAAAAATGCCCCCTCTCTATAAAGCCCACATGATGCCTGAATCAGCGTAAGGTGAAGAGATCCATTTGTACCTACCTTTGTCCTACCGCTACGTGGAAAAGGAGCCCTGCTATTTACAAACTAACGTCACAGCAGCTGTCCCCGAGGAAAAAAAGTATCAGAGCCCCCAAAGAGACTCTACAATAGGACAGCTAGTTGGGCAGAAGCCAGTGGCCCCTGAGAGGGCAGCCCATGAGTACCTCTGGGGCTGCACACTTCACAGCACACATTTCACCTCCTGGTTGATGAAGTTGGGAAGAAAAAAAACCACAAACTGGCACCTTTATTTCAGCTGTTTGGGTTTGAAAGGCATCCAGGAAGTGAGGAAACTGCAGAGGAATTTGCCTTGAAGTGATGTCTTCGGGGGCAGATAGCCACTATCCGAGAATCTACTGGCACAATCGAACACGTTTGGGCTCTGCCGAGACCTGACGACAAGAGTGTTTTTCCTCACTGTACCTTTCACAGATGGCCGGCATAATCAGCTCTGAATTGACATGAGAGAGAGAGACAGGGAAAGATAGTAGGGGGAAGGACCTTCTGTTACTTCGCATCAGTGAAAGAAAATCATACCAAGAGCTACCCAAAGCAAGTTCACCTCGGGTCAGAAAGAGGCTTTTAAAGCAAGGGCATTACAGAGGCACGCAGCACCACTTTGGGAGATGCATGCTGCATTTGCAGGGTAGGAGCCTCTGACTCCACACTCCAGAGTATCATCGAAGCCTCTGGGCCACAATACCAAGGCTTCCCACACCTAGTACAGTTTGAAATGTCAGCACTTAAAATGACAAGACCCTTCTAGGCACCCAGACCACATACTTCCAAGTGTACAGTGAGCATAAGCCCCAGAGATGGAGAGAAATAACAGGATCCAACTTTGATGCTTCCTTGCTCTGTGACGTTGAGCACGTTACTTGCCGTCTCTGTGCTTTAGGTGCCTCATCTGTAAATTGTGCTTAACAGATCCTGTGTCTCATAGGACTGCAGAGGTGACACAGTAAGACAGGTCCCGGGAAGTCCATAGAGCAACGCCTGCCAATATCAGTGTACCATATATGCTGACGGTCACTATTTTTTCTTCTCAAAAGGCTGAACAATACAAGATTGCTGATGTCTGACCACTACTGAACAAAACACAAACAGTGATTTCATGGGACTCAATATACTGAGTCAACTATTCTATCTTTAAAAACTCTTGCCTTTAAACAAGCAGGGGGAATCCAATATTCCCTATGTATGGCCCAACAATGACAGGCCTTATGAAGGAAAGGCCCGGCATAAACACAAACACATTTCTTCCACTTGGGCTATAAAAGCTGAAAATGGCTCCCAGGTGTGAGCAGACACAATAGGCCCTGCCTTCTCTGCAAGGTCACCACACAGGTCAAAGTCAAGCCAGCCATTTTCAGATTAGGTGCATATGCACATGAGGCTTCCCAGTGGTAACTGGATTACAGAAGCCACCTGCAGGAAGTGAGGAGGGGGAGGAGGAGGAGGAGGAGGAGGAGGAAATGGTCCCAGTTGGAATGAGACTGTTGATATGGGCTGGAGCCAACCCCTTTCACACGGGAGATTGTGCAATGACAGAGCAGCTCCGCTTCCCGGCTCCATTTCAAGCAGCCCTGGAGGGTTTTCAGCACTCACTGCTGGAAGAAGCAGCACTTCCCCTCCGAGACCATCCACTGCTTCTCCAACATTGGGGAGCAACCCGGGTCCCCAGTGGATCTTGGGCTATATTTAAAGCTTGCATGGTCATCAGGAAAAGGGAAAGAAAGAGAGAAAGAGGCGGGCGGGGTGGTGGAAAGGAAAAAAGCCCTACGCTCAACAAAAGCTACCGAGTTTCCAAAAGAGGCAGTGATCTCTGTGACCAAGCTCCTATTCCATGGGATCTCCCCTTCCTCGGCTCCCCCAACCCCACAGCTGGTGTTCCCTTCACTTTCTCAGCAAATGACTTGCAGATGTACCTCTCATCTGGCTGGCTCACCACCCCCACTCTCAAAGAAAGGAGAAAAAAGGAAAGAAAAGAGAGAAGGAAAATGACAAGTCATGACTGTGTAATTTGGCAGGCTGGCTGCGGAGGCCACAGCAGCTCTTTTCCCAGCGAAAGGCTTGCTTAGACTGGGGGCAAGTGGCAGTCTGCACTACGGAATCCCTGGGAAGTTTCCGGGACAGAGAGCTGCTTTCTTTGTAAATTGGGTGTTTAATTTTCTATTTTGAGGCTCCTTGGTGGTATCCAGCATCTGATGAGGCTGCAGTTCTAAGAACTGCAACAGCGGCCTGCTGGCTCTTCATAAAAGCCCGCCTGTTGAAAAAGAAAAAAGGCAGGGAAGGGAGGGTATGTGTTGGGGGCAGGGGATGAGTGAGGGGCGGGGGATGAGTGAGGGGGCGGGGGATGAGTGAGGGGGTGTGTGTGTGCACAAATTGGCCTAAAGATGGAATTAGCCATGTCCTTTTGGTATTCCTCTGAATGCTCCTCCAAGTACCCACTGTGTTGGCTGAACATTTAGGGTGTTACTTACACCTGTAACTTACACCTCTGTGTAGGGGAAGAGAAAGGAGGTTTGCAGAACAGGGAGCCTCAGCTAAAATGTCACTTCATCTGGGAAACTTCTCTGTCATGTGACCCATCAGTGACGGGCAGTGAGGTGCCCCTTAGACATTCCCCAGCCCCTGTATGACAACTGTCTGTTCACCCATCTTCCTCTGCAGCTAGACTGCCAGTTCCTTGAGGGCAGTAACTCCAGGCCCATAGGACCCGATCTGTTTGCTCACGAAAGGCCTTGAGTGGGGCATGTGCTGGCCAACTTCACAGCAGCCGTGCAGAGGAACCCACGGTCTCCACCATGAACCAGCTGAGACTTCCTCCACATTTTCATCTCTTTTGCCCACTGTTGACCTGACCACAGTTCCCAGGCTGGGAAAATGGGAGGAGAGTAATCTGGTCATAAACAATGCAGTGCTAGGAAAGGGCAATGGGGCAGGTGGGGACCCCAGTAGGGTGGGGGAAAAAATGCCCACCTTTCAGACACGCCTGTTAACTTCCATCTGGAAAAAGAGGTGGCATTCAAGTCTTAGCTGAGGATAAAGACTGATCAGATACGAGTGACTGATAATCAAAAGAAAGGTAAGTGTGCTAAAACTGACTCCTGCCGGGGGAGAGGGGATGCTCACCTGTAAGCAGAGCTGCCAGCACCCACCGGCTGAGAGAGTAACAGGGCTCCTGCCACGTTGGGCTGCTCACGAAGCGCTCTCCACCTCTACAGCAGCCGGTGAAGGTCTGCTGGGCAGACTTGAGTGGTCACCAACAAACAGCAAATTAAGCACAAGCAAATATGTAACAGTCATGGGCCTCCAACCCTGAGCCACCCAGGTCTGTTCTGTCCGTGGTACTGGAGCTCACTCTGCCCACTGCCCCAGAGCCTTTCTCAGAAGCCATTACCAGGGCCATAGAGCCCCACTGTCCCAAACAAATGCCTGCCACCACACTGGTGACATTAGGAGTGGAAATTTACTGTCCCCCAAGGCCTAAACAGCTTGGTCAGAACCGACACATGAGCCTTGGGGCTCCCCCCAGCCCCATATGAGCCCCAGGAGTGGTTCTCAAAGCCACCTGGCCAGCAGCAGTGGCATCATCACCTGGGAACTCATGAGCAAAGCAAATTCTCTTGTCCCATCCCAGACCCGTTGAACCAAGCCAGAAACGAGGGTAAGACCCAGTGACTTGTGTCTCAGCAAGCCCTACAGGTGGTCTACCAGTGAGCAGAGGCTGGCATCTCCCAAGGGAAAGGGCATGAGGTTTTATCCAGAAGAAACAATCAGTTCACATCAACAAAAATCTGTGCAAACAGGGAAGGAAGTGAACACATCTTTGAAAACTCAGAAGAGGACCAGAACTTTAGATAATTATATATATATATATATACACACACACATATCTGTATCTATCTATATACATATATATACATATATACACATATATATACGTGTGTATATGTATGTGTATATATATAATTCCTCCCTGTTGTGCTGGTTTTTTTTGACTAGGCCTGTATCTTCCCCCTTTAGCATCTGGGAACCAAAACAGCTTCGGACTACCCAAGGAACAAAAGGCATTCACTTGAACTCAGCCTGGGCCTTTTAAAACAGCTTTGCTCACATTTTCTTCCTAAAGTAGCTGGAGTCATTCACTCTTAACTCCACACTCTTAATGAGAATTCATTTTATTGCCAGAGCAATAAAATGCCTGTAGCCCAGGTAAGGTTTACTTTTACACTGACGGTTTACTTTTACCCAAATGGTAAAAGTAAGGTTTTTTTTTTTTAAAGTAAGGTTTACTTTTACCCAAACGGACTGGCCATCCTTCAATAGTAAAGCTAAATCAGGTTGCTACGCGGGGGAAGCCTGTCCAAAGTAGCATGGGGACCTATATACTTGTTTTCATATTTTCTAACACCCTTGATTAGGTCCACTCTTAATCTGGTGACTGGTGGAGGGACCAGCAGATAATTCCTCCGAAGGAAGGATGGGGCAACCCTTGGTCTTGGGGAGAATCTCTACGCCCACCTCGACTGTACACACACCTATGGTGCCCACAGGTCCAGCTAGGAATAAATGCACAAAGAGCTCCACCATCTGAGATTACCACTCAACTTTTAAAGACAAATTCTTATTTCATCCCTCCAAAGATAAACATCACATGGAAAAATGTTTCACATCAATTCTTTATTATGCCAGTGAAGGATGCCTTTCTTCAGGAGATGCAACATGGAGAAAGTTTTAAAGGCAGGCAGTGAAGAGAAGGACAAGACGTCTCAACCCAGCTCCTTAGATGGAGAATAAGTCTGCCCATCCCCACACACACATGCAGTGGGAATGCCAGCCGCTGCCTGTTCCTCAGTATAATCTCACCTGTGCTTCAAGCCTGATTATTAACAACCTTAGCTCAGATCATGAGGCCGAGCCTAATTTTCCGACGTTGCACTCCAGGTCACTTCCAGCTTGGGCCTTCTAAGGGACTCTCATTATTCCCCCCAGCCCTGAGCTGCAGCAGATCACAGCTGCCTCTCTCTAAGGCTCACTCTTTAATTACACTTTAATGCGAACTGATCTTTGCATTAACGAGCCTGTAAAGAAGATTGATTTCGCCCCTCTTTTTTTCCAGAGGGTTTGCTAGGTACTCAGAGAGTTAAGTATTCCTATTGACTTTACTTCACCAACAGATCCAGCCAAGAAGAGGGCTCAGGCCTTTGCTGCCTCAGATCCCTCCAACCCCACCCAGGGCTTCGTCCACTCTTCACTCACCCCCGGGGAAGGGGGAAGGTGACCACCTCCCCGCTTGGTCACAGGTAGGACACCGCGTTTCTTTCCTTCCAAGTTTTATTCTCCAGAAATTACAACAGAGGGCTGTTAAGTATCCTATCCTCTCCCGCCCACCCGCCTTTTTTTTTTTTTTTTTTTTGAGAAAGAGTTTGTTCTTCTCTCCCAGGCTAGAGTGCAATGGTGCGATCTTAGCTCACTGCAACCTCCGCCTCCCAGGTTCATGTGATTCTCCTGCTGCAGCCTCCTGAGTAGCTGGGATTACCTGCACCTCCCACCACTCCTGGCTGATTTTTGTATTTTTAGTAGAGATGGAGTTTCGCCATTTTGGCCAGGCTGGTCTCGAACTCCTGACCTCAGGTGATCCACCTGCCTCAGCCTCCCAAACTGCTGGGATTACAGGTGTGAGCCACCATGCCCGGCCTTCCTATCCCTTTCATTTAATCACTTCTCTTCAGCTAAGAGGTCACAGCAAAATATAGTTAAAGCCACCTCAGATATTTTATTAAGTTATTTATAAATGAAGTCTTCCAGGTTCATTTGTTAACATGAGAGAAAAATGCTTTCCTCAAAAAAAAAAAAATTAGTTTTCAAATAAGTGGTTACCAGGGGCTAGGGTGAGGGATATGAGAAGTGACTGTTGAAGGAGTATGGGGTTTTTTGGGGGGCGGGGTGGGTTGGGGGGTGATGAAAATGTTTTAGCATTCTGTAGTGGTGATGGTTGCACAACACTGAGAACGTACTACAAGTGGCTTTTAAATGGTGAGTTAATGGTAAGTTCATTTTTTTAAATTTTCTGATTTTTTTGTGAGTACATAGTAGGTGTATATATTTATGGTGTACAAGAGCTGTTTTGAAACAGGCATGCAGTGTATAAAAATCACATCATGGAGAATGGGGCATCCATGCCCTCAAGCATTTATCCTTTGTATTACAAACAATCCAATTACACTCTTAATTATTTTTAAATGTACAATTAAGTTATTATTGGCTATAGTCACCCTGTTATGCTATCAAATAGCAGGTCTTCATTCTATTTTTTTGTACCCATTGACCAGCCCCACACTGCCTCCCCATGTCCCTGGGTACATTTATCTTATCTCATTAAAAAAAATAGTTTTCAAAAACATTTTTTCAAGATTAGAAGTAAAAGGCATTTCAATGTGTTTTCAAATGCAACCTAAACCTAAGGAATTTTAATAGCAATATTACAAAGTCACAATTAATTGTGTGCCCCTAAGTTTTGCCTAGGTCTTCCTCCTGGTTGAGGACACAGGCTGTGGGAGAGCAAATGACAAGGCACCATAAAGGGATGAAGTCTAGAACAAACCAGCTGGAGAAGTTGTTAGGTAGACAAGGCCAACCCTATGGGTAATATGCTACAGTCCATGCACAGGAGACAAAAGCTAAGACCAACTATACCACATACATTTTTACTCCCAGGACTGAAAAATTCAACGATTTCCACTGTCACCAATCTTCTCGACAGTACAAGTGCAGCAACACCACCGGAAAAACAGAGATTTTTCCTCAACAGAAATGTCATTGATGCATCAGACAAAATTACTGTTGCTGTGGGAATCGTAACTTGAGTGTCCTGGATTTTAAATTAAAAAAGAAAGAAATCTCAAACGTGAAAATCCACTGGCAGCTTCTGCCCCCATTTAACAAAAGTCTGTTTCTTTTTCTCGGCACTATTTTATGAAATTAGCTCCCTCACCGGAACCCATTCTTATTAAGAGCTTTCCTTGAGTTCTATGCTTTCTGTTTATTAAGGACAAATGGCTCCGGCATTATCCTCAGAACACAATGCAAATAAATCTGTTCTTTGACAAATATGTTAACTGAATTAGATTCCTTTAATCAGAAAGTATTAACCAACTGAAATTTTGCTCTATGACTCCAGTTCCCAAAACTATGGAAGTCTCTTTTGAAGACCTGACAGAAAAAGCCAGGTGCAGAGCAATGCCTCTTCCCATGAGGCTCTCCCAATGGTGCCACCCAGCTTGGGAGGGCTCTGGTGTCTGGAAGTCGGCTCAATTCTGCATAAGCAAAATGAAACACAGAGAGAAAGGGCCAACTTCCAGAGGCAAAAGTCCATAATTATAGGTGTCCAAGCTGAAAATTAACAAACCCACTACTTCTGTGAAAAGACAGAAAGCAACAACAGTGGTTATTGGTCAGAGGGTAACTATGTCTTTTGTGACATTATTGCCCCTACTCTCAACTTTCGGGTCACAAAGAGAATACACAAGCTTCGAGGGTACTTCTACCATCTGCTTCAACTTCCTCATCTGAGAAAAAAAGTAACGTATGTATCCCAGGTCACAACTACATTAGAGACAGCAGGACCCACACCTAGCCCTGACTTTTCTGTGATGCATCTACCTATAAACTTGTCCCAAGAAAGTTGTCTGGGCTCCTGTCACTCACATGGCCTCAGCAGACATTTGCTCTATTCTCTCTGCATATTTTGATTATTTTTTTCTGATCCTCTGTCTGCCCACAAAAACGGAATAAGAATTTGAGGATTAAGGACTATAAGCATCTAACTATTAACTACCACATTTTCAGACGATGTGTTGAGGCTTCTGCTTCTCCCTGGGACAGCCTCTGGGCCACAACTGCAGGGACACAAAAAGTGCCTACTAAATATTTACAGAACACGTGACACCCTTCAGTTCACTAGTTCCGAAAAGTAAGAGACACATCAGCAAAACCTGCTGTTCAAAACCTGGATGACTGGAATCATCATGTGGATGGGGCTGCTAAGTCTTCTGCCTTCATTGATTAGGATGAGGAAGGTGGTTCTTTGGGCTGTAAAATGATGCTCATCCACTGCCTGCTCTGTTGTTTTCTCCCTTGTCCTTTGCACGGTCCACTTGGGAAATACAGAAAAGGCATGAAGCATTATCAATAATCCAGCTGCCCAGATGTCATGCTGCTAACCTAACTTGCCAGCACTGAATCCAGGCATCCAATCTAAGAATGGGGAACACAGGCACCTCAGAGAAAACCAAGATAAAGCCCCTTCGGTTTCTGTCATTTCAGAGAAATCACTGACCAAGTCAGATGGTGCCCAACTTCAGGCCAAAGAGCTGGCTGCCAGTGCTAACCTGCATTTTCCAAACTGAATCCAAACAGGGAGTAACTCTCTTTTTTTTCTCTCCTGCTTTACATACTTCAATGCTGTCTAATGGAATAGCAGGAACAAGGCCAAACAGCCCCACTTCTCTTGGCACTTGGGCCAAGGAACAGAAATGTATTTTTAGTCAGCAGAGCAAGGTGCAATTCTAAGTGCCACAGGCCCGTGGGGCAAACTGGGGGCCCTGCCTGCCTCTGGCACAGTGTGGTTCAGAGTCACCTGCCACGCTCCTGCCCCGAGTGCATGGGGTTAAAGGAGTGATGCAAAGGCGTTTGTGTCTGGTCTCAGTTCCACCTCTCACTTTTACAACTTATAAGACCTCCAGGGAGGCTCAGTTTCCTCTCTGACAACACAGAGATATTCTCTGTGGCCCTAGCTTCCTCACTATGTGAGGAACAAGAGCAGTTACATCAGCATTTCTCAAACTTGAACTCGTGGACAAACGGCCAGGGCCCTTGTTAAATGGAGCTTCTGATCCAGTAGTGTTGGCATTAAGCCTGAGGTTCTGCATTTCTAACAAGCTCGAAGCTAACTCAATACTGATGGTCCATGACCTGTGCTTTAAGCAGCAAGGAGCTCCTAGCATCTTCAAGTGCTTTGCTTTATGGACACACAACAGGTTATCACATCCCTATCAGCCTCACATAAGACGAACTCATTGATTAAGCCAAAAATTAAACACCTTCCAGATGCTGGGCCCACAAACCAAGTGGGTACAAAATAAAGTCAGACCTTTACCCATCAAGGGAACAAAGGGCCACAAACCTTCCTTCCAGCACTTCACAGAAACAGAGACTGACTCTTAAATCCTGCGGCCTTAAAGGTGAGATCCTGCCAAGATCCAAGGAGCTACGTGACAACTAGCCACCAGCCAATGACAGTAACCACCATTTGTCAAACACTCCCACAGAATGCTGGGAGCTTCATATACATTCCACTCCCCCGGGCCTCACTTTCCTCATGTATAAAATGGGTCAAAAATGCATTATGTAAATGAGGGAAACGAGGTTCAGAGAGACTAGGTCATCTGTCCAGGGCACAGAGTGAAGTGCAATTCTAACCCCCCACGCTCTCCTGCAATCCCACAATGCCATGAAAAGGGTTAAACCCAAGACCATGTTTCACAGGGACACAGCACCTCCTGAACACAGGGCATGCTGCCAGCCAAAGATCCGAGATCTGTAAGCTATGCCAGCACTCTTATTAATAGCACCTTCTTGCAAAGTTTCTCTGCTCAGCCTGCCGAGCCTCAGTATTGAGAAAAGATTCATATAGGTGAGCAAACTAATTATAAAACCAGCAAAATCAAAATAAAATTAAACTATGAAAGCCTGGAGTGGAAACAGGAAATTCAGTGTGAAGAGGGAGGTGCTCTGCTGGGGAAGCTGCCAATAAAATCTGGCAGAGAAAACTGTTGGACTCATGGCTGGTTTATCTGGAAAGTCTTCTGGGTGAGTTTAAAACAAGCAAGCTCCTCCACCTGACTGCTGAAGAAATAGGGGTAGGATCAGTGCTCAGTTCTCTAGCAAAGGTTTGTAACAGCACAAATGATAATATTCCCAATGGGTGCCTTCATGTCTTTTTAGCTAAGGCCCTTCATCTGCTTTTTCATTTCCAGTGTGCTGTCTAGAACAAATAGATCGCATCTTATCTAACACTTGACCATGACAACATAGTTTTACGTTGATTCCAGAGGCCTGGGGGCACTTTCTTTTTCTTAAAGCCACAAAAGTAAACTGAGTCACATTACCCAATTCACTGGCACAAAGATTAGCTTGCTGTCTTATAACTGACACAGCTTCCTTTAACTCCAGTTTTACTCAAAGTTGCAGCTTAACCAACCACAGAAGCAAGAAATCTAGTTCCATATACCTCTGCGCATTAAAAAAAAAAAAGACAAAAGACCTACTTTCTTGCAAATTAAAGATGAGGTAAAACTTCCAGCGTTTAATTCTGCAAATCCCAAAACAGCAAGCAAAGCGTTTGTCATGATCATGAGGGCCACATGAAGAAAGGTCTTTCTTCACCAGCGAGCACATGAACTCAAGTTATCCTGCCACCAGGTATCAGCAAGGCAACAAACACCATGGCCCCACCACACAGCCCAGAGTCCCCCAAACGGCACCACTTACAGAAAGAGAGAGACGACATGTGATGAAGCAGCGCCCAGGGATGGTACCGCTGTCAACTCATTATTATTGAGGTACCTGTAACAACAACAAGAAATTAATCATGTAAGGCATTTGAATTAGTCTGAAATCATACACATACAACAGAAATAAACAAACGCTGCTAAGTCTGCCACAGTAAACCTATATTCTAATGTTGGAGAAAAGAGAAAGAATTTAGCAGTGAGTTTTTAAAGGGAAAGAAGTCACATGAGATCACAAAAACTAGCCACTGATCACACCCATGGCTAGAAACAAACACTAAGGGGAAGCATCTCCTGTCTCCCATCAGCTTCCCATCAAACTCAGAAATCAAGACAAGGAACAGTGAGAACAAGCCAAGAGGCAGGTTCGGGACAAAAGCGCCCCTAAGACCATCGGTGAGAACACTCCCCGTGGGCCGAAATTTGCCCCTGTCAAAGGGCAACATGTGTGGAACAAGAGCCAGAGACTCACGCCCTGGCTCACATGGAGTTCTGAGGGGCTTGGGACACATGGGGCCAATTATTTCAGTGCCTCATCTGTGAAATAACAAGGGAACTGGACTCAGAGACTCTCTTCCATTTGAGGTTCCAGCTGGACTCTGATGAAGCCTCTGGATGCATCCCCCAGGAAAATGAACATATATACACACACTTTTGCGCATAGACACTTTGAAAATTCTCCACAGACGAGAGTTGCTCTCCAAGCTCCCTTCCTGCTAAAATAGTCCAAATATGTATTTCCATAGTTAATATCTCTTAACGGAAGGGGAAACCCACGAACCAAAGCACGGCTCGCCTGGTCTGCCCCCAGAGGCTGTGCAATCTGGCCTCCTTACATGGACATGTATTTCCAAATCTGGGAAGAGAATCCAAAATCAGACTTGCAAAGTGAGCCCAACAATCCTTAAGAAAACCAAAGCAAAGTGTTCAGGCTTTCTGCCAGGTGATGGGCTAGAAAGAAATTGTACTTGCGATGCAAAGTCAAGGGGATAAAACTGGGTTCTTATTCTCAGTTTTTTAAGGGAGGTACGTCTAACACAGAGCATCCTGTTTCTGTTTGAAGACAAAGCAACTGAAATCACAGCTGTACTCATACAAGTATACAGCTAGCATGTGCTTGAAGAGAATAATCTGGTTGTCTGCCATCTTTTATAGAAGTGAATAGGAGAAGGAAAAAAAAAAGGAAAGGCCTTGAATTATCCCATTTGCTTTCTTCAGTGCCAAAGCCAGTTAGGGATGAAGCTTGGCAATTACTGGGCTGTGGGACATAGAATGCCTGTTTCAATAGCTTCATGGCTGAAGCATCTGGCAGAGAGAAGGCAGATCCGTATCATGTGGCAAATCTTTTCTCCACTTAAAGGGCCCTTGTTTGTGTGTTGAAATAGACAATTAATTACTTTAACAGTCTCTTATCTGACTGCCCCCTAAATCAGATTGTTTCTGCTTCACCTTTTATCTCCTCCAACCCTGCTGTGATCCATTTCCCATCCTCACTCAGGGACACTGAAAACTCCCCATTAGTCTTAATCTCAGCTAATAAATTTTTCATAGTACCCATCAACGTACCTATTATTACAAGAGACCCCCAGGTTTTATCAGAGCAAGAAAAACTAAGGTCGGGGACCTGCTGTCAATCAGGCAGCTTGCCTAAGAACTCTTTCATTGCTTGCGATTTCTTCTCAAACACAGAGAATGTTAGTAACAAAAACAAAAGCAGGTAAATTAATGAAGGCTGACTATGTGCCAGGCACAGCTCTAAGAGCTTTTCAGTATATTAATGCATCTCTACAGCCCTCAGAAGTAGGTCTCAGGAACATTTCCACTGCACCAATGAGGAAACTGAAACACAGATGTTAAGTAATTTGACCAAGGTCACCAGCAATAAGTTGCAGTGGCCCAGGGTGCCTAGCCCCAAAGTCTAGGTTTTTCCTCATTACCTTCTATTTCTTTATTTCAGCAAAAACTCGACATGCCTCGTGCACTTTCACCATCACAACAACTTTGAATCAGGTACCAGGTTAACTACTACCATTCTCTACATTACCGGTAAGTTCTCTAGGCCAGTTTAAGTCACTCATCTAGGGTCATGCTACTAGAGAGGACATGGCCAAGACCTGAAAAAAGTATGACTACAAACCAGAGGAGAGCAGCGGGCTCAAAGGCCAGCTGGAAAGCTCATAATCCCTTAGGTAACAGCACAGTTGTTTTTCAGCCAGCTTAGGATCTCACTTGATTTTAAACCTGAAACAAAGCGTATGGACTTCTCTGCAGGGGGCTACGCCTGATGAGCCTGGTCTCAGGCCAGGCCTACTGTATCTGTGACAAACTGCTCCACCCAATTTCACAGAAATAAATGAACAAGGGAAGCGGGCATCATGATATTTCAAATTGTGACAGAACTGCTGGAAGTGGAGCATAGAGGGGTGGTGGACCAGTGCTGGAGCTTAACTGGGCCTTCTATGTCTAGATGAGCAGGCCCGAGTCAAGGGCTCAGTCAGAAACAGTGGGCTCTGGTGGCAACAGGGCTGCCTGACTTACAGGGAGGACACTCAAAGCCCCCAGGAGAGGCCCTGCACAGTGAGCTTACTTCCAGATCATTTCTACTGAAAAAAGAACCGCTATTCAGAGTAAGTCTGTTAGCTCCACCACTGCTGGCTCCCTTTTTGTTCACTCTGTCCCCTGTTGAAACAAGAATACTCTCCTCAGAAGGCAGCAGAGGCCCAGCTCACTCTGAGATGCAAAGAACTTCTTGCCAGACTGAAATAGAGACTGGTCAAAAATAGCACAGCTACAGCTTTGAGGGGAAAGGCACTCAGGAAGTTTAGCAGAGTCTCCATGAATAAAGAAATTTTAGGAAGTAAAGATTGTGCCTGATGAAATTTTTTTAAATATCTACGATTGTACAGTCTTCTCTCACCCCCTACCCGCCAATTTACTTCCCCTGCCGACGCCCATCTCTCCCCACAATTTACTTCCATCCAAGGCCCTAAAAATCTCTCTGAAACGTCTGGTCTCTATTTCTAAACCTTTTCTGATGATTCAGGATTAAGAAGTGCCTCAGATGCATCAGACCCATGAATCACGGCCAGACCCTGGGGCTAGAGAAGGTGTAGCTAAGGTAAAAGGATTCCGGACCCCAGGGCAGAACCTAGGGGTGGGTCCTTTCCCAATTCAATCCGTAAGGTCAGCTTGGACCTTCTGGTCCCTCACCTTTCTCCCAAAACTTCCATTTAATTGACTTAAGGGAAGTTTTACATTTTGTAAGCTACAAAATGTGATAAAGGCTATTTCATAGTACTACATCATCATCATCATCAATCTTAATCAAATTTGGCTTCAACAATGTCAAACCAATGCAGAAATTGTGCTTGTCTTTTTTCTGAGACGGAGTCTCGCTCTGTGGTGGCCCAGGCTGGAGTACATTGGCATGATCTCGGCTCACTGTAACCTCTGCCTCCTGGGTTCAAGCGATTCTCCTGCCTCAGCCTCCCGAGTAGCTGGGATTATAGGCACAGGCCACCACACTCAGCTAATTTTTTTATTTTTAGTAGACACGGGGTTTCGTCATGTTGGCCAGGCTGGTCTCGAACTCCTGACCTCAGGTGATCCGCCCTTCTCGGCCTCTCAATGTGCTGAGATTACAGGCGTGAGCCACCATGCCTGAATTTTTCTTGCTGTTATTTATTTACTCATTAAATAGCTGGTATAAGCACAGAGTAAAGTTTTCAAACCATTTCAAAAAAGAATACATAGTAAACATAAAGCTTCTTTGCAGTTCCATCCTCTGGTCTGCCTCCAAAGGGCAGCTCCTGCTGCTGGCTACTAGAGATGTGTATGTGTTTTTCTTTTGCACAAATGTACGTGTATTAAACAGACTGTTGTGTACCGCCATTTCTCTTTAGTAATATATCTTGGAGGTCTCCACTATTCGTTTAACTGGTGGCACAGTAGTCCTCTGCTGGTATGAATGGACCATAATTTATCTGGCCAATCCACTACTGGCAGACATAGTGGCTGTTTCTTTGGTTGCTCCCAAATACAGACAGAGCTGCAATTAATAGTAGTCAAAGTTGGGCAGTGCGTTGAAACTGTAGTTGGTTTTGTTTCTTAAAAGGGTGAAAGCCATCAGTATCACATAGGAATATGGGTTTCGGAAGCAGGGCCACTTAATAACTGTATTCTGCTTTAGTTACTAGAGAATAATGTATACTAACTAATTGATGTGGTGAGACTTTATGATACGTGGTTTCTACACAAGATAGCCAGATAAAATTATTTTAGCGTAGGATATAATTACTTTAACAAAATAAACAATAATAAAGGTGAACATCTACTATGTGCCAGACTCTGTCCTAAGTTTTCTATGTGCAATATCTCAGTGAATGACATGCTAACACTTTGAGGAAAGTACTAAATTATCACCTCTCCTTAAGAAAGGAAACTGAGGCACAGTTACAGAACAGGGATTATTAGGATGGGATTATATAGCTCAGATGTTTAAATCAGACATATCTTGGTTCACTCAACTCCAATTGCACCCTTTATCAATCCAATGCTAAGCATGTCACTCAGCCTTGCTGTCCCTTACTTCCCTCTTCTGAAGAATGTAAATAATACAAGTGCCAGCTTTGTAGGGTTTTGGGAGGATCCAGCTGAAATAATTAAACCTAAGATCTCAGGATATTGACAGATACACAGGATATGCTTAAGAGATGGCAGGAGGACCAGGCATGGTGGCTCACACCTGTATTCCAGCCCTTTGGGAGGCCAAGGCAGGAGGATCATTTAAGCCCAGTAGTTCGAGACTAGCCTGGGCAACATGACAAAACCCATCTCTACAAAAAATTAGCCAGGAGTGGTTGTGCACGCCTGTAGTTCCAGCTACTCAGGAGGCTGAGGTGCGAGGATCGCTTGAGCCTGGGAATTTGAGGCTGCAGTCAGCTATGACCATACCACTGCACTCTAGCCTGGGCAACAGAGTGAGATCCTGTCTTAAAAAAAAAAAAAAAAAAAAGTGATAGTAATTCACAGCCAAAAGGCAGTACCCCAAAACGACAACCCTCATTATTTTACCCTCTCCCTAAACATACTACCATCCCCCGCACCCCTGCTCACACACACCCACTGTGGGGAGCAGCAGCCTGACACAGTGCGATGAACCACAAATACCCAATAGCAGGCAGGGCACACTTGAGGCTTCCTTACCAGGTCAGTGGCCCTGGCAAGCACACGGCAACACCCACAGCAGGCACTCGCGGGCCAGGCGGCAGTACTGTGATCTGAAGGCAGTATCTACAGAGGACTGTATAAATAGCCCCTTTTATTAATAGAGGAGCCTGCTGGCCAGGACCCCAGCTGGAGGCACTCCCTGGTGGGCTTTCCTCAGGGCTGTGGGCAGTGAAGACCGTGTGGCTTGGACGCAGCTGCACAAGCGTCCTCATGTCCTCCAGGGGCCTCGCCTTCTCTCTCCAGCCGGCCCATGATGTCATGTGGTTCTGAGGCCTCCAGAATAAAACCACTGCTAAACCACTGCCTGCTGTTCTGCCAGCCTGTGGCTCCATTCTCAATGAGGGCTCCAGACTGAAGGCTCTATAAAGTTTGGGAGAGCTGACAGCGCCTGGGCAACACTGGAGACTGGTTAATTTTGAAGCAGTAGCATGTCAGCTACGATTTTTTTTCTTTTCTTCAATATCCTTCCCCACCTCCCCACCCCTCAACACCTAACAGCCTCTTTCTGTCTCCACGACTTTTTAGAATTCCCTTAGGGTAAGGCCTGGGTCTTTTATCAGTGAGAAGTTCTACTGTTCTAGGCAGCAGGGAATTCATCTCATCCATCTCACAGAACAGGGAGTGACACTAGGGATAGGAGGCACAATGGTAAGACATTCAACCAGTCAGCCTGCAAAGATTCATTTCTAAACAATGCACCCAGCTTGGAGGGCTGGGCAGTTCCAAACGTAGCAGGAGAGAAGAGGGATAATATTCAGTGAGCCTCTCGCATGTGCAAGGCCCTGTGCATCATCTTAATAACTACAGTAACACCAACAATGTGTTACGATGTCAATGTTACAGAAGAAAGAAAGCAAACGCTGAGGCACTAAGTAACTTGTCTAGGGTCTCAGGACCCTAGTAAGGGGCAGAACCAGAAATCAAACGTGAGTCTATTTGCTACCAAAATGAGAGTTTTTCCCACCACATCATATTGAATCCCTAAGATATGACCTCTGTCTTAACATCCCCCACACTCAGACGGTACTGTTGCCATAGATGGTGTGGACCAGGATTATACTGGAGAACATGGGTCAAGTTCTACCACTCACTAATCACGCAATTTCAGCCAAATCCCATGCCTCAGTTCCTCTTCATCTTCAGTTGACTGTGAGAGTTAAGATGAAGGATATAGGAATTTAAGGTAGTGCAGCCGCCAAGGTTAGCACAGGTTTTGAGTTCAACTCTCAGCTTTACCAACCATGTGACACTGTGCAAGTTTAACTTTTCTAAGTATCTGTTTCCTCTTCTGCAAAGCAGAGAAACTCCTTTTATTTTTATTACTTTTTTTCAGAGATGGGGTCTTGCTCTGTTGGGTGGAGTGCATGGTGCAAACATGGCACGCTGAAGCCTCAACCTCCTGGGCTCAAGCGATCTTGAGGCCTCAGCCTCCCAAGAACCTGGGACTACAGGCATGGGCCACTATGTCCAGCTAATTTTTTGTAGAGACAGGGTCTCACTTTGTTGCTCACGCTGGTCTCAAATTCCTGGGCTCAAGTGATCCTTCTGCACCCAGCTGAGAAAATGCTTACAAAGAAAATGTTTTAAGGGGCTGGGTGGAAAATGTTTTAAGGGGCTGGGTGTGGGGGCTCATACCTGTAATCCCAGCACACTGGGAGGCCAAGGCAGGCAGATCACATGAGGCCAGACTTCGAGACCAGCCTGGCCAACACGGCGAAATCCCATCTCTACTAAAAATACAAAAATTAGCTGGGCGTGGTGGTGCACATCTGTAATCCCAGCTACCTGGGAAACTGAGGCATGAGAATCACTTGAACCCAGGAGGTGGAGGCTGCAATGAGCTGAGGTCACGCCACTGCACTCCAGCCACGGTGACAGAGCAACACTCCATCTCAAAAAAAAGAAAGAAAGAAAATGTTTTATATCAGGCCAGGCGTGGTGGCTCATGCCTCTAATCCTAGCATTTTGGGAGGCCAAGGCGGGTGGATCACCTAATGTCAGGAGTTCAAGATCAGCCTGGCCAACATGGTGAAATCTCATCTCTATCTAAAATATAAAAATTAGCTGGGCACGGTTGCAGGCACCTGTAATCCCAGCTACCTGGGAGGCTAAGGCAGGGGAATCACTTGAACCGAAGAGGCGGAGGTTGCAGTGACCCAAGATTGCACTGCACTCCAGCCTGGGAGATAAGAGCGAAACTCCATCTCAAAAAAAAAAAAAAAAGATAATGTTTTATATCACAGAGTTGATGTTAGGGTTAAGTGATGTCGTATTCTCCAAAGGTTTATTAGCACACTGCTACAATTACTGTGACTGTTCCTAAGTGAGAAATATATTTTTGAGACTCATAACCAGTATCTCCAATGAAGGAAAGGTGGGAGTGCTCAGTTCTAGAGCTGGGTGGGACATAAACTCTAACAAGTGCTGAGTACAGGCTGCAGGTCACGGGAGCCAAATCAAATGAAAGGTAAAAGCCTGTCTAGGCAAGGAACAACAGGAACAGGGAGTTAGAACACCACTGAAAATGCTCACCAGAGCATGTACCATGCCTGCCCCTGATAGATAGGGGTCAGTGAGGGTTGAAACCATAAAAGGACCTGGCCTCTGGCCACGCACCCCTCCATCGTGCATGCCAGGCACAGTGGTCCTCAGCCTGTTCCCTTCTTGAGGCTCTGTACTTGCAGTGCTCCCTGTCCTCATCATTCACACCTGCTCACTCAGGACCTTCCTGATCACACTGTTTCCGTTATCAAGCCTCCAAAATTCTTCATACAAAAAATACTCCCACATTACTCTGTTCTATTTCCCCCATACCACTTATCTCCAATAAGTCTTACTGGTTTCCTTATTCAGTCCATGGCTTCCCTCAACTTAATGTAAACTCAGTGAGAGGAGAGGTTTGTCTGCAGGGCTGGAATTGGGTAGGGAGGGGCACAAAATTTAAGGGACAGCCAAAAACCCAGTCACGAGGACAAAGACTATATTAATGCAATATTTTTTAAATATGAAGATGAATGCAAAACAAAATTCATGATGAACAAAATATGAAAAGTTTAAATCAAGACAAAATCAGCAACAGCACCGTGTGAAGCCATCCTGGAACTGAAGGCAAAAGGAAAGAAATCAGTAATACTAATCCTATCTTGATCTAAGCTTTTTATATTTTACTCATCATTTTTTTTTTACATTCATTTTGACTTTCAAAATATTGTATCAAAATACCCTTTATCTTGACTGCTGAGTCTTTGGTGTCCCCATAAATTTTGCGCCTGTGTTGGGTGCCTCACTTGCCCCTCCCCAGTCCCAGCCCTATCTGTGTCCTGTTCACTCTTGTAGCCCCAGCACCCAGAATAGCTCCTGGACAGAGGAGATGCTCGAGTAAGTATTCAATGAAAGCTTGAATGATGCTAGAGGGAATTCTCCAATTTTGTCCAGTCCTAAAAGAAACCACTAAGTTTGGAGATGTACACAGAATTTGAATATATTCTAACCACAAGCATTAAAGACAGCTTGGATCAGGGAAAGCACTGGGTTACAAACCTAACAAGCTCCATGATGGCCTGGGTTTATCATCTTGGTGACTATGATGGGCTGAACTGTGTTCCCCTAGGGTCCATATGCTGAAGCTCTAACCCCTAGTACCTCAGCATGTGACTGCATTTGGAGATGGGGCCTTTGAAGAGGTGATGGGCCCTGATCCAATATGACTGGTGTCTTTATAAGAAGAGGAAATCTGGACACACACAGAGACACCATGAATGCACACAGAGGAGAGACCACGTGAGGGCACAGTGCAAGGCCTCGGAAGAAACCAAACCTGCCAGTACCTTGATCTTGGACTTCCTGCTTCCAGACTGTGAGAAGATGAATTTCTGCTGTTCAAGGCACCCAGCCTGTGCTATTTGTTTGTTATGGCAGCAGCCTTAGCAAACTAACACAGTGACCCACTTCAAACTTCCTTTCCCCTGCCATGGACTCACTGATCCTCTGGGAGAATGAGAGTCCTAGAGAAACCATTTCCAAGGCCCCTTCCTGTTCTGATGCTTCTTTAACTGTGGAAGCCTAAACCTTTTTTAAACAGAAGCAGAAATTATAAACGCCAATCTGGAGAATCTGGAGATGAGGGTTTGGAATGCAAGTATTTTGCAAATTGTACCAGCTGATGAAATTAAAATTTCTTTAGATATGTCATCAATAATGGAATCAAAGAATAACAAGTAAGCCTGGGTGCAATGGCTCACACCTATAACCCCAGCACTTTGGGAGGCCAAAGCAGGAGGATCACTTGAGGTCAGGAGTTCAAGACCAGCCTGACCAACATGGCGGAACACCATCTCTACTAAAAAAATTAGCTGGATGTGGTGGCACACACCTGTAGTCCCAGCTACTCACAAGGCTGGGGTGTGAAAATCACTTGAACCCGGGAGGCAGAGGTTACAGTGAGCTGAGATCACGCCACTGCACTCTAGCCTGGGCAACAGAGCGAGACCCTGTCTTAAACAAACAAACAAACAAACAAAAAACAACAAATAAGACTTTTATCAGTTACTCATAACAAAAATGGGTAAAAAACTTACCTAATAATGTCTAATAAAAATAATAATGAAGTACTGGGTAGGTAATATATGAAATATCCACGTATAGTAGTTTTACATAAAAGCTAAAACAGGACATTCAAAAACTTTTAATTTACATGATAAAGTATCTTATGTAAGGATAAGTAGGAAAGACTGATATAAAACCACAATGTACAGTTTGATCCTAAAATTACATATGTACATGTAATAGTTTTCACTAGGTGTTCACAATGGGTATGCCTGGGTGAGAATACTGGTGATTTTCATTCTTCACACGTTTCTGTAGTTGCCAATTTTTCTACAATATGTATACTACATATATGTGAAGGTTTCTATAAAGTCTCCATGAAACTAAAATTCCTGATAATCCTAACATCCACATCAAAAACAGAATGCATTAAAAAGAAGGAAAGACTGCAGCCTGATTTCCAAGACACTGCAAGGGACAGCAAGCCTAGAGCTCCAAAGGCAGTCATACCTAGCTCTGTTTGGAGGTGGAGAGGAACAGGTAAGCCTCTATAGTCCATCCTTCTATAACTTCACTTCCTGGGAAATACACGTTTGGTGGCTCACATGCCACTGTTGAGTGGGCTGATTAACCTGTAATCCCAGCACATTGGGAGGCCAAGGCGCGCAGATCACATGAGGCCAGAGTTCGAGACCAGCCTGGCCAACACGGCAAAATCTCATCTCTACTAAAAATACAAAAATTAGCTGGGCGTGGTGGTGCAGGAACTGTGAGAAAGTACCAGCCCAGGATGTGTCACTCCAGTTACAAGGCTTCCCACAATGGAGGGACTCTGCTATACACCCACCATGCGCCCAGGATTTCCAGGAGCTCTATGCCTACTGAATTGTAACACACCCTTCAAGAGCCTACAGTAAGGGAGAGATAAGCAGGAGTAGAATTCATCAACACAGTCCATACACAAATGTTCCTTCCTACAAGTTTACACTGCGGATCTAGGGGAGTGAGCGATGCTGCAATACAAGAGGATTTTCCCAAAGAGCTCTCCATCCTTCCATCCACCAGAGGTTTAGGGGGAGACTCACACTTCCTGTAGGTTCGGCAAGTCCTCAAAACCAGCAGGGTCAATCTCAGAGAGTTTGTTGTAACTCAGGTTTCTGGTAAAGACAGAGAGAGAAAAAAACGGAATCAACAACCTGGCATCATACCCAGAATTCAGAAATCTTCTCTTCTCCTGGCTCCCCCACCCTCAAATCCAAGCCCCCATCCCATGATCATGTATTAAGTAACCGTATTGATACTGAGATTTACAGACATACCCCCTCCCCACCTACATCCATAAATAAGGCACTCCAAGCAACTCTATGAAAACCCAAACGAATTTCTATCAGTATCATTTCACTATTTAACAACTTGGAAAGAAATTCTAAGGTAAACCAGCTCCCTACCTACATTAAGGTGTCCTGGTCCAAATGCTTTGCACCCTATCAAGTACAAGGCTATTCTTAACGGCATTTTTTTAAATTAATGTTTTAGTAGCATCAACATCAAGCAGCAGTAAAGGAGAAAAGGGAAAAAACCCCTTCATTGTCTAAACCAGTGGCTCTCAACCAGGGATGATTTTGCCCCCCAGAGGACACTTGGCAATGTCTGGAGACATTTTTGGTTGTCACAACTGGTGGCAGGGAGTGGGGGGTGTTACTGGCATCTGGTGGATACAAGCCAAAGATGCTGTTAAATATCTTACAATGCACAGGCAGCCCTGCACGACTGAGAACTGCGCGGCCCTAAATGTCAATCCTAGGATTCAGAGG
Source organism: Homo sapiens (assembly GCF_000001405.40). Classification (NCBI taxonomy): domain Eukaryota; kingdom Metazoa; phylum Chordata; class Mammalia; order Primates; family Hominidae; genus Homo; species Homo sapiens. The sequence continues at coordinate 66,463,167 of NC_000003.12, forward strand.
TTGAAAAACCCTGGTCTACACAAGAGCTTAAGACTAAAAATTGCACAAATAGTCAAAGTTCAAGTGAGTGTTTAGAAAGTAAACACTGTAAGATCCTGAATCATAAGGCTACTTATGAACACAGTATTCCCACCTACACTGAATAAACCGGGAGGGACAGTCACACAGGAGAAAAGGGCCAGTTGCTGGAAATTCTTGTTCGTGTTAACCACAGGCAGGGAAAGCCTCACATGAGCAGCTTTCTCAAGATGATGGCGTCTGTGTCAATGGTTCAGAATTAAAACTCTCCCTGCTTCATAACCCAGCCATACCCTTAGAGGCGGACAAAGAGCAAGCTGGGCAACTATTCTGTTAGGGGACCACAATCTCAACCAGAGCAGCTTCATCTTTCAGGAACAGAAGCCACAAAGATGTGATCCAAATGGGCCCTAACTTTCTTTGCCAGAAAGTAATCTTTCCTTGCCTCCAAAGTCTACCCAGCCCCGTGTTTGCCAAAGAGGTTAACATTTTTCATCTCAGCTATTAATTCCACTCACACTACTGCCAATTAACAGTACGACTAATTTTGAGTTTAAAGTCTGTCTCAGAAAGTGTCACGTATTGTGGCAACAATCTTTTAAACTTACTCCAGAGACATTTCAATCAATACTAACCTAGAGCTGAGAGCCATTTCACTGTGAGCTCAGAGACGTTCATCTAAATAAAAGTCAAACTACACTTGAAACTAATGGCACTTCTGTATTCATGGGTACAGCCTGAATTAAAAGCAATTTGTCCAGAGATTATGTTACCATAAAGACTGAAGGTGGTAATGCTTTAAACCGCATATTGAACTCAAGTGTGAGCTTGTCTGTGCCTGGGGGTATTTGTTAATGGGTACCCAGAAATCCCAACTTAGACTTGAGAAAGAAAATCTAGAAATTGAGAGAATTCTCCCACATTAGAAAAAGGACTTAATAGACTGAGATTTTCTTCTATTTTGAGCAGATTATCATAAAAAGGGGGATGGAAATATTGTTTCTGGGTGTAAAGATACTGGGAGTTTACGATGACTGTAACTTTTGTATCATCATAGGTAACAGGAGTTGTGAAGCAGGAAGGGATATTAGAGAAATACTCAGAAACCACAAAGGCAAGAGCTTAGAGGACAAGCAAGTAAGAGAGGGCTGGTGAGCCTGCCCTGTGTGTAACAAGGCTGACACGGAAGTGCCTGCCGCACACCTAAAGGGGCATTTGCTTCTTGTCCCCCGAAACAAGGGCCAGTGCAGACCCGTCTTCTCAGAGGCTCACGATCTGAATTCATGTTTTGTTTGGCCCATTCAGGGTTGCTTTATTACTTAAAAAAAAAAAAAAAACTGAAAAGATTTCACATATCTGCAGGCCCCATTTGGCTTGAGGATCGCCAGTTTTTGCCTCTGATCTGGGCCACTGACTCTTGAGGCCATTAGGTTCAAAGGGAACATATGTTTCTGGCTTACACATGTGGCCTGGATAGAGCTAGGGCTCACCAGGTCTTACGCAATTAAACTGATGGCTCGGTTTGGGACTATCTGAAATGAGATAACTTCCCTCACTTCCCACCCAGCAAGTATCCAAAGTCTTCAGCAACTTGGTATAAAACCATTTAAGTCACAACACCCTTGGGTTTGTCTTTCCCTTAAAGAGCAGACAAAATGTATTCACATTTCAAAAATGTTATAAAAATTTTGCTTTTTAGGTAAGGCTACTTGAGCAAAGGGTCTTCCATTCCAGTACTATCTAGAAGCCTAGCAGTATCAGGACTTAACACTGAGATGCCAACAAGCAGCAACAGAGATGAACACACTTAGAAGTGGAAACGTTAAGTTTTCACGGGGTCAGCTGGAATTAACTAGAAAAGCCACCTATCAACATTCAAGTGTTAGGGTGCTACCCAGAAAGGGTAACTCTCCTCTCAGAGCACCTGTTGGCAAAAAAGAAGACAGCCACCAAGGCTCACGTCCCTTTCTGCTGTGGACAAGGGGCTGTTCTGGTTTTTAAGTCTGAGAAGCAAGTGGGCCTAAAGAGTGGAGCCAGCTGTAGATCCTCAATAGGTTTATTGGGAAATAAGGAAAATAGTTACCACATTCTCCCCAGGAACTACAATATGAAATAAAATCCTCAGAGACACTTTCTTGTTGGCCCAATTCAAGAAGACAAACTCTGAGCATAATTTTTTTTTTTTTTTTTTTTTTTTTGAGACGAGTCTTGCTCTGTCGCCCAGGCTGGAGTGTAGTGGCATGATCTTGGCCCACTGTGACCTCCACCTCTTGTTTTCAAGCAATTCTCCTACCTCAGCCTCCAGAGTAGCTGGGATTACAGGTGCCTGCCACCATGCCCGGCTAATTTTTTTGTATTTTTAGTAGAGACAGGGTTTCACCATGTTGGCCAGGCTGGTTTCAAACTCCTGACCTCAGGTGATCCACCTGCCTCAGCCTCCCAAAGTGCTAGGATTACAGGTGTGAGCCACCGTGCCCGGCCTGAGCATAATTTTTTTAATGTGGTAAAATACATATAACATAAAATTTGCCTTTGTAACCATTTTTAAGTGTACTCTTCAGTGGCACCGAGTACCTTCACACTGTTGTGCAACCATCACCACCGTCCATCTCCAGAACTTTAGAAGTTTCTCAACATCCCAAACTGAAAGTCTGTACTCACTGAACACTAGCTCCTCATTCCCCTCTGTCCTAGCCCCTGGCAACCACCATTCTACTTCTGTCTCTAAGAATCTGACTACTCTTAAGTACCTCATGTTGGTAGATTATAGAATATTTGTCCTTTTGTGAGTGGCTTAATTCACTTAACATAATGTCTTCAAGATTCATCCATGTTGTCACATGTGTCAGAATTTCATTTTTTTTAGAGACAGGGTCTCACTCTGTCACCCAGGCTGGAATGCAGTGGTGCAGTCATGGCTCACTGCAGCCTCAAACTCTTGGGCTCAAGTGATCCTCCTGTTTCAGCCTCCCAAGTAGCTGGGAGTACAGGCACACACACCACCACACCTGGCTAAATTTTACTTTTTTAGTAGACATGGTGGGGGGAGGGTCTCCCTATATTGCCCAGGCTAGTCTTGAACTCCTGGCCTGAAGCAATCCTCCCACCTCAGCCTCCCAAAGTGATAGGATTACCGGAGTAAGCCACTGCACCTGGCAGAATTTCATTTCTTTTTAAGGCTAACTAATATTCCCATGTATGTATATACCACATTTTGTGTATCCATTCATCACAGATGACATTTGGGTTGTTCCTCCTTTTGGCTATTGTGAATGATGTTGCTATCAACATTGCCATTTTTTTTCCAAATTTTTAAAATTACTTAGTTTTTTCAAGACTTTTCACTGCTTACTGATAACACGCATTTCTCAGTAATTAAGAAAATACACTTAGCCCAAGAGCTCTGCAGCAAGCAGCGTGAATTCCCATCTGAGATCCCAAGAACAATCAAAGAGTTAATCAGTGAAAATCTTTAATGAGGCCTTTCTTTCAGGTGGCAGCTGACATGCACACACATCTAAAGCATCTCACTTATTTCTATGAACACGATCGCCCTGTACCAGGCCTGACATCTGAATGTGTCTTCAGTTGAAGGTTTCAAATTCTCCTGTCAAAACAATTCATCTGTCAGTAGGAAAGATGCTGTCAAAAGCATTTCTGCACCTTTCAGTAGCAAAGAGGAGAGGAAAGAAACCTCGGAGAATTTAGTTACTGCCAATTGCAGCTTTAATTAAACATTCTGTCAGCCATTGTCATAACACAAATTTTCCCTGCTCTTGCACAAAGGGTGCGCAGATCTCTGAACAACTGAGCCCAGCAATAGATGTTCTTTCAGCTAATCTGCTGAAAGATGACCGTTCAGCCCACCGTTCGCTGAACACACAAGAGGCACCTCTGCAGAGGACAGCTCAAGTTTTATCCAGGCGTGTCTGAAAAGCAAACTGTTTACCAGTGCACAACAACAGTTTGCTCGCTGAGCACGTTTCCTAACAAGTCCCCTTGCCCCAACCCCAAGGAATCCGAAGAGCTAAAGTCCTTCAATAGCTGCAAAATCCCCACCACTATCTAAATCTGTGCTGTCCAATTTAGTAGCCACTGGCTATTTACATGTATATTTAAATGAAATTAAAATTACATAAAATTAAGAATTCAGTTCCTTGGCCACACTAGCTATTTTTTTTTTTTTTTTTTTTTGAGATGGAGTCTCGCTCTGTCGCCCAGGCTGGCGTGCAGCGGTGCATCTCCGCTCACTACAAGCTCCGTCTCCTGGGTTCACACCATTCTCCTGCCTCAGCCTCCCCAGTAGCTGGGACTACAGTCACCTGCCACCACGCCCAGCTAATTTTTTGTATTTTTTAAGTAGAGACAGGGTTTCACCGTGTTAGCCAGGATGGTCTTGATCTCCTGACCTCGTGATGTGCCCGCCTCGGCCTCCCAAAGTGCTGGGATTACAGGCGTGAGCCACCACGCCCAGCCCACATTAGCTATATTTCAAGTGTTCAACAGTACCACGTGGCTAGTGGCTATCAAAATGTACAATGCAGACAGAGGTTATTTCTATCAGCACTGAAATTTCTATTAAACTGTGCTGTGTCTGAATTACAAAATAACCAACGAATATATCTATATCATGAAATAATCCACAAACATTTCAAGTTAAATGTCACCTACAGAAGCAACTTGAATCTAAAACACAAATCTGAGCTACCCAATAACTCGAGAACTATGTAAAAGGCTGTGGTGAGGGATGGACACTGATATTAACACAAGTCCTTTGAGCACACAAAAAGTTCTGAACCATCTCAACAAGGGAAAGAGCCTTCAAAAACTGAAGTTATGAGGAAGACATTCTTAATAAAAACTGCCCTCAGAGTATAATTCTATAGGCTTAAACGGTATTTATCTAATCTGACAAGCACCTTCCTGGATTACAACCAGAACCACATATTACAAACTTGGCAAATGTTATTCAAAGCTGGTGAACAGTAATTCATTGACTCCTTGGAAGTTGAGGGATAAAAAGTTGTTTACTTTTGAGTAAGCTGTGGTGAGGAAACAACCCCACTTCGTTAGACAACAGAATTATCACTTCATCCCCAAAAGCAAGCATTGCTCACAGACCACTGACGAACACAGACAAAATCTCTCACTGTGAAGAGGAGCGCAACCCATGGCTCCATTTTTCAACATTAACAGAATAATTCAAAGTGGAAGGAATTGGTCCTAAATCCGTGACAAGCATTCCCTGAAGAATGAGGTTTTCATACTTGGTTTGGTTTCCAGGCTAGCCTATTTCCCATTACTCAATTCTGTCTGGACTCCTGAGCGCCACAGTATTTTGCATATTTTAAGCTTTCAGATGTTTGCTAAACTGCATTAATACAGCTGGAAAGTAAGTGTGAGGCAATCCAACAACCCAACTTCTGAGCACCAGTGGGCACCCAGCTCTGGCCTGGGAGCCGTGGGCTCTGGCGATTCATCTCTTTCTCAACCTCAGAACGTGCACTGTCAGCCACTCGTTAAAAAATTGCCTGCTTGGGACTCACCAGAAAAAGGTGGAAAAAGGTGATTCGTCCTTTCAAAATTTCAGCGGGTGCAAATAAGGAAGAACATGCAACAATGTTTAAGTTATTTAATCCTTTAAGCTTTTAAGACTGTTTCTGCTGCATTTTTACTTTCTGAGGAATTACATAGTACACATCAAGCTCCAATGAAATCACCACATTATGTTCCCATGTTGTAAGGTTTTATAAAAGAGAATAAGACTTCGTTCAAATCCCAGAATATTAGATGTTCTTACCTTTTTTTGTATTGTGATGCTTCCCCTTGTTAACCAAAAACCACAACTGAACAAGCGGATAATGCACATTAAAGGCTTATATTAAGATGACAAAATTGTATCTTGAACTGGAATCATTCCTCTAGTATCCTATCCAAGGATCTCCACTCAGGAGAAGGTTCTGTACTTGCTGCTACCTCTCTTCAGTAAGCTAAGCAGCCACATATTCCCTATGGCAAAAGAACATATTCTGCAAATAATCAAATGAAAAAAATCACTCAGATCTCAACATGATACAAATAGCTCATTTTGTAAGCTTTTGGGCAGTTGTATCTCACAAAGTCAGTAATGAGTCACCAGTTATTTCCATTTCTGAAAATTTTACATAGACCATTATCTATGCAAATAAGGGAAACCTACAGTGACTCAAAATAGGAGATACTATATACATACAGCTATATATGGACCCAGACTCATTGCCTATTTTTACTCCTTAAAAATCAGCTATAATAATCAGTGTGGGCCTCTGAAGTCTAACGCCCGTGACGTTAACTGAGAGAAGAAACTCATGCCTACCTCTGTGATCCCATAAGGTCTTACATGTGCTTCTCGGCCTTACTAGTTCACACATGTCATCCTGGTCTGTAGCTAATTTGAGTACAAGTCTACATCTTTTCCCTCTAGCACCCAACAAATGTCAAATTTGACAAATATTTATTGTCTACAAGGTATACTGCACTGTGATAAACTGATAACAAATTAGGATAAGATCTAGTCTGTGACTTGAAGTGGTTTACAACCCACTGGTCAAGTTAAGACTCCTGGCCGGGTGTGGTGGTTCACGCCTATAAATCTCAGCACTTTCGGAGGCTAAAGTCGGGGAATCACTTTAGGCCTGGAATTTGAGACCAGCCTGGGCAACATAGTGAGACCCTGTCCCTACCAAAAAAAAAAAAAAAAAAAGAATACTGACCAAATAACACAGCCAAAGGCTCTGACACTTGCAAGCATTCTGTAATGGTAGATCAGTAGCTACAAATTGGTAGTTTGTGGGTACAAAGCTGGGCTGCAGGGAAACTTGCTTGTTTCTGACTGAACAGTGTTGGTAGAAACCTAAAGTTTTCACCAAAAACTAAAGTTTCAGCTTTTCTTGAAAATAATCGGAGGGCCAGCATTCCTAACAGAAACAATCAACTACATGCATTTACCAAGCATTCCAATGACCACAGACCTCACCACTCCTTATTGTCTCACCCATGCCCTCTTTATTCACCGGCAGTATCTTCCCAGCCCGAGATCTGAGTTTGTCATCCCTAGCATGGATAACATGAATGAAGGCCAGATGGCGTCCAGAGCAGGAAAGATCAGCTGTAATGAGAAACGTTTATTGAAAATGCAAGATTTCAGCTAAGCCTAGAAGAAGAGCATGTTTTTTTGAAGAGGAGTCCTGGGAAACGAGGCCAGAAAAGTAAAATAAGGAATGGAGGGCATGGAGTAAAATAAGCAAACAAAAAGGCCAAGAAGTCAGGACCTCCTAGAAAGGAAAGGGCAAGACACAAATGGTTTTACAGCAAAGTTGAGAAGAATAGCCCCATGCTGCCAGACCCACAACCCACCAGGCGGTTAAGTCAAGGGTTATATAAACCTTAGCAAACCCCAGTGCCAGGTCCCTCACGAACATTAATCTATGGGGCCATTAAAGTTGATTTCCATAAGAACAGAGTATCGCCTTGTTCATTTACTTAAAAGTTCTGAACTAGATAATCAAGAGGCCCAATTTGTTTTCTCACCATCACTGAAGGCAGTTAGCATTTGCTTTCTATACTACCCCTTAAAATGGGAGATTCTAGGATCTTTCCTACCAAAAATCTTAGTTTGGCCAAAAAGAAACAAAATAATTAGCTATAATGGGTTTTGTTTTGTTTTACTTTAAGCAGTCTCATCTTTAGTGCAGTTTAGTACTGAGGAAAGCCCACAAATTTCCCATAATAGTCTCTTGTTAATATGGTATGTGCATCATTAACCCCTAAAGATTAATTAATTTAATTAAGAAGAGGCGCTCCAACACACCAGCTCTGCAGTTGGTGGGGACTTTACAAGCAAAAGGAATTTGGGCAGGGAATAGCTGCTGCCAGAGGCTGACCCTCCCACAGACCTGCCACAAAGGGAATATCACCATGGCCACCCCAGCAGGCAAGAGGTGCCTACAGCCACCATTTGGCTTTGCTATTAGAGAAGTGCTTTGCAGAGGCTTGGAAATGGGGAGCGGGAAGAGATGGGTCAGAAGTCTGGTCATTCAGGATCGCCTATTCTCTACTTTATCATCTCCAAAAAGAAACACTAATTCACTAACTTTCACATAGTCCTTAAGCTCTACAGGACTTGGCAAACTCATCACCTGCACAATAGCCCCCCTATCCTCACCCCATCCAGTAACAGAGCTGAATCTTTACCTCCTGGGAGCCCAGTCATTCTGCAGAACAGAGGGGGGTTGGAACCTTGGAGCCAGGTGCTCCCTGCTCCCACTGAACTCTTCCCCGAGGTGCCCTGACAGCCTAGGGCCCCAGCCGCTGCAGGGAGAGCAAAGGCTCATCCATCCCAACCAGCAGGGACGGAGGGCATGGCGGGGATGAAGGGCGGCCAGAGGTAAAACCCAGAGGTTCTCTCAGTTAAAGGATGGCAGAGGGTTCTCATAAATGAAAACCACGCTCTACTGCGGCAGAAAACGGAGACTTTTGCTTCTGGAGTACTGAAAACAAGTCAGGCAAAAGGGACAGGAAATATGGGATGGGTAAAACTGAGAAAAAGGACACATTAACCTGGTGGATACATTTGGAATCCCAGGTTCACCAAGTGCTTTGTAAAGTCCACCAAAGCTTCTCTGGTCACGGATTACTGTTTTCCTTTCCTAAAACTTCCACCTTTACCCCTCCACATCCGCCCCTGGCCCCTGCTAAATGTCCACTTTCAGGAGACTGATTAGCTTCCTATGAAACCACCAATGCAAAATCCAGGGTGTTTCTGAAAATGTGATGCAGCTTTAAAATTCACTAACTTCGGGCCAGGCGTGGTGGCTCATGCCTGTAATCCCAGCACTTTGGGAGGCCAAGGCAGGCAGACCATGAGGTCAGGAGATCAAGACCATCCTGGCTAACACGATGAAATCCCATCTCTACTAAAAATACAAAAAATTAGCCTGGCGTGGTGGTGGGCGCCTGTAGTCCCAGCTGCTGGGGAGGCTGAGGCAGGAGAATGGCGAGAACCCGGGAGGCGGAGCGTGCAGTGAGCCGAGATCACACTACTGCACTCCAGCCTGGGTGACAGAGCAAGACTCTGTCTCAAAAAAAAAAAAAAAAAAAAAAAAAAAAAACACTAACTTCGGATGGTCACAGGAAAGATGCAAACTAACAAGGAAAGCTTCTTCGACTGCCATGTGCCACACAACAGAATTGCGTAAACTTTGGCACAGTCACCACCCGTAAGTGATGCTGTGATGAATCTCCTGTTCCGATACACTGAAATGATTCACCACTTAACGGTGAGTGATTTTACACACTACACGCTCACACCTAAGGGCCCTGAGATGAACCCTGCTATCAAAGAGCAAAATACCTGTTTTAACACAGGCCCATAAAATTGCTCCTGGTCATGAGAGCAGGGTGGCCAAATTCCAAGCCTGCCTTTCCGGCAGAAGGTACAACCACGGATTTCACTGGGATAAAGTGATAAGAAAATTCTATAGCAGTGACTCTTGGTTCTTTAAGAATGAAACCTCCAATAATATATTACTTCCTCTGGGTGCGACAGACACAGATTAAAACATCAAAACAAAAAACCCCTTCCCTCCATCTGAGTCATTCATTACACACTATTCTAAACACTCTTGTCTAGGACTTTCCTAGGACCAGGAAAGGATCGGACATTTTGGGCCTTTTTAACTCTCATTTTGACAATTCACTCTCTAACATAATCCAATCAATGAAAATATTAGTACAAAAACCTCATGTTACAGAAATGTATGTCAGAAGATTAAAAAAAAAGCAAACTCAGTGGTGACTCACTTCTGGACGTGTAGTGATTAGGGGTTTTTGTTGTTTTTTAAAGAGACTGAGAAGGGCAATTTTAGGCAAATACCCTTCTGGGTTACAAAAGAGCAATGTATAGGTTTCCTATATGTCCTATTTGAAGAAGAAAATGAAAGTGGTTTGTTTTCAACAAATACATCTGCACAAACAACAGCTTACCTTAGTGCTACTGGCATCTCCTTCATTCCCCATCCACAAAAAATTTTAAGGGACAAATGACATAAGTGGGTGTAACTACCTTTCCAGGCTGGAGCTGCTTGTAAGAAAAACCCTTCCTGGGAAGCCAGAAGTTCCCCAGAGTACGGGAGTCCTCTATCAGCCTCCACTGGAACTTACACACGTCCTTTATTTTTCAACTGTGTGACATCACACCCACAGCTCACTAACATCTCTGTGAGGTCTCCTGGTGCCTGTGCAAAGCCCAAGCATCCAAAATCTATAAAGCTCATATAAAAATCCATGCTTACTTGCATTTGCCACAATGCTCGGCGTTACAAATGGATTAAGTACAAGGTTCCTTCCAATATTATTTTCTAGGTTTATCCTCTCTTTCTCAGCTGCCTCAAAACAATGCAGATCATACAAATACAGACAGCAGATCCCTGGTATTAAATCAGCCAAATTAGAAAAGCGAATTTACCCACAACTTTTCAAGAATACATCCGCTGTATTACAGGGAGGCACGCGACTATCTCTAGCTAAGTATTTTAAAGAAAACACACAGTTTTAAAAGGTCAGCCGTCTGGCCCACAGTGAAGTCACTGACTTTAATAGCTAGCTTATCGACTTGGGATCTCGTCCTGTTCACTTTTTCCACTGGGCTTCTTAAAGTTTACGTGTGTCATGAAATGCTTAGCTAAAGCCAAAAGGCTAAGTTTTTCTTTCTGCAGTACTAAGACGTCGTGAAACACTCTAAATTTAAAAGACCATCTACCACATCATTTTCCCTGTTTAGAGGCGTGGAGCAGTGATGATTTCCCTGGTTCTGGTTGTTGAAATGGCTGAGAAGACACGAAGTCAAGATTCAAAAACCACAAAGTATTTCAGCATGCATTATTGTACACAGACTATGCTGCTATTAAAACATGGAACTTCCTTTTCACTGAAATTACAAGCAGAAAATAGCAGATGCTGCATGCGACCTCCATCCTTGAACATACTAAAATTTTACTATGTCAAATGGAAAACTGGCTGTGAAAATGACTAGGCCACAACACACTTTTATTTCTTTTTTTTAAATCATTCGCCAAAGTCCCTAAAAACAATGCCTCACCTCTTCCACAAGGTCCATCTACGTTCTTTTTTTTTTTTTTTGAAATGGAGTTTCACTCTTGCCACACAGGCTGGAGTGCAATGGTGTGATCTCAGCTCACTGCAAACCCTGCCTCCCTGGTTCAAGTGATGCTCCTATCTCAGCCTCCTGAATAGCTGGGATTACAGGCGCCCGCCACTGCACCCAGCTAATTCTTGTATTTTTAGTAGAAACGGGGTTTCACCACATTGGCCAGGCTGGTCTTGAACTCCTGACCTCAGGTGATCCGCCCGCCTCGGCCTCCCAAAGTGCTGGGATTACAGGTGTCAGCCACAGCACCCGGCCCCATCTACATTCAATGTGGCTGGGTGCATCACCCCACCACACGCCTGTCCCCTCCCCAACCATCCCACTCCCATTTGCAGGTCCAGGTCATTTACTCACAAAGGATGTGTCTTACAGGGTGGACCCTAGCGGCAAATTCCACTTGCTAAACTGTATCTTAACCAAATAATGAATACTGGTACCTGTGGAATATGAGTTCTTTCTTTTAAAGCCAATCACCAGCAAAGGTGGTTAAGAGCCTTGTCAAAAGTCAATTATCAGTAAACTCTTTTTGGAGTTTCAGTTACAGGCAGAAATCTAAGAAACACCATGTGTACTTCTAGGTACTCCACAGCCTCTCTGTGCACTAGAGAGAGACAAGAGCCATTCAATTCACAGAGCATCTTCACATCCAAACAGAAAATCCAAGCCCACTGGTCATACCAAATTGAGACATCCACAAGATCAGCTACATTGAGGCAGCTGCCCTATGAAAACAGCTAGGACTTAGCCTAACACTTGCTATATAACGAACACACAATCTCCCAGGTTCTACCAATCACTCCTTTGACAAATCGAGGTTTGTCAAAGTCTCTGCCTAGCCTGTCCTAAATCAAGTGACTCCAACATGACTTCCCTCCAATAAACATGCTATCATTGGTAGGGAGGTAGAAGGGTGGAGAATGACTTGCGTCTGCATACTGCACACTAACAAAATTAAGTGGGTTTTGTTCTATGCCCTGAGATATAGGGAACCAAACAAAAGGTGGTGGTTGGGGGTGAGAGCAGTTTGCTGGAAAAGGCAGGCACTCAGCTATCAGATGCAACCTGTACTCCAGCTAAGTCTCCCCAAACTGGCTTTCCTTTCTCCTTACTCCCCACCACACTCAGTCCTGAAATATTATCAAAGTAAATAAAAGCTGTTCCAATCCCAGGTCTAGTCCGCATGGCTACACAAACATGACTCTGCGAAACTGTGCTGACAACTGCGTTTACTTGTGGCAAAGTGAACCAGGATCAATAAGCCAAAGTGGCTTTAGATTTGGTTAGGTTTAAGCTCACATAAGCACAGGGAGAAAACCATCCACTCTCAAAGAACTAGTGCAGAAAGCACCTGCACAAACTCGTCAGGATGGTTTATAAGGTCACAAGCACCTGAGAAAAGATCGTTTATTCCTAGGGGCATGAGACAAATGGTAGGCCTGCCCGTCACACTACTAGTGTCAATATTTATCTAAGGCCTGGGTATTCACGATGGTATAAACCAGGCACCTTTTCAATTCAGTTATTCACGTAATTCGCCACTACAAAGCCCCAAAACAGAGATTCTTTACAGCTTGATTTCTTTTCTTCCATTTCCATACACAGGGGGCTGGCTGCAGGACCCATGGTCTATGTCAGCAATAATCCCTGCAGCCTGGGAATAAAGCGTACAATGTATTTCAGAACTACCTATATCAAATGGCATTGCAACTGAGGACAATGAAGAGGTGGGGAAGGGAGACAGAGCACCTGCTTTCTTCCTTCCCATGGCAAGCATGTTTTCCTCACTCGAAATGCGCAGAGATTAAACCCTGTAGTAAAGTAAATGAACCCCAAGAGTCACACCTAGGCATGTCTAAGTGTGACTTACACTGCAGGATTAATTCAGCAACCAATACCCAAAGGTATGTGAAGCTCAAATAGCCCTGTCTGGCCAGTTCCAATTCTCTCCAACTCCTTAATCCTTCACCCCTTCCTCCCTTAGCCTCTCCTCTCCCCCAGATAAGGGCCTAATCACAATTCTCTTTCCCAGGTAAAAGTCAAAAGAAATAAGTAGTCCATTAGTATCAACTTTAAGAGGTCCAAGAGACCTCTGAAAAACAGCTGTGGAAACCAGGTTCACAAATGGATTTCTCCAAGTCTCTTCCTATCTCTCAAAGTCCTCAAATCCCCTTTTTCCAAGATGCCACACTGCAGTTCCTCAGTCAAATCTGCTGGCCTCTTCCTGCGAGACACACTGCTGTGTAAATCAAAGCACTAGAAAAAGATGGCTGTCTCTCCAGGGTCACATTAAAGAACCTGCCTCAAAACACTCTTTAAAAGTTGCTGGCTGAGTGACATTAAATGGATTTCTCAAGCCAGCTTTCTATAATTCACTAAACCTAGTTTTCTGATTCCATACGCAGGATTCTTCCCAACTACACTGGTATCTATACCAAAATCCTCATGAGGACTCTGGATCCTCTGTGCAGCCCGGTAGGGATCATCCTACTTATACATCCCAGCAGGCTGCAAAACACTTCCGTTCCCTTCAAAGTGAAATTGTGATGGCAACTGATGCACTGTGACGCACGACACACATGTGGTCTGTGAGGAGCAGGCATTCCTATCTCTGCTTTAAATACGTCTGTTGAGTGAGAGCAGGCAAGAACTGAGCCCAAAATGGTAGCAGCTGAGGGTGTGGTCAGTTTTATTTTTTTCTTACATAAAAATATACTTAAGCAGCCAGTATTTCCTCACACACGCTGAAGTTAATAATTCACAAACCAACTAACATTCATCAAGGATCAGAAAATTTAAAGGTTGTTTGCACAAACACTCCTGTTCTTGCTCTTACTTAACAGCTGGTTTTTTTAACTGATGGCTGCTGTTGCCATTAGGGCCAGGTGGCACTTCAAAATGTTATTTCTTGAGCCAGACACACCACGACCCGGGTCATTTGCCCTCTGGATTCCACGGTATCCAAACTCCTGTGCTTAATGTTGCTTCTCAGACAAAACAGGTAATTCTGGCAAGGCAAAAATACAGGACAAGATGATCCTAGTTTGCTGGTAAAACATTGCTGTAATCATGCTCTTCCTTTTCTAATCTGGCCCCTCCAAATGGACAATCCCCAAAGATGCCAAGGCACAATGGAGCAGTAGGTAGGGCTGGAATAACCTCATCCAAGAGGCAAACTGTCTGGACTTCAGACCAAGATGTCTTATTACAAGGAGAAGATAAGTTTTTATACTTCAGTCATCCTCAAAAAGGAGGGCCCAATCCCCTCTCGCCTCAAACCTTATCCTTTCCACCTTTCTTCCTTTATCTCACTTAAGTTCATTCTCTCATTTTTAAAGATGTTATCATCAGAGCCAGAAATGTAAAATCACGCATAGGTGTGCTGGAGACACACCTATGGGGGAGGAAGAGGGGAGAGGAGGGGAGGTGATCTAATAAAGCCTTCTCCAGCAACTATTTGAGTGATGCACTACAGGATAGGAGTGGCCTGCTGTAGGATAGGAGGATTACCAAACAGATGTTGGTTGTTGTTTCGACCAAAAAAAATTAAACCTTGGGGGTATGAGTTAGCTGCAAAGCCATGGACTTGCTACAAACACACGACACACAGCCTGAGTTTGTGGGCCTGCAATGGCTTCAAGGCCGCATCAACATCTACATAAGTCTTATGAAAGAGGTTACACATTAACCACAGCACATCTCAAGGAAAATCCTATCACCTCCACCATCTCCACACCGTTTATTTGCCGCCTTTGAAAAGGACTTTCTGCACGTTGCTACCATGGAATTGGAAATAAATGGAGATAAATCCAGTTTTTGGTTCTACGTTTTTGCTTTTAATACACAACTAATTTCAGTGCATGTAGGTGGTCCTGAAAAGGTAACCAGTTAACCCCAATGGGGCAGAAAATAACAGTTAACTTAAGGGCAGATGTGTAGGACAGCCAACCCATGGTTATCTCGACAGGTGTGCGCAGGCAGGAGTTTCAGGGACATGAGAAAGCAGTGTCCTGGATACTATCAAGAAAGAAAACCCAACGGTAACTCACAGTTGGTTTGGAAATAAGCACACAGGTGTTTATTAAGCACCTGCTGCGTGCCAGGAGGACCACACAGGTCAATAAGGTAGGCTGTGCCTTCAGGGAGTCTGCCCTCACATTTAAGACTCCAAAGCAATTTCCTCCAACAGCTGTTTACAATGCAGATTCCCAGGCCCTGGCACCATAAACTCTGACTAGAGGACTAACAGAGGCTACCATGTCATTATTATCTCACTTGTCTATAGGCAGTTCAGCCCGCTGACCATCTCCCTAACTCATGGATCTCCAAGGGTCTCCACTGTACGGGTCAGCTTTTTTTTCCAGTATGTCCCCGCAGGCCTTTTCTCAAGCTCACCACCACCCTCCTGTCAGTTCATCTAGAATGGGACTAAGGAGTAAGAAATTAAAAACAAAACTCAGAAAACCTGACCCTCTACCCCCAGAGGCCTGCAGAGATTTAGTACTAACTCCCTGAGTAGCTCAATGAGCCATTTTCCTTCTGGTTTCTTGCTCTAAAGGAAACCACTGCAGGCCTCGGCTCCCTTTCCCATTAAAAGCCACCGGGGCCATAGTTTTCAATTAGCTCTGTCAGCCCATCACCCTGCAGCCGCCCAAGTTCAATACGTCCTCCCTTCCCCCAGCTTCTGGTCTCCACCAAGCACTTCACACCTCCCTATTGTAAACCTGTCCAGAGCAATTACCCTGCCTGCACTTGGACAGCCTCAATACTGCACTTCTGTCTAATTTATAGCTGCAAAGCTCCGTCGGCAAAGGCAGACCTGCCTCGGAACAGAGGAAATGCAGAGAAAACGGTCAGGCTCTTCCATAAATGCATATGCACAGCCAATTTCCTTAGGTTACAGGAGAGCAAATTCTCCCATTCTCCTAGGGACACTATGTAATAAGCTCCCCTAGAGCGTCTGTAGTCTGGATTCACTGCAAGGAAAACCACTGCTCTTTCCTGCCACATTTTCTTTTTCCCTTGAGATTCCAAACAGACGGGCAAGTTATGAGGCATTACACTTCTACCTGTAGATCTTCAAAGTCTTAAAAATAAAAACTCTTCTCGCCTGAGGAAGATAGAGAAAAGCACACTACCAACCAGGGGAATACCCCAAGCTGCTTGAAATTGTACTTTCTAAACATGCTCTGCTTACCACTGAGCAATAAAAAGACAAAGGACTCAGTTAAAATACGGGCAAAGAAACTGAATAGACATTTCTCCAAAGAAGATATACACATGGTCAATAAGCATATGAAAAGATGCTCAGTGTCATTAGTCATTATGGAAATGCAAATCAAAACCACAACACAAGATACCACAACACACCCACTAGGATGGCTAAAATTTAAAAAGACAGATAATAGCAAGTGCTGGTGAGGTAGTGCAGAAATGGGAACCTTCATACCCTGCTGGTGGATGTGCCACGTGGTGCACACAGCTTCTCCAGGAAACAGTCTAGCAGTTCCTCAAAAAGTCAAACATAGAATTGCCATATGACCCAGTAATTCCACTCCTCGGTATATGCCCGAGGTATATACTCAAGTGAAAATATACATTCACCACAAAAACTTACGCACAAATGTTCACAGCAGCATTGTTCATTACAGCCAAAAAGTGGAAATAAACAAAGTGTCCACCAACTGATGAGTGGATAAAGAAAATACAGTCTCTCCTCATGATGGAAGCATTCTTCAGCCATAAAAATTAATGAAGTACTGATACCTGCCATAATATGGACGAATCATGACAACACTGTGCTAAGTAACTAAGTAAAAGAAAGGGCCATATATTGCATGATTCTATTTATATGAATTGTCCAGAACAGACAAATCTATAGAGACAGAAAGTAGATGTTGCCGGGGGATGGGAGGAAGGAAGGATAGGCAGGGAGTGCTAATGGGTACAGGGTTTTATTTTGGGGTGATGAAAATGTTCTAGATTAGTAGTTACGCAAATCTACGAATATACTAAAAACCCAGAATCCTATCATTGAAAAGGATGAGTTTTGTGGTATTTGAATCACATCTCAAAAAAGCTATTTAAAAAAAAAAAAAGTCCTGTTGCCCACCTTAGCAGGCTCTCAGAATTCCAGACTGAAAATGCCACCTAGCTACTTCCATACCACAGAAATGCAGAAAGAACTGCCCCTCTACGTGCCAGGAGATAAATGAACACCCAAAAGAACACCCAGAAAGAACATCAGCTTCTGTGTGCTTCCCAGATTGTCCTATACTCGCTCCCAAGCTCTGTCCATGAGTCCATCAGATGCAGAAAACCTCAGCTAGAGTTTACCCTCCCACAGAAAACACATTCTTGGCATTTTGAAAGAGCATTTCTTTTCTTCCTTTGAGAAATTATTTAGCAAGGCTGTGGAAAGCAGGGCTCCCAGTGGCCATTCAAAAATTAAGACCAAGCCAGAAGGCAGGAGGAAATGTCACCACAATGGGGAGAAAATAAATCAGTTAGATTAAGATTAAGATCTAACCCTTTTCTGTGGTTGGGGCAGGCGGATTTGAGAATAATAGCATGCTATTTCTGGAAAGTCCCTCCAGAGTAAAAGCTGGGAGGGTGGGGGTGTGAAACTATATGTTTCAGTGTTAGATTAAAATTTGTTGAAGTTGATTGAAAACAGATAGAAATGGCCAACGGTCCCCCTGCCCAGCACAGGTATGCCAGTCCTCTGTGGCTGAGGTCCCTCTATATTTCAGACCACACCTCAGCACTGCCCTCGCCAGCAAAGATGCAGTTAAACGGGAAGGCCCAAAGTCTAATGGGGCCAGGATGCTACACAACATCAAAGAGATTCCAGTTGCTCCCCTTGCGCCATAAACTCTTTCACCCAACATCATTCACACTTTCAGAGTGCAAAGTTCACTCTGATATTGGTGGCTTTCTCACTTTGTAGCTTTTTTGGCAAGTGCCCCTTGGCCTGGTTGTTCATTAATATATAATCAGAACATTAAAAGCATTGTTTCACCTTCTAGGGAGGCTGTGCCCAATTTAATAAAGCCGACATTGTCCCTAGGGTGGGGGGAACCACCTCGAAATTGGCAGAGAATTCAAAGATGCACAGACCGGAGGGTTTATGTACACACACACACACACACACGTGTATACACACACGCATGCACACAGAATTAAGTATTTCAAAAGATGTTTTTTATATTCCCCATGGCAAAGGAGCAAAATTAAAATGCTTCTCACCACAGAAACTGACCTGGCATTTCTTTCCCTTAATCCTTTCAATACCAAATTACTCCTTACCTTTAAAACCTTTACAGGAAGTAGTGATCTTTGTGGCAGGAAGACAAATAAACGAGAAGGGATGTCTAAAACTCTATCACAATTATCTATGAGAATGCTCGTTCAGTGCACTACTTTTACTTTTCAAAGCACATGCATACAATGACAACTCACTTTCGAGACCATGTTTACTTTGCTGAAAGCCACATTCTAAACATGGGCTCGCTTGCAGAAGGGAAGCAGCTTACAATTCAACCTTGTTTATGCTCCAAGTAGGTTTGACAGAAAAACCACATAAATTTGTTTTAAAATAATTTCCATTTGCTGGAAGCTGTTCCTGAAAGGTTCTCAGCCACGCTAATCTGCGCTGATTCCTACCAGCTGTAGGTACCAGGCACCCTGGCCACAGACCGGGCAGCCTGGGCACAGGCAGGCTGGCTCTGCAGAAGGCTGCAGCAGTACAGGATCAACAGAGCCACTGCAACAGTCCCCTCCGCAACACGCGTCCACATCTGTTTAAGAAGAACCCAAAGATGTCCTGGTTCAGAGTCAAAACATGTGACATGCCTGTTGAGAGCACAGTTTTCTATGCAATTACACCTGTGCTCTCTCAGAAACACAGCTTCCCTAGTACCAAAGAGATGTACTGTGCTCAAGCCCAAAGACCACAGTGGAGGACAGCAGATGATGTACTGGGCTGAGCATCAACAAAGGAAGGAAACTGAAAAAGGAAATATCTGGGAGTATCCTGTGTAAAGTCTTCAGCCTCAACATCCAAAGAAATGCAGATTAAAATAATCTGAGGCAATTTCCATCCATTAAACTGGTACATGATTACAGAAATAAACAGCATTTAATGTTTGTGAGGGTGTGGGACAAGCACAAGTTCACATGTAAGTTGGCAGCCTCTTTCTCAGAGGCAGTGGTACCGAAAATATTAAGAATCTGCATATCCAGCGCTATCTGAATTGGGTAACTCATCCTAAGGAAATAAATGGCTAAACATTTATGCATAAGGATGTCTATCAAAGCTTAGGAAAAAGCCTAAATGCCCAATATCAGAGAAACTTTACAAGTTTTATGTAAGTTGTGTAATAATTTATTATACAATAAATATTAAAGCACATTTTAAAAACTGCTTAAAGTCAGGGAAAATATTCAAGATATTGAGTCTTTAAAACATAACTGAAATAGGTATTCAGCCTCACACATTACTGGAAATTTATACACTATCCAGTGATAATATTTATCACCGAACAATGAAATCAGTTGTTTTTTCTTTTGTACTTTCTTCTTTATTCAATAAATGCCTAACATTTGTCACCAGAAAATCAAAAGTAATAAAGACATAGTAACTAGGCTAACAGATCAATAGCACCCCCTCCAGCACCCCCCGTAAGGCCACCAAGACAGTAATCTGCCTAGACTATTCCAGCTCACTGGGGACAAAAGGCTTCCCTACAGCATCACAGTCCAAGATCTCGATAGCCATTAAAAGAAACATGTGAGGCTGAGCTCATCAGGGAGAACACAGCTTCCCATTGCCCCTTGCTAGCATGCCTGGGAGACTGCCCAGAGAGGAGCTCTGCCAGCTGGGTTCGCAGTGCTCTCTCTGCCATGGATGGAGATCCTGCGTGTCTGAGGATGGGGGTGGGGGCCAATGTCTCACATCTGAAGTCCAAGCTAAAAAGGCCCAGATTTAGAAATGTATCTGCCTGAAGTCTCCTGCCATAGAAGCTTCTATCAATTTACATAGTTACTTGGGCTGGGTCCACAGAGGGCAGGGTAACCTGTCCTTAGTGTTCTCACAGCTCCCTCTGGTCAAGGAAAGCAGTCTTTCTCTCTGCCAGCAGCAAAGAGGGAGAAAAGCTACCTTGGCCTGGTCATCCTTTTTGTCAAAGCAGAGGCCTGAGCAAAGTAAGAGCTCAAGCAACCGAAACCAGCTGCCTGGCGAGGGCTCAGCATAAACTGAGCAGAATAACCACAAGGGGAAGGGTGTCTAGACAGCCTCGGTCTATGGAAGAAGCCACCCTCCCCTGCAGTGTCAACTCTGGAAAAGCAGGCTCCAAAACGCGGCTCCAGCAAAAGAGCAGATGAGAGACCATGTCAACAGCTGGGAAGGGCACCGCGGGCTCCCTCGCCAAACGCAACACAGAGGAGAGCGCCTGAGCCTGGCCCACCTGCCAAGGACAGCCACCAGCAATCCAGCAGGGACGAGGCGCCCGAGGACCTCATGTGGGGACAGTTCACATGCACTGCTTTAACTACAAAGCCACTTCAGTGACAATTCTTGCATATGGGACTTTTCCAAAATTCAGAGAGACCAAAAAGACCGCCAATTCTAAATGTGGCAGGTAAACAGCCTGTCATCTTTTCAACTTCGGTTCTATTTGTTTCTTCTTTCTTTCCATTCTTCTAAGTTTCTCAACACTTAAGAGACTTTGGTGGAGGGTGGTGAGGGGTATAGGAAGCTACTAAACAAGCAAGGTATATTCAGGAAATACACAGATGAAGCCTGGGAGGTCTGAATTATTCTATCTGGCAGAGGTATTTCCACAGGACATACAGGACTCTACAGAATGAATGCCACTATCTCTATCTACACTGGTATCTGTCACGAGCATTTAATGTGTCACAGGCTTCACACTAGATTCTGGGAATACAATGGTGGATTGGAAACAAAGCCAGTCACTGCATTCAGGGAGCTTACAGACTAATGGGGTAGTCAGAAACGAATCAAACATTCACACAAAACTTCTATACATAGCACTGCAGAATCCTCACGATGGGAATCTAACTTAAAGGGAACGTCAGCCATGGTTTCTATGGGGAGAAACGTTTAAGACAGATGAACAGAAATCTGCAAGGCGAAGAGGGAAGACCCATTCTCCAGACAGAGGAAATGGTGGGTGAGGGACATGGGACATGGTGGTATTTAAAAAGTCTTTTTAAAAAGCCCCACGTGGTGGCTGGGACAGGTGGGGCCAGGTAAGAAGCGCGATGAGGGGCAGGTGGACAGTAACAGCTTTAAACAATGGGATTCATGTGCTCCAATTTGCAACTCTGCAAAGACCCCTACAGCTGGGGGCAAGGGGTTGCAAACAGATGTGAGTAAAAAGCTCTCTCCTCCCTCTAAAGTCTGCATAACAAAGTGAAATAGTAATGACAAAAAAAATTTAAGATAAAATTTATACTACAGGCTAGGCATGGTGGCTCACACCTGTAATCCCAGCATTTTGGGAGGCCGAGGCCAGCGATTGCTTGAGCCCAGGTGTTCGAGACCAGCCTAGGCAACATGATGAAACCCTGTCTCTACCCCCAAAAAATACAAAAATTAGCCAGGCATGGTGGTGCACACCTGTAGCCTCAGCTGCTCAGGAGGCTGAGGTGGGAAAATTGCTTGAACCTGTGAGGCAAAGGTTGCAGTGAGTCAAGATCACACCACTGTACTCCAACCTGGGTGACAGATTAAGACCCTCTCAAAAAAAAAAAAAAAAGGAAAAATTATCATACAAAATTATTGATAAATTCCACCTTTCTCCTTCCATCTTGCTGCTACATTCCTTTTCTTTTGAATGAAGGGTGGGGGCAGTGGGTCACTGGCGGCCACAGCACTCTCCCAGGACTACGTACATCTTACAGAGCCACAAATCCAAGGCATGCCAAAGATTTCAGGCGGTGCATAAACTCCATCAGCAGGCTAAACTGTTTATATGTTCTTGAGTTAAAAATACACCACTCGGGTCAGCGTTAACACCAGGGCCTTATCACCAAGGCTGTCTGTGAGCTGGTTACACAAGGCTGGACCATGACTCGCCCATCTTTTAGATGTGTCTCAGTCTGCAAATTATCTAACGATTCATCAGTGAGATGATCATAAAGCCAACAAATATACACGCATTTGAGAAAAACACTTTCCAAACCCAAGGATACTTTACTGTTTATAAATAGTTTACTTTTTTTGATCCCCAAGCATATAATATTCGCAGTTGCTCCAGAAACCAAAGGAACATGGAACAGGAACACAAACCACAACCTAACAGAAACAATAAACAACAGATGGCAAAACATATGTGCATGTTACCACCCCCTTTACCAAACAGGCAAACCAAAAATGGATCTGACACACACGCCTACCAACAAAGAAACACGCTCTTCAAGATCACATTCAAGACACCATGTATAGAGCACCAGCTGTACAGCCAGAACTACACTAGGTGCTTCAAGCCACCAAAGACCAATCGGCCTCCAGGAATTCAGAGACGTCAAAGGGAGGCCAGAAAGAAGGCAGTGCTAGTCTTACCGTATTTTCTTCTAAACATGTACACGCAGGTCTGAATTCTAACTGGCAAGTGCTAGACTCTAAACAAGTCATTCAACTACTCTGGGCCTCATGTATACAACAGAGACAATATTTTTCATAGAGTTAAGATGGTGATGATCAGTTAACACAGATATATCCTGCTGCAGAAAGGTACACTATTATTGCGACAGTTATAATAATAACATTATAGCTACCCTTCCTCAAGCTTCTGCTTGTGTGTTAGGCCCTGTGTTAAATATTTCATTTTTTTCCTTATAACAAGCTTAAGGAAGTCGGCACTACAATTATCCCCATTTTACAGAAAAGGAAACTGAAGTGGAGTAAATTGCCAAGGTCACCCAGGCAGCCAGGCCCCAGAGCTGCCTCTTAACCACCGTGCGTCATGAACCGCACAGCTGCTGCATCCCCACAACCATGGCCCCTCATAACCAGATGCCTGGAATGCAGGACTCTGAGAAGACAAGGACACAACATTATCTTCCCCTGAAGACCCTGAAATACTGCACTGCTCTGGGCTTTTCACTGGTTAGCAAGGCACCTGAACTTAAAGAGCTCAAGACAAACGCTTAAATTCTGATTCTCAAGTCACAATCGACTCAACTAATGATTCTGAATAGCTGATGTTTATGACTTTTTAAAAATGTCTCAAAACAAACGAAAAGGGTCACAATAAGTAAGTGTGGCTATCGTATTGTTTTCCATGTATGGACATGTCTATTTTAGGTATCACAGACTCACGTCCAATCACTCTGCCAATTTCACCTCAATGCTAGTATTTTAAACTCTGACTAGAATTTTCCAACTACACTGTAACTTTACGCTTTTGTGTTTCTTCTACATTTAAAAAGAATGCCATTTCCCAATATATAACTCCCAGATGTAGAATTCACAGATGATTCATCTCACAGAACAAGTGTTCTGAGACATCAGCTCCAAATAGAGGAAAAACTTGGAATTCCCTTCGCCCTCAAAGTAAAAACTTGCCTAGATCTGCTTTGCTCAACAAAGTTTGCTTTCAATTATATTTCCAAATTCTTCTAACAATAACTCCACGGCGTCTGGCACCAACACATCTGATTCTTTGAAGTGGTTCTCAAGCAGAAAGTAGAAAATAAGGAGAAATGGGAAAGGAAGAGAGGACTATCCATAATTTTTGTTTTAGGTCAAATATTCTCTCTAAAAGTTCTGACATATAAAATCAGACAAACCACAAGCTATGACTTCTCATTGAGGGGCCACACTGCAAGAAGCAACAGCAATTGAAGAAAGCCTCTGCATTTAGCCGCTGGCTCCAGAGGGGAAAACAGACCCTCAGCACAAAGAAAATGGCCTTTTACTCCTGATATTTAAATTCTAAAAACACTCCTATGAAGTCCTCCACACAGGCCAATCAGGAAAAATTACACTTCAGGGGTAAACCTCAGAACCCCTTAGAGAAACAATGAAACTGGGGGATCCGTTCTGCCCTGAAAGAATGTACCAAGCTCCAAGACAAAGTGGTAAGGCAATAAACAAATAATTATCAAGGGACTCCTAGGTACATGAAATTGAATGATCCCTGCTGCTTTCAAGTCTAAGTGGAGAGAAACACACACACACACATACACACATACAGGGATGTGTGAAGAGTTACCTAATCAGATAGACTCAGAGATTCCTCCGGGAAAGGACGAGATGTCAACAATAAATTCACCAGAACGAGACCAAGTGAGTAACAGGGAGAGTGTGTGACACTGACACACGAGGCTCGAAGAAGGGTGGGAACATCATTTGGCCTGTTTTGAGCTCAGAAAGCACAATGGAAAAAGGTCATCTTTGGTTCTTAAAGGGAGAATTTTTTTTGTAAAGTCTAGTTTTTTGGACACTCTATTCCTAAAGTAGTCCCTAATTGTTGTTAAACTTCTGTCAAGAAGTTCCAGACCACTAACTGTTCCTCCAACTTCATTGCATTTTAGTTGTATCCCCAAACAAAACTCCAAATTCCAAGAATTTGTTCCGGAAAACAATAATAAAAATAAAAATAAATTTTAAATCCGGAAGTTTCGTTTTATGAAAATTTACACGATAAAGAATGAGTGGAAGGAAAAGAAAAGCCCAAGAATTTCCACTGAAGGCACTAACAAATTCCACGTCGAAGAAAAGTGGACATCCAGAACAAAGAAAATAAAAGCTTCTAGATTCTCCATGAAAAGTATTTTAAGGAGTCCAATTACTGTCATAATTTTCAAGATTTTCAAAAACAGTGTAACTAAGAGGTAACCAATGCAAACCTAGGTAGATGGGTAAATTTAATATGAATTTGGCCAAAAACAGAGTCAGACTTCAAAATTAGAAAAAGCCACAGCCGGGCGTGGTGGCTCACATCTGTAATCCTAGCACTTTGGGACGCTGAGGTGGATGGATCACTTGAGGTCAGTCATGAGTTCAAAACCAGCCTGGCCAACATGGTAAAACCCTGTCTCTACTAAAAAAAAACAAAAAAAAAAAAATTAGCCTGGCTTGGTGGCAGGCGCCTGTAATCCCAGCTCTTTGGGAGGCTGAGGCAAGAGAATCACTTGAGCCAGGAAGGCAGAGGTTGCAGTCAGCTGAGATCACACCACTGCACGCCAACCTGGGCGACAGAGTGAGACTCTGCCTCAAAAAAGAAAAAGGAAGCCACTAGGCTGTACATGTTAATTGGCTGAGTTTCTATCTTGAAAGGGATACACGAAAGATCTCCCTGGTAAAAGGGATGGCAAGCTGGCCCAGAAAGAACAGGCAGTGCAGTGAGTAGCTGCCCTTCCTGTGGCCATGACTATAGAATGTGACAGGTGGCCCATCCAGTCCTTAAAGGCAGTTTCTCAGCATCATTTACAACTTCACTTATGGCAAGTATTCACTGAAGGACTGCCTGAGAAAGATGCTGCCTGCAGTGGCCCTGAGAAAGGACCCTTTGGGAAAACATGCCTGTAATTTATTTTCCTGGTTTTTTTTCTTTAAATTTTTACCTAAGTTCTTAAAATTCTAAATCAAAGATCGAAAGTGGATCTGTACCAGCCTCCACAGTTTTCTTTGGGCCAGAGGGGAAAAGGAGGTAAAAATGAAGGAAAGCACCACTTTCTTTGTGGAGTATTCACTCCTCCTCAATAATATCTCAAGGCTCACAAAAGGGTCCCTCATTGAGACTCTGCATGCACATACCCTTTTTTCTCTTTGCTGCTTATGGTATCCATCTGAGAATTTCACTCAGAAGTAGCAAACATTGGCCTAGCATGGTAGCTCACATCTGTAACCCCAGCACTTTGGGAGGCCAAGGCAGGAGGATCACTTGAGCCCAGGAGATCAAGACCAGTCTGGGCAACACAGCAAGATCCCATCTTCACAAAAAATAAAAACTAGCCAGGTGTGGTGGCACATGCCTGTAGTCCTAGCTACTCAGTAGACTGAGGTAGGAGGATCACTTGAGCCTGGGAGGTCACGGCTATAGTGAGCCATGATTGCGCCACTGCACTCCAACCTGGGTGACAGAGTGGGACCCTTTGTGTGTATGTGTGTGTGTGTGTGTGTGTGTGTGTCTAACACACACACAGAGAGAGAGAGAATGTTTAAGTATCCTAGATACAGATCAATTTAATTCTTACCATCCAATGAAATATAAGTTTACTCCCTTTTTGCTTCAATTAGAATAGAATCATGAACCTAAAAATGAGGGGTCTTAGAAATTATACATCCCTTTACAGACAGGAAATGAAGTGACTAGCCCAAGGTTATGCTGCCAATCAGTGGCAGAGCTGGGACGAAACCCCAACGTCTCCTGAGGCCCAGCCATGAGCTAGTTTCCCATTCTACCACATCCTCACTTTCATGACTTTAAGAAAATTAATTTTTTCCTCTCAGGTGAATCATTTTTATGCCTCTTTGGGCAAGCACCCCTTTAAGAAACTCCATGAAAACGTGGTCTCCTTTCTGTCCAGAAAGACATTCTGAGCACCACGACTTCACATAAAGTTTCTCCCAAGTAAATAATAAGGTCAGCCAATCTTTATTTTAGGATAGTAATGAAATGAATATAATTTACTCATTTCTAAGTATTGTTTCAAATGACCTTGTGAAAGAACCCAAAAATCTCCATAGAAGAGTCTCTGATTTTTCCATTGGGTAAAGCATAGCCCTGGATAAGGCCAAACCACCCAAAGCAAAGAGTCCTACACAGACTCCAAATCTGAGAAAACAATCAGAGGAATTTGGGATGAGGCAGATCTTAATAACTACAGGGCATGTCAGCTTGTTTTCTGGATCTCCCCTCCTCCAAGATGGAAGGAAACCCTGCTCCCTTCGAGCTGCAGCCTCTGCATCCATCACTTCATTGCATCAACAATTCACTTCCTGGAAGCAACGAGCTCTTCTGACTGTTTATAAGTTTTGCAAGCACTGGGAGCTTGTGTGCCAGAAACTCACACCAGCCCAGGTGGAGGGAGGAAACCACAGACACAGAGAAAAATTCTTCTTAATTAAAAATAAAACGAAAACTAAGACGGAGGCATGATGCTGGGTCAAGGTACCACCACACTGCTAAAACCAGATGAAAGAATGGTGTTCTCCTAATTTGCAGAACAGCACTTAATTTCATAGAATCTCTCAATACTAAGCTTTTCTGCCCCATAATTTAAAAAAAAAAAATGCATTGGAGCGTGCTTCCACTTTTCTAAACAGAGAACCCACTGTAAATGGTGTATAATCGGTTATCATATAAATTTAATTAAGCTTCACAGATCCACCAGTTTAACCTGACCATGTTGGACAGCTTTTAAGGCCACCGAACACTCCATAATCTACCTGGAATTTGATTTTCACAGATAGAAGATGGAAGTCATTCCAAAAACTAGGATAAAGTGAATGGAATTTGGAGGACTAGTAATTCCCACTCAGATTCCTAAATGAAGCTGCAGCTAGCAAAAAATCCATTCTAAAGAAGCCCCCTCACCAACAAAGTACCGGACTGAGGAGAAATTAAACTATGGACTTTTATAAAATAAAACAAACCATGCAGCAGCTACTTGGAGAACACATTTTCAAATCTGTGTGAAGTTTAAATCAAGCACAGAGGGTTCCAGGAACCTAGTTCTTTGCTTTTTGAAGATTTTTCTTACAGGCTGCCTCTAACTCTATTTAAAGCAGCCTCAAGTAGCCACAGCTGGAGGGTCAGGCCTTACAAAGTAAACAATAGTTAACTCAATTCAGACTCATGACTTAACTACAACCAACGGCTAATTATCCCTCTACTAAACAACAGTATCTGAGACATCACTTTTTAAATGATCTATTCCATTTCTAATTATGTTTGTTCACTAATGGATTTTAATCAACAATTAATAGCTTGGTAGAAACCTCCCAAGTAAGAGCTATGTGGAGAAAGTGGAAGGTTAATCAGAATTGCACATTCTGGCAGAGGACTAGCACAAAAGAGCTTGCTAAACACCTCCTACAAAAGAAAAAAAATCTGTATTTTGAGAACATATAAACTAGGGTGCACACAGAATGTGCCCAATAAACATTCTGTAAATATATAGCTTACCAAAACGCCCTTTGGAAAAACACAGTTAAAATGAATGTCAATTTTTTCAAAACTTCCAATTTCTTAAAACCACCCTACAGTAAATAGTATGGTATATAAATTATATCTCAATAAAGCTGTTAACTTAAAAAAAACCTATACATTTGCAGATAAAATGATATGCCTTTGATTTATTTCCAAAGAAAAAATAAATAAATAACATGGAAGGGCAGCAGCATATTGGGAAATAGATCAAATAAGACAGCTGATGATTGTTGAAGATGGGTGACAGATACCTAGAGTTCATTACATTATTCTGTCCACTTGTGTAGATATTTACCTTTCTCCATATTCAAAAGGTAAGAAAAAACACTCCAGAGCAACAGAAGTGAGTTAGTTTATTTAAACTACCTGCCTGCATATCAACTGTTCCCTTAATTCAAAATTTTTTCTAAAAGCTATGTATTTCAGATCATCTCTCAAGAAAAAGAAGCTGTACCTGCAACAGCTTACTTTCTAATCAGTTGTAAGTTTTCTCTAAGCAGAGCCCAGCTTGTTAATTTCTTGTTATCCAGCCCAAAGTGCTAATGCTTGAGAGACAAATGCTTTCAAACAAAAGAGCACTGGAACTACAAGATTTGAAACAACAGCAAGATTATCTATCCTCCAGTTCAGAAGTGTTCAATCCTTCTCATTGCATTTAACAGGCTATCATCAAGTAGGTAATCCGGAAGAAAAGAAGTTCAGTGCAATGTATGCTTTGACCAAGATAAGCAGTAAAATATTTCAATGGCAAATTATAAATTGGTGGAAGGAGCAAAACAGGGAGGGGGAAGCTGTTAAATGCTGCATAAAGGAGTCTTAGAAAATAAAGTTGTGAGTTGTTTTTTTTCTAATCAGCTAAAAAAAAGAAGAAAAACCCTGCATTACGTTCATCGTGTTTCTCAAAGTCCAGCTAATTCTGCTTGTAAGAGAGACCTTCACTCATTTCCTTCATTTTCTTCCCAATAATGTGAGATCTTGAGAATGCAGATCATAAAAGATAAGAGATTAGAACTTTTGACCACAAAAGTTCAAAAACTAATCAACGCAAAACACTTAAAAAGAGGCCATGCTTTCTTTAAACCCTCTAAATGTCACCTTTTGCCAAAACAAACTGAACAAGCAGTAATTAGAACCTGCATCCTGGTTCATAAGGAAACCAAAATGTATTAGGACTTGCAGAAATGAACAGATTGGTTGTTCGCACAATGGGCCTTACCGGTTATGCTAGATTAAATAGTAATAAAGACGAAAACAATCGTGGCCGTTCACGTGGGCAAGGCTGTGAATCATGGCCATTCACTGGGGAAGGAACTCAGGTACAGGTGCACAAGGAGTGATAGCAAACAGTAAACAGCTTTTCAGGTGGCATCCTTGCCAGATTCCTCAAATGACCCTGTGTTCCCCGCCTGTGTCCCCTACAAAGTTACTATGCAATTCCAAACAGACCAAAACAAATGAAAAATGTTCTTTGCATACAACTCCACAATTGTCTCCTGTCCTCCCTCCTCCCTCCTCCCTCAAGGTTTTCCAAAGAGAAGCGGGTACAGTGAGGATTCAGTTAGCCCTAAAGTCTGTAACTTAACCCTGTTTGGAAGAGCACACCTGCATTTTTCCAAGCTATTGACTGAGAGGTGCTACTTGCACCTTGGTAGGGCTCAGTTTCAATGAAACCCTGGGAAATAATAGGATAAAATGATTAGTTTAAGGGCCTCTCACTTCCCTGCCACCTTCCCATACCTGCCTCCCTTCCAAAAGGATAGTGGTAAACAGACATAACTATTTGTACAACTGGAATAGATTTATAAAATACCTCAATAATTTTTGCTAATTATATAATCTGTTGCAACTGTTCATAGCTTCCTGCCTGTTTGGCTAAGATTTCCAAGGGTACATGAGGTTCACTTGTGGCACTTCATACATATCACCAAAAATCCATGGGAGAAGGCCGCTTCATACATATCACCAAAACTCACAGGAGAAGGCTGCCATCTTCCCATTCCAAAAGACTCCTTCACAGCAGAAAGGTAAACATTTCCCAGGAAAGCCTCTGTCACCAGCAATCTGGCTTGGAAGCTGGGTGTGGTAGCATGAGCCTTCTAGTCTCAGCTACTCAGGCAACTGAGATGGGAGGACTGCTTGAGCCCACGAGGCTGAGGCTGCAGTGAGTCTTGATTGCACCACTGCACTCCAGCGTGGGCAACAGAGTGAAACCCTGTCGAAAGAAAGAAAAGAAAGAAAGAAAGGAAAGAAAGAAAAAAAAGAGAGAGAGAGAGAAAGAGAAAGAAAGGAAGAAAGACGAAGGGAGGGAGGGAGGGAAAGAAGGAAAAAAAGAAAGAAGGGAGGAGAGAAAGAAAAAAGAAAAAGAAAACAGAGAAAGAAAGAAAGAAAAAGAAAAGAAAGAGAAAAAGAGAAAGAGGGAAGGGAAGGGAGTGGGGGAGGGAAGGGGAAGGGAAGAAGGAAGGAATCTGGCTTGGAGAGACTGGCTGTGAGACAGGATAATAAATTGGAGCTACTGAGGCCTTTAACCTTCAAATTGTGCTCCAGAATCATCATAAAGTAGATGGACCCAAGTTGAGGAACCTAGCTAAATATAGGCATCATCTAACTTTGTCCTCACAGCTTCTATAAGATAGAGCATTTTTCTGTCTTTTTAGACATGAAGAGGTTTGCCCAAAATCACACATGTAGCTGTAGACTGGAGGTGCCAGGGATGGACCACAGAATTAACTTTCAACCCCTTCACCGCCACTCCTTAATGACGAGTGTGAGTTGGGTGTGACCACCAGCGGCAAGAGCCCCTGCATATTTAACACAGTAAAGGTGAGGAAAGCTTTGTCCCTAGCCCATTCTCTCCCCCAGTCAATAACCCAAATGGAGACCAGGAGACAGCTGGGTAGCAAATGCCCATTTAGAAGATATAAAGAACTAAAGGCAGGAAATGAAAAGTATAAAACCCAGTGAAATGGAGAAACAGCTTAAAAAACTGAAGGACTTCTATGAACAGATTGAAGTTATAACTTGTGTTTCAAAAGACTATGCATAAAGTACTTAGGTAAAAACCATTGATAACAAATTATACAAAATATAAGAATATAAGAACATATAAAGCAAAAAGCCTTTGTATAAGAAAAGTTCACAAGCATACCCACCACCCCCTACAAAAAAGAGACACAAATTGCCGACTTTCAACTAGAAATTAGACCATCAATAAACTGCAAATTTTTTCTGCAATCTTTATTGATCCATTCATTTTGCTTAATAAGAATGGTCATGTATCAAGTATTTCAGCAAAAAACTTCTCAGTCCTAGTCATAATTGGACAATTAATTGGTCAGTCGGGACTGCTCTTCTAAACTGTGCAGCTATATCAAATTCTTTGAGCAAAACATAAATGCAGGTCCCAGAGGTAAACTATTATAAAAATGTTAACCACTGGTCTTCAAAGTGCTCTATTTCTTTCCAGAGGAGATAAGATCTGAGTTTCTTACCAATTTCCACACTTTAACTTGAAACAAAAGCACAAGATAACCACATAACTGACATACAAGAACTGAAGCCATGAGGTAGATAGAATGAACCCTAGTGGCTCAGTGTCATGCTTAAGTCATAAAAAATAACAGTAACGGTCCCTAAATTTCCCACAGGCTGGTAAACACTGGAGATTTTTAGATATTTGCCCTTCCCTGCCTGGGAATTTTTCCTCCACCCGTCCTCCCTCCTGTCTCAAGACAATGCCATCAGCCTTTGAAACTGCATCCATTGTAAACAGCTCTGAATATTAACACGGCCCAGAGTTCTGTTCGCTTTTAAAAGACCCCCAGGGTTTCAAATTGCAGTCACTGAGGAGGGGGAACGTACCCAGTGAGTAAATGTCACATAGCTCATTCAAAAGGAATTGAAAGTTAGGCTTGCTCGTGAAACTTAAAGTCCTTCTACCTATGGGGTAGGTCAGAGGAATCCCTTTTATGTTTTAAACAAACGAGGAAAAGAAGAAAGAAAGACTCTGATACAACCAACATCCTTTACTGCATATAACAACTTTCAATTCAATGAATCCCTCTTCTAGATTTCCCTCTCCTGTGCATGCCACTTTTTAAATAACTATAGGCTATTTTAAACAACCTCCACCCAGCCTTCCTATCTAACAGACCTTCAGGGCTTTAGCAGGTGCACAGCACTGGGCCAGGTGCATTGTTAAGTCACACAAAACCCCAGTGCTCTCTCCTGCATTCCTGTCCACCCTGAAAGAGAGGAGGCTGAAGACTTTGCACCAAGGAGACACCCCTGCAGAAGCGGGAGAGGCCCTTTCATTGTGATCATGGTGTCTGAGGGAGAGAAAGGTCAGCCAGAGGCCGTCCCAATGGACTCAGGGAAGCTGCAGGGAGAACCCAGGCAAAGTAATTAACACTGGAGGGAGGAAAGCTTTCAGCTAACGGTGCAGAGCTGGGGAGATGGGACATGAGGACATCCACTAGGAACCAGCTCTCATCACACTACACTTAATTTTTCTTCATCTTTCTGAAGATGGTTCCGAGAATTACTGCTGATAATATGTTCAAAAGTCCAAAGTCTGTAAAATCTAGTAACCAAATATAATTATGCAAAGAGACAATACACTACTTTTTAAAACAGTCCCTTGAAAAGCGGGGCAGGAACAGTTCTGACATGTCCTAAAGGCAAGAGGGACATTGTGTGCCAATACACAGTTAATTTACATGGGGCGCTGGGAATCTCTGGACACTTCCTACTTTAGCAGTACTCAAAGAATAGATATTACGGCCACAATTTCATATCAGCAAGACTTAAACAGTGTGCCTTTTTCTCACGACAACCAATATTATTTGCCAGAAATCTCACCTTACTCAAAAAAAGTTGTCAGAGAGCTATCAACAGACAAGTTATCCCCCAACAAGAGGGAAGACACTTGTTGCAAAAGAAAAGGACTCTGAGCTCAAGCTAAAGTTCCCTGAAACTCTAAGAGCACTTGCACCTTTCAGACTGTATTCTTGGCAATTAACCTGTGTTTAAAATGCTCCCTATTCCAAACAACCCAGGTTCTTCCCTGTCCCACAAATCGGAAGACTTTTGTTTCAAAGTCTGTTGAGTTTAAGTGATATGGAGAAGGAAATATTTCAGGACCATCCATACAACAATCTACTTTAAAAAAAAAACATGAATCTCAGTTTAGGTTCCAGAACAATTTGGTGATCTGCACTTTAAACTTAATTTGCATAAACAGGATGGAAAGTATTTTCCAAACCCTTAATTCACAACACCCTGCACACCTGGGCCTTCCAGCACAGCTGTAAAATTTGAAAGACAAAGGCCCTCTTTGCTTCCCAACCACAATGGCAACCACAGTTGGTGTTTATTTTCTAAGGTAATCATAAGTACCACTTCTTTGCCAAAACTGGCAAGGTTAGATTTAAGCTAACTGATCTGGTATTGCAAACACATAGTACAAAGAGATCAAAATCAATAAACTCATCTTAATGTGGCTTAGGATAACCACACTTGGTATACACTTTTGTGAATATCCTTGCTTTAGAATGCTCTGTCATCTTCACTCCACACTGAGAACAAAAATCAGGGTTTGTTCTTCCTCTAGGCCTGCCTTCCTAATCCTAATCCCAATCCCAATGGGCTACCATTCAGCTCTCAGGACATTTAAACTAGCAACATTTTGTGACTAAACACTGCTGAAATTTACGGCACAGGTAAGAGTCTAAGGTAAACTGTATTTAATACTTCTTAAATAGCTTCTGAAGCCATGCTCTCAAAAATAATTTCAAAGAAAGCAAATATCTGAGTTCTAAGAAGTTCAACTTCTTCTCAGGTTCTGGGAAGTTGGAATAAGGCTTGGCAGTGGCTTGGTGCTATTTATGAATGTGCTAGTTGGACCATGCCAATCTCACCTACGTAATGGGCTGGGAGACTTAAATTATGGCTTGACTACTACAACTGTAAGTTATTGTGCTGAAAAGTTATCCTCAGGCCCCAAAAATGAACCGATTATCATTATCCATTCTGTTTCTTCTATTCACACTGCATTTACATTCACTATTTAAAAGTTTTATTTTTCTTATATCAGGCCTAGAAGCAACTTCCACATCAGACGCACTGTTTACAAAAAAAAAAAAAAAAAAAAAAAAGGTCCCATAAAGCCACAGGTCCTCTGCTATCTCAAACCCACAGCCTGAAGTTGTTTGAACTAGCTGCAGTAAATCCAGTTCATGGGTTTATAAACTAGCTCAAAGCATTTTCTAGACACCGTGGGCTTAGAGCGTGTAAACTTGGTGAAACTACAAGATATTTCATTATATCATATACAGACACTTTCTCCCCTAAAGTCTTGCTGAATCTTAGCCAGGAATACAAACCATATAAATACTCTTATGGAAATTCCAGAATAAGACTCACGGAGACTAATGATTTAAATTCAGAAGTCTGAAGTCTAGAAAAAAAGAACACATTTGCTTGATTTGTCCTTAATCAGAAATAAGAAAACTTCACAAATATTTTTCAAAGGATAGCCATTTTGCACTGCATACTGTGTTGCTACATACTAACCAGAAATCATGCTGCTCATATCTTAAAATCGAATCAGTCAACACCATAATCAGTATACTAAAGTCTACTGATGCTCAAAATACCCACTTTGGTATTTCTCGATCATCAAATGTGTGAGTAAAAGAGAAGGACTTCAATTTTGAAGGTATTTATGCCATGTGAAATGTCACTCCTAGGCAACAGAAAGCCTAAAGAAATAACCAGTATGTTTTGCTCCAAAAATTAAAGGGCAAGGCAAAGTGGATCTTGTGACCATAGGAAAGTGCAAATAAGAGGACACCCTGCCCTCTCTGGGAAGTTACTTCTGTGGAACTAAGTGCTTTCCCCACAATGCCACTGACACATGGCATTGGGAGTCACTCTTCCAACAGGTGAACACTTAAGAAGTTAATCTGATTTTGCCCACATGATTCTATTTAAAAAAAAAAAAAAAAACTACCGTATGTAAGGGAAAAATCACAATACCCCAGACTAAATAAGAGACTACCTAAGGACAATACTGGGCTCTATCTCCCAGTACTTCACAAAAGCTCTGCCTCCACCCTACGACCACTGATTTTCACTAACTCAGTAAATTCCACAGAAGAAGTAGATATTGAAAACCTAACTGTAACTAAAGGGTTCCTGGTTGTCTTCAGAACTCTGTAGTACTTGTTCATGGAGCAGTGTCTCGGGCCAAGTTAAAGATTCGTGCCCCATTTTGAGAGGTACAGGATCTTTACATTTAAAAGGAATTAACTTTTCTTCCCTTCACGGTAGTCAGAACACAGGCCACATTTTCTTCGATCAAGCCACAGGTGCTGGTTACAACTTGTGACACCAGTTTTCTCTTTTTAAAACAGCCATAGTCATGCCTAAGGTTACTGCTGTGCCTTTCCTATGTTCTAGGAAAAATGTCCAATTATTCAACCGAAATGCGGACTATTTAAGCTAGGCCTTTTCTGGAAAGGTACTAATGGTTCTACAGAGATGCTAATTACCCATAACTGAACGGGATTTGACTCATGCACCAGATTTGTTAGAAGTAAAAGAAGACTATTCTATTCTACCATGTTTACACAGAAGTCTAATGCCTTTTTTTTCCTGTCAAATCTCCTGTAAGAAGTGTCCCACTAAGTCCTAATAAGCCCACATCCTGACAGCACAGAAAAGAACCTCTTTCGGGTGAAACAAACAGCTTAAATCAGCCAAGCCCCTGGCACCCTCTCCTGAAGCAGCACTTCTCCAAAACTCATTTGCACCATTTATGGAGGAGAGAGTCTTGAGGGTGGGCCCCACCCCACTGGATCATCAAGCCCAATGGGGCCCCAGGGAACACACAGGAAGGGTCTGGAACACAGTTCCGTAAAATGCCAAACAGGCGTAAAAGGACAAACTCCCAGCACTCACAGGTCGCCAGGAACTGTCAAAGCCCTCTAACTCAGGGGTCCTCGGGGGAAGACTGCCTTCTGCCCCGCACAGAGAGGCAAGTCAGGCCACCACGGTCTTCGGGGATCAGGAGACGGCTACACACACTATCAACTAATAAATAATGTAAACGAAAGACTGGACCCAACAGTCACCTTCATTCATTACCCACTGGAAGACCAAGGAGCTCAGACACCAAATAGTTGGATTACAGGAGAGGAAAAGGAAACGCACCCACATACCCCCACAGACTTCTTCACACTCTTCTCCAGACGTTTCCCACCCACCCACCCGCAAACACACTCAGCTCCAGACTCCCACTCACTCACCCCCAGATGGCCCGCACGACGCGTGCTGGCTAACCCCCAAATCTCTACGACCCACGCTCGCTCGTCTCCAGACCCCACGAGGCACGCTCTTCTTCTCCAGGCTCTCTCGCACGCCTACTCCCCCGGACCTCCACGCAGAATCTCCCTTCCGCCACTCCAACCTGACAGTCTTCCAACACGCACAAGCACGCACAACTCCACACACACAACCCAGTCCGCACCCCCTCCCTGAGTACGAACCCCCGCCGCTCCATCCCCAAGTGACAGAGCCCCGGGGCGCAGAGAGGGCGGAAAGGGCGGCACTCACAGGCTCCGCGTCCAGGAGGGCAGGTCCCCGGGCAACGCAGCCAGCCCGCGCCCACCGCAGTCCAGCGAGTCCCCAGCGCAAGTGCAGGCGGCCGCGCAGGGCGCCCGCGGGCCGGCCGCGGCGGTCACCGGCTCCAGCCGAAGCAAAAGCAGCCAGAGAAGGAGAAGGCAAGGCGAGCGGCGCGGGGCCCCGAGCCCTCCCCGGACCGGCCGCGCCATCTTGTCTGGAGCGCGCTGCGAACTCCGGGCGCGGGGACTGTGAGGACCCGAACGGCCGCAGACGCGGGCGGGCCCGCGGGGCGCTCCGCTCGGCTCTAGACTCCGCACCGGGGCATGGCCCCCGCCCCAAGTTCTCTCTGCGGCCGCGGCTCCGGCACTCAGCGTGCCCCCGGTGCCCGGGCCGCTCCGGAGCACCCGGCGGGGGCCGCAAACCCCGCGCCCATCCGGGCCGGCCGGCCCGCCCGCGCTAGCTGCGAACTCCGCCGATTCGGGCAAGGTGTACCCAGCCTGCGCTCTTCGTCCGCCCGGGGCACGCCGAGTGCCGCTACCGACACCGGCCGAGGGCAGTGCTGCCGCTGCGCCTGGAAGACAGGCGTTCAGCCCCGCAGCCCGAGCTCGGTGCCGGCAGGCATCTTCCTCTGGGCTCGGAGCGCAAAGCCGTAGACCTCGGGCTGGACGGCGCGGCCGGCCCCGCGCTGGGAGGCCCCAGTGCGCCTCGCTGTCCCCACGCCGCGGCCAGAGAGCGCGCGCGCGCGCGCAGCCTCGGGTTCCGCACGGCTCCTCCGCGCAGCAAGAGTCCCGCCGACCTCGCAGCCGAACAATCAGCCGCTTGCTGTTCGCCTCCCCGCGGCCCAGCCCCGGCCGGTCCCCCAAGCCCCGCCCCCGGCCGCTCGCCCGCACACACCCCCTAGGCTCCGCGCTCCGCGGCCGCCTGCTGGCCCACGTTGGATGCTTTGCAACAGCGCCCCGCCACGCCTCCCCGCCTGCTGCTCATTGGCTGCCGGAGTCCACCGTGGCCAGCCTCGAGGGCCATTGGAGCGCTCGCTGTGATCCCGCCCCTCCCGCTTCACCGGCTACCCCGCCCCCACACTCTTTTCCCACCCAAGGTGTGAAGGGCGGGAGACTGGGAGGAGAAAGGGAGGGACGGCCCCCGCCTCTTAAAGGAGACACGCAGGTTGTTGTTGGAGAACGGGAACGCGGGCTGGGGAAAGGAGGCGTGAAGATACGCCCTCTGCGTCAAGAAGGGGAGAGAAAGTTAAGAGGGTAAAACGCCCCCGTTTTGGGGCTGTCTGGCCCCAAGGCTTTTTACGTCCTCCTCAGGCTGCAAGCAGGACTGCAGATTAGAAGCAAACCCGCGTCCGTTTTCCAGGTTCCTTCCAAAAGCGAAGACACAGGTTTAAAACTTAACACATTTCTTCCTGACTGGGACATCCTTGGTTATTTCATTAGGCGTGGTCCCCTTCCTCCTCGAGCAGCCTGGAGCATCTGCTCCTGACTTGTTCTTCACGTCCTAAATCCAGCAATATGTCCTTGATTACTAAAATGAATGTGTGCTGCAGAAACCTAGTCTCAAAGGTGCACCCTCGGCCAGGAGTGGTGGCTCACGCCTGTAATCCCAGCAGTTTGGCAGGCCAAGGCGGGCGGATCACCTGAGGTCAGGAATTCGAGACCAGCCTGGCCAACATGGTAAAACCCCGTCTGTACTAAAAATGAAAAATAAAAAAATTAGCCAGGTGTGGTGGTGCACACCTGTAATACCAGCTACGGGAGGCTGGGACAGGAGAGCTGCTTGAACCCCGGAGGCGGAGGCTGCAATGAGCAGAGACTTGTCACTGAATTGTCACTGAATTCCAGCCTGGGTGACAGAGCGAAACTCCGTCTCAAAAAAAAAAAAAAGTGCACTCTCCTTCCCAGCTAGTGAGTTGAAGGGTACTTCTAGAAATGCTGCAGCCTTTGATAAAGGGGTTGCTTTGTTGTTGTCATTGGGTTTTTGTTTTAATCAGAGTCTTTTTAAGATAATTTTCAAGAAGCCATTGTGTATTCGTAAGAGACAGAGTTAAAGGAGAAATAATAGTTAACAAAGCTTCTAACTTTTGCTCTTAAAGATCAGACCATAGTAGTAGTGTGTTACGATAGTACGTGGTAACATTAAGCAGACATACACACATTGAGAAAAAAAGAAAAAGATTACCACTGTAACATATAGCTGCCCTCTGGGCGTTTTGGTTTGCTAGTGTCTCATATCCCTTCCCAAGAGTATGCAAATTACTAACATAACTGCGCACATTGTCAGGAAGATTAAGCAGGTCAAGTCTGTTGAAAAACATTTGCTCCAGAACATTAAATCTGAGTTGTGTTTTATGGAAGTGGGGTGGGGTGGGAGGTAAAGAGGAGAAGTTGAACCTTAGGGAAAAAAGGCAAAAAAAAAAAAAAAATTAAAGGGTTTATTCCATTTTCGACACAATCTAAGAGGTTTGCTTTAATTGAGATGCACTAAATGTGTTAAACTTTCCCTCAGCCATAAGATCACCTCTTTTCTTTAGCCAAAATGTGATCTTCCTATCCCTTCCTCCCCTTTTTCCTTCTTCCCCTTCTGAATTCATTGCGCCTCATTTTTTTCTTGTTTAATTTTGCATGATCTCAGCAGTGATGCCCAAAGCAGTGCTCAAATATGTGGGTAAATCAATTCAAATCTAATTCCCAAGAAATATTATCAGAAAAATGCTGCACCTGACCCATCCCACCCAGAGCTTTAACCAGCTTTTATGTTTCATATGTAATCCAAATAAACATACACCTTCCATCTGGACGAGAAGAAATATGTCCTTTTGTTCTATCCCTTTTGGTAAATATAATAATAATAAGCAGTGGGAATGGAATTAAAAAGACCCTAAATTTATGAAGTCCTCTCAGTCAGTGTTTAAGTTTTACACAAAGAACACAAAACAGTAATTTGATGCAGAATACCCACAGCCGTTTCCTGAAATGAAACTGTCAGATCCTCCCTGTCCCCACCCCACAATAAAACAGCATATGCAGCAAAAAATGAATTGAACTGATTGAACTACTTGAGATGCTGACCTAAAATTATCTTTCAGGTTTGTCTCATTTCTAGTACTATAAAAGTGGGTAATTCTTGTAAAATGTTTTTTCAAATGTGTATGGGTGTACTTGTGAGATGCCTTTTTGGAATCTTAGTTTTCTGGAGGATAGAATTTAAGAATCTGCAAGGTGAGGGAGTGCCCACAAATCTAAAGCATCCCTTGTGGTCTGGTTACCATGCAGCCAGAGAAAAGGATTCCAAAGCCGGGGCACACTTGGGGGGACAGGGCGCCTAAGCCTTGGCAGTTCCTCTCGTCTACAGCAAAGCATGAAGTCATGTCTGCTCCCCATACCATGTATGGAAGTTTGCCCACATACTAGCAACCTGCTTGTGATTGCAATGAGAGTGTGAACTTGGAGAGCAGTGATATCCAGCTCAGGGGGGAATTCATCTGCAGCCACCACCTAAGATGAAGGAGATCTCAACAACAACAACAGCAAATGTCTAAGGGAATCTATGTCTCTGCTCATAAAAGTGCAAGTCTTGGTCCATTCAGCACAGAGCAACAGTTGATTTGGGTGCTGTAGGTCCTTATTTTCCTCACACTGCAACTTTGATCTTTCTAAATGCTTATTCCTTAAATGAGTCATCCGGGGATTTTAGATTTTCCAGTTCATTTTCATCTACCCCAGGGATAGCATGGAATCAAACCCCAGTGAGAATCTCTGCAGGTCTCTCTTGACTCCAGAAGCCCTAGCAGTTAATCATCCTAAGTTAATCATGCTTGAGAGAGGAACCCAAAATCTAAATAGCCTGAAATCTATTGGGGAGAGAAGCAAATAACAAAATAACAAGAAAGAAGGTTAACCATAGGAATTTTTTTTTTTAACACAACTTCCTGGGGACTGAATTTGTGCCAGTTTGCTATAGTTCTAGGTGGTGGTCTTTAGTGGTTTTAAAGAATGCTGAGATTCAGAGGGGCTTTCTTAATGTTAGGTGAGATTTTACACTGTGTTCAATACATTAAAAAAGCACCAGGTCACCATTCAGGAGAGCTGGGTTCCAGCCAGGCCTTGTTATGGGTGAAACCTTTGACCAGTCATTTTCTGTCTTGGAGCCTCAGTTTTCTCAAATAGAAAACAAGGGGCTGGGCACGGTGGCTCACGCCTGTGATCCCAGCACTTTGGGAGGCCGAGGTGGGGGGATCACCTGAGATCAGGAGTTCAAGACCAGCCTGGCCAACATGGTGAAACCTCATCTCTACTAAAAATACAAAAATTAGCCGGGTATGGTGGCACACACCTATAGTCCCAGCTACTTGGGAGGCTAAGGCAGGAGAATCGCTTGAACCCGGGAGGCGGAGGTTGCAGTGAGTCGAGATCGCACCATTGCACTCCAGCCTGGGTGACAAGAGCAAAACTCCATCTCAAAAAAAATATATATATAAAAGAAAAATAGAAAACAAGGATAATGGTACTTGACCTGGGTGCTGAGTGAGTAAAGAAGGATCATTTTGATAAAGGACCAAAGGGGCATTATAAACTGTTTACATCTCATTGTTTTCAAGGTGTTATTGATTTGTTAACTCTGAAAAACTGAGAGCCCATATGTATAATGTAGATGGAAAATCTTAGCAGGTTGTTTCAGCAGGAAAGTTTCTTGTCCAGGAATGTGACAAAGGGTTAATAATTAGCTATGAAACCCCTGAAGACTTGCAGGGTGATGACAGCCCTGCTTTGAGCCTGTTTTCTATCTCTCTTCCAAGGAAAATAAAACTGTGTACTCATTAACTCCTTCGTCGCAATAATCTTGTCAAGGAGATGGATGGGTGGAGAAGGTAAGAGAGGAGGCTAATGAGTCTGGGAATAGAATATAAAAAGAGAAAGATTTTGAGATCTCCCCATCCCCCATTCCAACATTTGCCTTTGGTGGAGGTAGTTTTCTTGTGCAATCTCTGGCTATTGGAATATTGGTTAATGCCCAGACAGTGCCAAGCTGCAGCTGCTGCAGTTCCACAGCAAGAATGGTTGTTGCCTGCAGCTCAGCTGTGACCCTTCACAGGATCTGCCCTCCTCCACAGAGCACCATCGACAGGGGCCAAAAACCTTTAGAGTCCACTTTCTAACACAAACTAGAACCTTGACACTTGTCCTTGCCTTGTGAATGTGAAATGTTTACTGGTTCACTGAAAGGATGAAAAAAAATATGTCAAAGGTATGAGCATTTCATAATTCTGAGATTGAGATTCTGGAGTAATGGTCATTGTAGGAGGCAGTCCCTTACCTCTGACGGTGATGATGATGGGATGGACTAATTACATCATCACCAGAGACCGCACCTCTCACTCCCAATCTGCTGCCTTTGCAAATGTCACTCCGAGAAGTACATGAGGGCGAGTGCAGGGAGGATTCAAAGTTTATGCCTCACTGCCAACCACTCAGAACTAACACTGCAATGTATATAAAGAACAGCACATTGATCATAACATAATAATAATCTTATGAAGTCATATACCTTACATTTTTCAAAGCACTGTCACATCATAACAACAGCTATCATTTACGGAGCACTTTTTATATGTCTTTCATGTTGTTGAGTGCTTTATGTACTTTTTTCAGTGAGGTAGGAGCTAAGAAAAACGTTTAAGGCCACACAAGCTAATAAGTGACAGGGCCAAGATTCCAAACCAGTTCTGTGGACACCAAAGATCTATTTTGG
Organism: Homo sapiens; assembly: GCF_000001405.40. Taxonomy (NCBI): domain Eukaryota; kingdom Metazoa; phylum Chordata; class Mammalia; order Primates; family Hominidae; genus Homo; species Homo sapiens. The sequence continues at coordinate 66,505,950 of NC_000003.12, forward strand.
GCTGGGCACGGTGGCTCAATTCCTGTAATCCCAGCACTTTGAAAGGCCAAGATGGGTGGATCACTTGAAGTCAGGAGTTCGAGACAAGCCTGACCAACATGGTGAAATCCCTTCTCTACTAAAAAGAAAAATATTAGCTGGGCATGGTGGTGCATGCCTGTAGTCCCAGCTACTCAGGAGTCTGAGGCAGGAGGATCACCTGAGCCCAGGAGGCAGAGGTTGCGGTGAGCCGAGATCGAGCCACTGCATTCCAGCCTGGGTGACAGAGCAAGACCCTGTCTCAAAAACAAAGAAACAAAAAACCCCAAAGATCTATTTTGACATTTGAGCCTCCTAAACTTTGAATATGAAAATTGTTATTGTTCCCACTTTACAGATGAGAAAGCTGAGGTTCAGTGATTGTCCCAAGGTCACGCGGCATCAGGAATAAATAGAATCTTAAATCACAAGTTTCATCACAACCACCAGCACACATATTTTATATTCAGTGAATGTCTTACGAAGTGTATCATGGAGCTTCTTTCTCAGGGATGCCATGAGAATGGATGTGATTTCTTTACTTTTTCATATTTACTAATAGATTTTCAAAGTTCCCTCTATGATTAATAAGTTAAAATTTTAAAGGATAAATATCTAGACTTTTCTCTCCCCCCATACCCAGCAGTACTTGTATAACAACAGTGGTTAACATTACTGATCACTTACTATGTGCTAGGCATTATTTCACATCATGGCTTAATTTCACTGAAGAATTCTATGAGATACCTTAGAGATTGTCATCTTACATATGAAGTTACTGAAACTCTGAAATCAATCCCCTTGCCCACATTATACCCTAATTAGGTGCTGAGCAGGAAGAGGCTCACAGCTAACCTACCCCAATCACACTCCCTCTCTTATCATTCTCACTTTTGATTATTTTTCCTGTTTATCTCTTCCTCCAGTCTAGTAGCTCAGTAAGTTAAAAGTAAGTTAAAAGACTGAGTCTAAATCCCTTCTTGGTATTCCTGTTGTCTAACACAATTCCAGGCACATGGTAGGCACAGAGACAATATTTGCTGAGTGAGTCCTGCCTGCCCTGCAAGGAGGGAGAATTATCAAGCCTCTTTCCTCCCCCATTTTATTTTATACATGCTTGCTATTCACATATGTGTGCTGACCACATCAATATTACCTGGAGCTTCTCAGAAATGTGAACCTTAAGGCTGGGCACAGTGGCTCATGCCTGTAATCCCAGCATTTTGGGAGGCCAAGGTGGGCGGATCACCTGAGGTCAGGAGTTCGAGACCAGCTTGGCCAACATGGTGAAACCCTGTCTGTACTAAAAATACAAAAATTAGCCGGGCATGGTGGCATGCGCCTGTAGTCCCATCTACTCGGGAGGCTGAGGCAGGAGAATCGCTTGAACCAGGGAGGCAGAGGTAGCAGTGAGCTGAGATCACACTATTACACTCCAGCCTTGGTGACAAAGTGAGATTCTGTCTCAAAAAAAAAAAAAAAAAGTAATTTCAAAAATAAAGACAAGCATGTGGCTGACATTATTGCACCTAAATTGAAGCGCATGCAAAACATCTGCTGCCCATGAGATTTTGGTAAAATCCTCTCGTGCCATTCAATTCTCTTTTCCTTCACCATGCATTCAGACTAATAAAAAGCATTTGCAAATTTTATAGCCTGTTATATTTGTTTCCAAAAGGACAGTTGGGTTTATGACACATTTCAAATTTATTATAAACCTACAGACAGACACATATTATATGCTTTTCACTGTCATTCTTATCCATGAGCTACATTCTTTAGATAATCATTTAAATATCCTTATTTCCCTGGGGGAGCTTGACACTCCTCTTGGATTTAGATGCTATAAATCAAAGAAAAGTCTTTGTCTTTTCCGCAACTCTTTCTTATTTGAAGTGCCTTGACTGGTTACTATTTGGAGAAGGCAGCTGTATAGAATAATTGTCTGCCGACGGCCACTAGCAGTTTCTCCCCTCAAGAGGCAAAGTCTATTTTCTCTCCCTCTTAAATCTGGATTGGCCTTGTGCCTCGCTCTGACTGATAGAATGCAGTGAGAGTGACGCTCTTACCAGTTCTGGGCCTGGCAGCTTTGTCTCTCACCCACTTCCTACCTGGAGCTGTCATGTAAGGAAGTCCAGGCTGCCCTCCTAGAAATAGAGGCCCTGGAGGAGAAGAGACCATGGAGAGAGAGAGGCAACGTGCAAGAAAACTGGGTGGCCCAGCCAACAGCCAGCATCATAACCCCAGACATGAGAGTGAACTCATTTTGGACCTTTTAGCACAGACCAGCTAAATGCAACTGCACAAATGAGCCTCGCCAACATCACATGAGCAGGGCTAAGCCATCCCCAAGGGTCTTTCCCAAATTCCTGACCCGCAAAATCATGACCAATAAAAAAAGCTCTTGTTTTAAGCCACTAAATTTTGGGGTGACTTGTTATGCAGCCATAGATAACTGAGATAACAAGTGTGGCTAAGTGAGCATGCAATAAAACGTGAGTGGATTTTGGGGGAGGAATAAAATCTAATCAAATAAACCCGTCATCAGGAGTGTCAAAAAAATTAGTGTTATCAGCTGACCTTCCTGACGTGTTTGTCAGGGCCCTTGATTGAACGCAACAGGCTAACTGGCTGATGCCATCGAACAAAACTTCTTAGATAATAAATATTCTGGTTCTTCAGCAGGCCACAAAACAGGTTCCCTTCCACTTCTCTTAGAAACAGGTATGAGAGAAATGCAGAGGATCTGCTTATTTATAAAAGGTATGTTCTCTTATGTAACCCCATGGCATCCAGGTAAAATAACTGATTGAGAGGATGAAATAATTGAAGATCTATTCTTCCCGAAAAGATCAGATAAGGCTTAACGTGTTTACTCCATTTTTCATATGGGACAAATAAATGAATATTTTAAAATGGAATCCTAGCCATAAAACTGACACTGAGATACAGAGTTTGGGGGTATGCTTTGGTAGCGGGTGACAGTGGTGGGGATTATATCTCTTAGCTGTGTGCTAACCTTTAAGTTCTGCAAAGCATAGCTTACTGCCTCCTTATATATTGTCTTGCACTCTTCTCCAGCTCTCATTTCTTAGAAGCCATCACTGTTAAGCAGTGCTGCTTACAAAATCAAGTTAGCTAAGTCCCTGCCATCAGAGAGTTTATAATCTGATGGTATTGTTGACTGCTAGGTCCCCAGGATCTAGAACAGTGCCTGACAAATAGCAGGCATTCAATACATATTACTGAACGAATACATGATCAAATGAATGAACGGTTTTCTGTATGCAAACCTCATTTTCCAGTCAAGGCTATAAGCAGCTCACAGGAAGCAGGCCCCAGAGCCACAGACTATTGGAAGACAAAGGGATTTCGTGTCTTTGAGTGCAGTAGGTCAGGGTGAAGCCTGCCGGATCATCAGATCTGCCAGGTCAGAAACTTCTAGTGACCAACCACCCAGGTTTGGAACTCAGGGGTTTCCCAGGTCATGGGACTTCAAGTGCTAAAATAGGAAAGTTCTGGAAAAATCAGGACAAATTGGCCACCCTAATTGTAATTCTAGTTTCTAAATGCACACTTAGAACCTTTTGCATGCCGTATAGCTAAGCTATATGAGAACCTACTACAGTATGCACCAGGGAATAACTTGAGTGGTTCAAATGCATCAACTCATTTGATCCTCCCTACAGCCCTATGAGGCAGAACTATTAAAATCTTTTCTTTCTATAAAATAGAACACTGAGGTGCAGAAGGAAGTAATCTGCTGAAGATCACACAGCTAGGAAATTAGACTCCAGAGCTCACACTTTATTATTATTATTGTTATTATTATTGAGACAGGGTCTTGCTCTGTATCCCAGGTTGGAGTGCAGTGGTGCAATGTCAGCCCACTGCAAACTCCACCTCCCAGGCTCAAGCAATCCTCCCATCTCAGCCTCCCGAGTAGCTGGACTACAGGTGTGTGCCACCATGCCCAGCTAAGTTTTTGTATTTTTAGTAGCAACATGGTTTCTCCATGTTAGCCAGGCTGGTCTCGAACTCCTGAGCTCATGCGATCTTCCAGCCTCAGCCTCCCAAAGTGCTGGAATTACAGGCATAAGCCACTGCACCTGGCCCAGAACTCACACTTTAAACCAGCACTCTCGTATACTTTATTATAGTAGATTCCCAGCTCCTTCTCAAAATTTGTTTTAAACCTCATTCTTTTATTTGTATTCATAACACCTTTCACAGTTTCCAGTTATTTTTAGATTTTGTCAGCCCATTTTGTATCTGACTCTTTCTAATAGTAGGGCTGGAGCCTGAGGCCAGGGACCTCCACTCTACCCCTCAGGGTCTCTCACAGCACCTGGCATGAGAAAGGCTCAGGACAGATATGCGGAATGAATGCAGTAGACATGAAACCTCTAGGTTGACTGAAGGACTGATTGAGGTAGATTTCTAGCTCAAAGGGAATCTAATATTAACCAACATCTACCATGTTTCAGCCATCATCCAGGTAAAAACGCTGGCCAAACTTGGGCTTCAAGGGGATTAATTTGGCCTGAAGTGTTTATTTTTAAAAATTTGAATTTGACCTGCCTTTAGGAGGTAGGCATCTGCTGTCTTAATTTATATTTCCTGCCTGCCCACCCCACCAGGCATTTGAGTTTGCAACTATGATCCCAGCCTTTCTCTAACACTCATTCATTTATCCTTTACAGCAAGCCTCTGTAGTAGGCATTTCCGTCGGCTGTTTATAAATAAGAAAACTGAAGCTTGGAAAGCATAGGTAACCTGGCCAAGGTCAAAAACTTATGAAATGGGGAATAGTACTCAACTCAGGGCTGACTCCTCTTGCTATATCCACTCCTTCACTCCTCAGCCACTAAGTTCCTCTAGCCAACACATGAATGAGAGACCTATTACTTCTCAGTCAACATATCTGTTTTACAAGAGTGTGGCTTCTACACAGAGTTTGACTCCACCTGCATTCAATACAGTCAATCCAAATGTGTCCCAGGGTCTCCTAAATGTTTCTCTCCCATGATTCACCACCTCTCCCATGCCCCCCAGTAGAACATGGTGTTCTGGAAGCTAAGTAGGAGGGATAGTTCACTGTGGGAAATGCTTTTGGAAGATCTAGGTGAAAACTAAGAACTGATCATTGGATTTAGCATCAGATTTATTGTAACCTTGACGATGGCTCTTTTGGTGAAGTAGAGAGAACGAAGGCAAGATTAGAGTATTAAAGAGAGAACTGAAGGTAATAATAATTTGGCACAATGATGACAGCCTTTTTGAGGAGTTGTGTTATCAAAGCTAACAGAGAAATGGGATGATCGCTGGAGAGGGAAGTGGAGTCAGGAGAGTTTGTTTTATTTTGAGATGAGAGAAATAACATGGCATTTTTAATGATGGAAATACATTTGTAGAGAACAGAAAAAAATCAATAATGTACTAAGGGAAGGGGAGAAATGTGAGAGCAATATTCTTGAAAAGCCAAGAGTGGACAAGGGGAGAGGATGATTTTACCTTGGACCAAAGAGTCTTAAAGAAGCTGGAAGGCAGATTACAGGCACACCTTGCATATATTTCAGGTTTGGTTCCATACCACTACAATAAAACAAATATTACAATAAACAGAGTCACAAATATGTTGGCTTCTCAGTGCATACAAAAGTTATATTTACATTGTTCCATAGTCTATTAAGCGTGCAATAGCGTATGTCTAAAATAAAAGTACATATCTTACTTTAAAGATGTTGTATTGCTAAAAAATGCCAATGATCATCTGAGCCTTCAGCAAGTTGTAATCTTTTTGCTGGTGGTGGGTCTTGCCTCAATGTTTGATGGCTGCTGACTTATGAGGGTGGTGGTTGCTAAGGCTGAGGTGATTGTGGCAATTTCTGAAAATAAGACAACAGTAAAGTTTGCTGCATAGACTGATTCCTCCTTTCGCAAGATTTCTCTGTAGCGTGTCATGCTATTTGATAGCATTTTACCCATGGTAGAACCTTTAAAATTGGAGTCAATCCTCTCAAATCCTGCCTCTGTTTTATCAACTAGGTTAATGTGAAATTCTAAATTCTTGGGCATTTCAACAGTGTTCAGAGCATCTTCACCAGAAGCACATACCATCTCAAGAAACCACTTTCTTTGTTTATCCATAAGAAGCAACTCTTCACCTGCCCATGTTTGAGCATGAGATTGCAGCAATTCAGTCACATCTTCAGGCTCCACTTCAAATTCCTGTTCTCTTACTATTTCCACTGCATCTCCAATTCCTTCCTCCACTGAAGTCTTGAACCCCTCAAAGTCATCCATGAGGGTTGAAATAAATTTCTTCCAAACTCCTGTTAATTTTGAAGAACATTCACGGCTTCTAAAATGGTGAACCATTTCAAGAAGATTTTAGATTTACTTTGCCCAGATCCAGTAGAGGAATCACTATCTATGGCAGCTGAAATACATTATGAAATATAGTTCTTAAATAATAAGACTTGAAAGTTGAAATTACTCCTTGATCCATGGGCTGCAGAATGGATGTTGTGTTAGCAGGCATGAGAACATTCATCTCCTTGTACATCTTCATCTGAACTCTTGGGTGACCAGGAGCATTGTCAATAAGCTGTGATATTTTGAAAGAAATCTTTTCCTCTGAGAAGTAGGTCTTAACAGTGGGCTTGAAATATTCAGGAAATCATGCTGTAAACAGATATGCTATCATCCAGGCTTTGTTGTTCCATTTCTAGATCAGAGGCAGAGTAGATTTAGCATCTTTTTTTTTTTTTTTTTTTTTTTTTTTTTAGTAGAGACGGGGTTTCACGTATTAGCCAGGATGGTCTTGATCTCCTGACCTCGTGATCCACCTGCCTTGGCCTCCCAAAGTGCTGAGATTACAGGTGTGAGCCACCGTGCCTGGCCAGCATCATTCTTAAAAACTCTAAGGTTATCAGAATGGTCAATGAGCAATGGTTTCAACTTAGAAAGTCATCAGCTTCATTGACCCTAACCAAAAAATCATCCCGTCCTTCAAAGCTTTAAAGCCAGGCATTGATGTTTCTTCTCTAGCTAAGAAAGTCCTAGATAGCATCTTCTTCCAATAGAATGCTGTTTCATCTACACTGAAAATCTATTGTTTAGTGTAGGCACTTTCAGCTATGATCTTAGTTAGATCTTCCTGGATAATTTGCTGCAGCTTCTCCATCAGCACTTGCTGTTTCACCTTGCACTTTTATGTCATAGAAATGGCTTTTTCCTTAAACCTCATGAACCAACCTCTTCTAGCTTCACACTTTTCTTCTGTAGCTTTATCACCTCTGTCAGCCTTCACAGAATTGAAGAGAGTTAGGGCCTTGCTCTGGATTGGGCTCTGGCTTAAGAGAATGTTGTGGCTGGTTTGATCTTCTCTCCAGACCACTTACACTTTCTCCATATCAGCAATAAGGCTGCTTAGCTTTTTTTTAATCATTCCTGTGTTCACTGGGGTAGAACTTTTTCTTTTTTTCTTTTTTCTTTCTTTCTTTCTTTTTTTTTTTTTTTTTTGAGAAGGGGTCTTACTCTGTCACCCACGCTGGAGTGCAGTGGCGTGATCTTGACTCACTGCAGTCTTTGCCTCCCAGGCTCAAGCGATCCTCCCACCTCAGCCTACTGAGTAGTTGAAACCACAGGCATGTCCCACCAAGCCCGGCTAATTTTTTGTATTTTTGGTAGAAACAGGGTTTCGCCATGTTCCCCAAGCTGGTCTTGAACTCCTGAGCTCAGGAAATCCACCCACCTCGGCCTCCCAAAGTGCTCGGATACAGGTGTAAGCCACTGCGCACGGCCTGGGATAGCACTTTTAATTTATTTCAAGAACTTTTCCTTTGCATTCACAACTTGGCTAACTGGTGTAAGAGGCCTGGCTTTCAGCCTATCTCAGCTTTCAACATACCTTCCTCACTAAACTTCTTATTTCTAGCTTTTGATTTAAAGTGAGAGATGTGTGACTCTTCCTTTCACTTCAACACATGGCGGCCAGTGGACAGTTATTCATTGGCCTAATTGCAATATTGTTGTGTCTCAGGAGATAGGAGGTCCAAGAAGAGGGAAAGAGACTGGGAAATTGTGGCTGCTGGAGCAGTCAGAACATACGCCACATTTATCTGTTAAGTTTACCATCTTCTATGGCATGGTTTGTGGCGTCTCCCCACAATAACAACAGTAATATCAAAGATTACTGATCACAGATCACTAAAACATACATAATAATAAAGAAACAGTTAAAAATATTGTGAGAATTACCAAAATGTAACAGAGACACAAAGTGAACACACGCTATTGGAGAAATGGCACTGACAGGCTTGCTTGATGCAGGATTGTCACAAACCTTCCATTTTTTTTTAAAGCATTATCTGCAAAGCATAATAAAATGAGGTGTACCTCATTATCCAGTGCAGGTAGCCATGGTGGTAGGAGTTTCCGGCTATTCTCTCTCTCTCTCTCTTTTTTTTTTGAAACGGAGTTTCACTCTTGTTGCCCAGGCTGGAGTGCAATGGCGTGAACTTGGATCACTAAAACCTCCACCTCCCTGGTTCAAGCAATTTTCATGCCTCAGCCTCCCAAGTAGCTGGGATTACAGACAACCACCACCACACCCAGCTAATTTTTTGTATTTTTTAGTGGAGATGGGGTTTTACCACGTTGGCCAGGCTGGTTTCGAACTGCTAATCTCAGGTGATCCGCCTGCCTCGGCCTCCCAAAGTGCTGGGATTACAGGTGTGAGCCACTGCATCCCGCCTTGCTATTCTCTTCTGATTGCTTCTATTTTCTTAATGAAATAGAAGGCAAGATCATTGGCTGAGAGGGAGAATAAGTGATGGAGGTTCAAGGAAACATGAGAAGGTAAAATAGAAGATGTGGCTGTAAAGAGGCATGCTTGATTGTAAAGGGGTTGCTATTATTAGCAAGGTAAGGTATGACTGTGGGAGCAAGAAGCTGAGAATAGAAGAGCAAGGTCAAGCACTCAATAAATGTTTGTCAAATGATGAATGAAAACAAAATCACTGGAGATGATGTGATTCAAAATGTGGGAGGCCAGGAGAGTGAAAAGATCATTTGCATGGTTATGAAAATTACCAAGAATTATGACAGAAAGATTACTGTGAGAGTGAAAGTGGGTCAAGAGTTAAAATCTTTTTGAGGGTCAGTAGATGAGTGCTACAAGGTACCAGAGGGTTTGGGGGGGTGTGGATGAGAGAATCTGAAGTCATAAGATTGAGCCAGGAACAGAGGGTCATGCCTGTAATCCCAGCACAGGAGGCTGAGTCAGGAGAATCCCTTGAGCCAAGGAGTTTGAGACCAGCCTGGGCTACTTAGTGAAACCGTGTCTCTACATTAAAAAATAAATAAATAAAATGTAAAAAACTTAGTTAGGCACTGTGGTGCATGCCTATAGTCCCAGCTACTCAGGAGGCTGAGGTGGGGGGAATCACCTGAGCCTGGGAGGTCAAGGCTGCAGTGAACCATGATTGCACCACTGCATTCTGGAGCCTGGGTGACAGGGTGAGACCCTTCTCAAAAAAAAAAAAAAAAAAAAAGAAAAAGAAAAAGAAAAAATATTATTTATTAAGAAAATTATAAAGAAGATAAAATATATTTACTACTTAAGTGCTAGTGGATCATCATAAAGGTCTGTATTCTTGTCTTCATACTGAGTAGGCTAGAAGGAGGATAGAGAGGAGGAGTTGGTCTTGCTGTCTCAGGGGCAGCAGGGGCAGAAGAAAACCCATGTATAAGTTGACCTGCGCTGTTCAAACTCATGTTATTCAAGGGTCAACTCCACTGTACTCCACCATTGTATCGCAAAAGCAGCCATAGGCAACATGAATATGAACTTATTCATTTAGAATATGTGTAAGTGCATTCCAATAAAACTTTATTTACAAAAACATACTGCAGGCCTGCAGGTGGAAATCTGCTTACTGCAGATCAATACTGCTGAAAAAGCCCAGCTAGGAGAAGGTCTAATGAACAAAAACAGAACATGCTTGTCTGAGGACCAAGAATAAGAAGGATATAAACTTAGGATCCTGGTTGCAAGCAGAGTGGCCATGTATAGTTGTGAAGTTTGTTCACTGCACAACCCCAGGGGGCACTAGTCACATAGATTCCAATGTCAGTGACTACCCTAGAAGCTGTGCAGGGCATAATCTTTATAGCCACATTTGACAGTCCTAGTTGCAAGCATAGTAACTTCAAGGATTTTATATAATGAAAGAGTTAATAGGAGCCTCAAGCCTGAGAAGATATCTCTACTCTTTCTAGAAAAACAATCATTGCTTTTATTGAGCACCTGGCTTAGGAATATATAAACATTATCTCATATAATACTCCTAGCATTGCTGTAAGTTATATTTTCCTCATTTTGCTTTAAGGTTCAGAAAGGCTGAGCAATTTGCCTAATGTACCCAGCTAGTAAATATCTAAACCAAGGTTTACCTGACTCCCAAGTCTGTATTCCTCCTATTCTCCTCTCCTTTCAAACTGGTTACAAGGTTCTTTAATGATGACCTAGTCAAACATATATTAAACATTTTCTTCTGGAAACCTAATTAAAGGTAATTATATACCTTACAAGACACTAAAAATATGGCAGGCACGCCAACAAAGCAGACAGTTCTTATTATATCAATGTCTTTATGGATTTGGATTCTGTTCAGAAAAGCTCAGGCTCAAAAGGTAATTGCTGGCAGCATGCAAACTCCATCAACCCATAATTAACATATGACAATTATTCTAATTGCCTCAAACAACATTTCTATGTTTTTAATTGTAGAGCAATTTGCCAATAGCATTGTTAATTGGCAATTTATATTTTAAACATGCAAAGGACAATGGGTCCTTATTTCCTCTGAGGCAACTGCATGCATTAATTGAATTTTAAAAATACGTTTTCTTCTTTTCTCTGACCCCAGGACCTCCTTCAGATGGTTCTCATTGCAGTTCCTTCTGGCCAAAGTGTGTTTTCTCTAGGTAACTTAATCTTCCTTTAGCACTTTAATACATTTTCCTAACAATTCACTTAGACCAGATCCTTGTTTCTCTCTAGACACCCTGAGCAGGGCTCCTGTTGACTTCAAAGGGAAAATAGTGGGTGCAGGGAAAACTAGGAATCTGGTTCCTGGTTCAAAAAACCTCCACACACTATAAAACCTCACTGGTGTCTTCCTGTGTGTTAAGGGCCAATTAATACATGTGATTGAAGCCTTTGTATGAAACCACCCTGGCAACTTGTGAACTTGCTGGGAAGCACAGCAGCCAATACAAAACAATGTTTCGTGGACCCAGTTCCCATATAGACCCCCCATTTACTCATAGGGAGGGAATGAGAAGAGTAGGAATTGCCTCAAAAGGCAGAAAAGCAATAAAGACAGCCATTGACTCTCTCTTTCACTGTCTCCTCCTCTATTCCTTCAACACACAATTATAAACCACTTTGAACCAAACACTTGGCTAAGTATCAAAGATTAAAATTAATTTATCACCCAAGTATCAACTCCCAGCCCCAACATTAAGGGTCACTTTCCTCTGTTTGGGAACGAGGTGGTATGCCTTAAAGCTACATGAGACAGCCTGGCACAGCTCCTCAATGTTACAGAATCTTCCCTTTGACCTGCTGGCTGTCACCTGGAACTTCCAAACTCAGCCCTGCCATGGGATGCTGCTTCTCGATGTGGACGTTAGTGGAGGGGAGCAGGATGGGCAAGGTACCTTTAGCTTGTCCCTTCTTGACCCCACTGAAACCAGGACCAGGACCAAGACCTCTACCTTGTAAAGTTGTTCTAGAATATGAGAATTTAGGGATGACCTAGAAGTGACTGTGATGGAAATTGAAAGACAAAACTTTTAATAATGTCAAACTCTTTTTAACTTAATATAACTGCTCTCCATAGACAAGGGGAAAGGAGAGAAAATCCAATACCTTAACAGAGATTTCTAGCCTGGCATTGTTTCTCAGACTTCTGGGCACCCTGGTCCCAAGACCATCTCCTGCAAATACAGTGGAGCTGAACTGTGAATCCATATTAACTGAGGAGCTCTACCTGGACCAATTAAATCAGAAAATCTGGATATGGGCCCTAGGCATCAGTATATATTTTTCTTTCCCCAGGTGATTTTAATATGCAGCTAGGATTGAGGCTCCTTGCCCTTGGATAGGTCCTGTCCCACCACCAGGCCATGGGGTAGAGTAGGGGTGGGTGTGTGGGGGGACAATGTCAGCATAGGTCCCAAAGCTGGAATTATTCAGTCTAGACCGGAGTTTGCACATTGAAAGCCCACCCACAGGCTGGATCCAGCCAGCAGATGTGTTTTGTTTGGCCCGCATGGGGTTTTAAAAAAATGAATTACTTGCCAACATTTATTAATGAGAAATATATTGCAGAAAAATCTGGATATCTGGCTTCTTTTGGAAAATAGGAATATCTGACTATTCTTGGTCTGAATTTCTGTGTGACAACAATTGGCTGGAGGGAAGGAGCCACAAGCCCTTTAAGTACAGCCTGTGCTCTTGGGTTCACCATAGCCCTCACCACTCTCTATTATCTCACACCAGTCCCACCCCACTCATTTACCTCCCTGACCCATGTAGCTCTACCTAATGGGGCACAGGGAAAGAGAGGAAGCCTTGTTTCCCTTTGTAATACCCTCCCCATGAAGTGCAATCCAAGGACTGACATCCACAGGATAAGAATGGAGATAAACACAAGAGATTAATGAGAATTACAGAACAGAACTATTTTTCTATATACAACTGAAACAGGAGAGTTCCCTGATTCCCCTCACAGGACATGCAACAAGGGTGTGGCTCAGCTGTTACCCCAACGGCTCAAACCCCTAGCGGAAACATGAGGATGGGCAGGTACAGAGGCTGGGGTGAGTGCTTTGGTCTCTCAGCTCTGTGGTATTGTCTAGGGGTGGGTGGGTGCCTGCACTCCAGTGTTACCAAGCTCTTTCAGCTTTGCCATCTGTAGACAGCTTGTGTGTTAATCAGCTCGATGGACCCTCTGCCTTACCGCAAGGGCAGAGGGCCAGTGTGACAGGCTTCTGTATCCTGAGCTCTTGCCCAGTGTCCCAAAAGAATCGGATCATATGTGGGCTAGAAGGATTAGTGCAAGGTTTTATTGAGTGATGGAGGTGGCTCTCAGTGAGATGGATGGGGAGCCAGAAGGGGGATGGAGTGGGAAGGCGGTCTTCCCCTGGAGTTTGGCCGCCCAGCAGCTGGACTACTCTCCTACTGTCCCCGGCCACACTCCCCTCAGCGTCCAGAAGTCCCTCTTCTCTCTCTGCTGTGTCATTCCTCTCTTTCTCTCTCTCATCGTTCTGCTGTTGCTGGTCTGTTGGTCTGCTGGTCTGCAGGTCTGCTCTGGAGCGTAGAGTTTGGGATTTATATGTGGGCAGGATAGGGGGTGTGGGGGGCCAAAAGGTAGCTTTTTGGGCACAAAACCAGAAATGCCTGTTCTCATTTAGGGCTATGGATATTCAGGCTTGAGGGTGGGGCCTTTGCCAGGGAACCACCCTCTTGTACCCAGTATTTCCCTGCCTGTTGTCCATATCCCAACTTAATCTGCCCAGGGCTCTGCCTACAATGGAGAATACTTAATATTGTCATCACAGAGTAGGATTGATTTGAGGCCCAACCCATTTCTATCCTTACCTCCACCTCCGTTCTTGCTCAACCTCAGGTTTGAGCTTGCATAGGAAAAAATCCCACCCCACACCCTTAGAGTATCTACCCACTCAATGATAGACAGTTACCGTTTATCAGTGCCTTAGGCTAGGTCAGGTTGCCAGACCAGATGGTCCCACACCTGTCTTCCTGGACCAGTATTTCTCAATGTGTGACTTCCACACCTCCTGGCAGATTTCTGTGTCCCACTCCAGATTTACTGAATCTAGATACCTAGAGGTGGGACCAGGCATCCACATTTAATGTGCCCAGTGAGTGTTCTGCTCAATAATAGCAATAGCAGCTGCACTTACTATGTGCTTTACATGTATTGCATCTTCACAAAATCCTTGAGTTGGGTAGTAGCAGCGCCACTTTGCAGGTGAGGAAAACTGCAGCACAGAGAAGTTGAATAACTTGCCCAAGTTCACACCGCTGTAAGTAGCAGAGCTGAGATGAGGCTCATCTGTTCTAGTTGGTAAACCTCTGCTCTAAGCAATAGGGTGGCAAGTGATGAATTCGTGAGCCCCCAGGCCAAGTCGTTCAAGGAAGATGGGGTAGAGTTTGTCAATTACAATGATAAAACATAGGCCTTGCTTTCTGTTACTAGAAATTATTTTGAGGTAGAGACTAGACAAAAGCATCTTACCCATAACATATGGTAGCATATGATGAGATGACAAAAAATATCCTGTGTCCCATAGGATCTGCTCTCTGCTTGTCTCTCAGACTTTAATTCCATCTTCCGTCTTTAATTCCAGCCTCTCTGCTGTCCTCCTGGTCCTTGTGCTGGGACTTAGCATGTGTTGTTCCCTCTATCTGAATTGATGGTGGGTGGGATCTGGTTGGGGGTCGTCATTTGCCACACTCTGCCTTGGATCTCACAGACAGCTCTTTCTTGTGCCTCCAGCTCTGCTCAGCTCGGCTCTTGGCTTCTCAGAGAGGCCTTTCCTGACTTCCCTGGCTAAAGTTGCCTCTTTCCTCCTCCTAGTCATCTCTTTCTCATCAGCTTAAAAAATGAATAGCGCTTATTATCTTAAGAGTTTCATATTCATACTTAGTTTCTTTGCATAGAGTGGGTCTTCCTGTGCTAGAATATAAGTTCCACAAGAGCAAGGAGGTTGTCTGTGCTGCTCTTTGCTCTTTCTTCCATGTCTAAACGGTAAATGGCACATCGTAGGGTGAGTAATTGAGTAAATGACTAGGCAAAGCTCTCCCATCTCCTGTAGTACAACTCACATTTCCTTACAATGCTAAGTTAAGGGACTACAAAGATAAAATATTACCCAACTACTGCCCACAGGAATTTTAAGTTGTAGGAAAAACACAAAACAAAGCCTGATTTCTCTTTTCTAGAATAGAATAGTTTCCTGTGTACAAAGGACATGAATAGGATATGAATTAGGATGGTGACAGGTGAATAATGTACATAATTCTTGGAGTTAGGCACTCTTTTTTTTTTTTTCAATGGAAGAAAAGAGCAGATTCATTGAAAGGAAAATACATTCCACATAGTGGGAGTGGGCTCAAGCAAGTGACTCAACAGCTTTTAGGCATACTCATTACTCAGAAAGTGAAATGTTCATCTTGGACAAAACTAAAGGTTTCTACATTTCCTTATGAAAAGCTTAAACAATCATTTTGAGACAGGGTCTTGCTCCATCACCCAGACTGGAATACAGTGGTGTGGTTATGGCTCACTACTGCCTCGACCTCCCATGCTCAAGCATTTCTCCCACCACAGCCTCTTGAGTAGCTGGGACTACAGGTGCATACCACCATGCCCAGCTACTTTTAGTATTTTGTTTTTTTGTAGAGACAGGGCTTCACTATGTTTCCCAGGCTGGTCTCGAACTCCTGGCCTCAAGCATTCCTCCCTCCTCTGTCTCCCATTGTATTGGGATTACAGGCGTGAGCCATTGCACCCGGCCATGAATTCTTTCTTATGTAAATAAATAAGACATTAAAACAGTTGTTAAATTTTGCCTAGTCAGAGTACGAAGAAAACAGTCTCCTTATACACTGGCACTAGCATGTACATGAGAGAACAAACTTAGGCTGTTAAAACTTTTGTGAGCAGGAGCCATGGGGGCCCCACGACGACCGGAGAAGCTTCTTCCAAGGCCCCCAGGGTCAGCCAAGCAGCACAGATGGGGCAAACCCTATGATGTTCATCTATCTGCTAGAAGTTTTCCTTAAACCATACTGAAAAGAGCAGCTCTCCGTTTCATTCCCACCGAGGACTTTTAAGAGGGGACTGTATTGGCCTATCTTCATATTGCTATGAAGAAATACCTGAGACTAGGTAATTTATAAAGGAAAGAGGTTTAATGGACTTACAGTTCCACATGGCTGGGGAGGCCTCACAGTCATGGCAGGAGGTGGAGGACGAAAGGCACGTCTTACACAGCGGCAGGCAAGACAGCGTGTGCAGTTTTCCATTATCACTGAAATCTGCCCTTTATAAAACCATCAGATCTCATGAGACTTATTCACTATCACGAGAACAGCATGGGAAAAACCCGCCCCCATGATTCAATTATCTCTACCTGATCCCTCCACGACACGTGGGGATTATGGCAACTCGAATTCAAGATGAGATTTGGGTGGGGACACAGCCAAACCATATCAGGGACTTCATCCCAATTGCAGATGGAATGTGGAATGGGAGTGGGAGTGGATGTCAGCATTTTAGGGAGTGCAGCTCTGACATATGACTGACTCCCCAAATGTCCACTGGGTCCCAGGTGGTGTTCGTCCCATGTGGACTTTACTACATGAACTCTCAGGCTGAAGGGAGTTTTGTTTAAAAAAAAAAATGACAGCAATGGTGCTGCCTAAGAGGCCTGTCACCTGAGGCCTGATGATGAATGCTGTGTCCTCTGCAATTCTATTTCAGCCAGCGAAGTCCCAAAGGGTGCCTTGAGAATTAAGGTGAAAGCAGCAATGTCTAAGTGTAGGATTCCAAAGTGAAGATCTGCTTGTTTCTCTGGCAGACAGCCCTGTTTTCCTTAATGCATTAACAATGCTTCTCTTATTACATTAATTATAAGTTGTTAAAATGACTCAAGGATCACGTTCTTGTTCCCCAGCACCCGGAGCTTTAATTGAGCTTTGATACACACTCACGCCATACAAAGTGACAGGCAGGCGGGCAGGGGGCACAGTGGAGGGGAGTACAAAGATGAAGACAGGAGGGTATCCCCATGCTGGGGCTCCCAATTGATCAGGAGGATGTGTGTGTTGGACAACGTATTTAGATACTAAGATACTGAGAAGGTGGGATTTTAAAATTTAAGTTTTTCCATTATCACTGAAAAAATACCAAGTAAGCTGCTCTTTCTGGCTACCAATGGTTACCACTCATTGCGCGCATAATTTGTGTCTTACCTAATTTAATTCTTAGAGGCAACCAGTGAAGTGGGTTCTATTATTGCCCTGTCTCATGGATGAGGCAACCAAGCATCAGAGATGTTAAAAGAAGCATGTGCCGGTTCATACAGCTGGTAAGTAGATAAGCTGGGAAACAGTTTGGAGCCTATTTAAAATCCATACACCTGGCCACTAAGCCCCTTCTGATGAAGCCCTTCTGGTCTGATTGACCCTTAGGTACAGGATGTGATTAGATCACTCTCTGTGATTAGAAGGGCCCTCCTATCCCTACTACCTCACATGCTTTGCTTCTGAGAGCTGTGATTTTACTATTAGAGATTCATTTCTTTGGGGGGAAATCTAGATCTCTTGGTAAATTACAAGTGCCCCTTCAGATGACTAACACATTATGCCTTCATCATTTATAAACTGCTCACTGTCATATTGTAAAGAGGGACCATGGAAAGGATGGTCCAGGAGGTTGGCATAGTTTAGACAGTGGTCCTCAGAGGAGTCCCTTGTGAAGCTTGCAGTTTGGGGGTCCTGGTACATCTGGCTGTAGGGCAGCGGAGCATGGACAGAGGAGATGGGCCTTCCTCTTCTCCACAATTTGGCTTCAGACCACCACTGATATGTGACCTCTTCTTGGGCACCTGGCTATGATACATGTCCCTGCCTCCCTTGGAACAGGTGTGGTCGCACTGAGTTCAGGCTGGTGAACTATGAGTAGAGGTGAAATGAGTCAAGAAAGAGAAGTAGGGATCCCTAAGTAGCCACTGCATGGAAACCCCACCCCTCCCCCACCCCACCCTCATCATGAACTATGATCTGAGTGAGGAGTAGACTTGGTGCACAAAGCCTCTGAATTGTGGGGAGTGTTTATTATGGCAGTAGTTACCCTGCTGCATGGCCTATGATTTCCCCACTGTTCTGCCCCCTTGACTCGCCAGCTCTCTGCCACTGTCCTCACAAGCCATGTGGGAATAGAGAACTGTTCATTTGGAGTTGGCTACAGCAAGGTGTACTGGGCTCGACAGTGTCCCCTCAAAATTCATGTCCTTCCCAGAATCTCCAAATGTGATCTTCTTTGGAATCAGTGTTTTTGCAGATGTAATTAGTGAACATGAGATTGTACTGGAGTAGGCTGGGCCCATAATCCATGGTGACTGGTGTCCTTATAAGACAGGATGGGACCCAGAGACAGAGGAAGAACATCATGTGATGATGGGGTGGGTATTGGAGCAATGCATCTACGAGCCAAGGAATGCTGATTGCCGGCAACACTACAAGCTAAGAGAAAGACAAGGGACAGATTGTCCCCTAGAGTCTTCAGAGAGACCACAATCCTGCTGACACTTTGACTTCAGACTTCTAGCCTCTAGAACTGTGAGAGAATAAAGTTCTGTTGTTTAAGCCACCAAACTTGTAACTTCTTATGGCAGCTCTGAGAAATGAATATACAAGGGAGTCAGCCACCATCGCTTGCATTTGGCAGAGACTCAAAGACTGCCAGGGGTGTCTTTATCGAGAGAATAAGGGAAGACTTCAGGTGTGCTCTGATTGGAAGTTGTAGGCAAGGGGCAGCTGGGGTCATGCCCATAAGAAGTGGGGTGTTTTATGTGATTGGTTTGAGAGCATATTTGGCTTTTTCTCGTTGGTCTTTTTTTTTTTTTTTTGAGATGGAGTTTTTGCTCTTGTTGCCCAGGCTGGAGTGCAATGGCATGATCTCGGCTCACCACAGCCTCCACCACCCAGATTCAAGTGATTCTCCTACCTCAGCCTCCTGAGTAGCTGGGATTACAGGCATGCACCTCCACCCCCGGCTAATTTTGTATTTTTAGTAGAGATGGGGTTTCTCCATGTTGGTCAGGCTGGGTCTCAAACTCCCAGCCTCAGGTGATCCGCCCGCCTCAGCCTCCCAAAGTGCTGGGATTACAGGCATGAGCCACCGCGCCTGGTTCTGGTTGGTCTTGAGTTGGAAGTGGTGGCAAAAAATAGAGAACTTGGCAGTCATTGACCGAGTCCTGACTGCATAGATTGTGGTTTGGTTTCCTGAAGTGGCTGCTGCAGAGGTTCGGTTTGGCTTGCCAAGGCAGTTGCTACAAAGATTATGGCTCAGGATTCTGTTGTCATGTATGGTCTCACCGCTGCCTGTTTATATATTCCCTTTCTCTATCAAACGATTCGGGGCCAACATCCTTTGAGAAGACGTCACTTATCCCCACCAATGCCCCCAGTGCATTTCCGCATACGTCCCTTACCCCTCCTGGCTCTTCTTTACCTGCCTTTCACAATTTTATGCATTCTTCCCCTTTATCCTCCCTTTCTCCTTCCTCCTCCTCCCCTTCTTTAGAGACAGTATCCTTACTAAGTAACCATTAATCAATAAAAATGATAATAGCTAACTCTTACTGAATACTCTCAACGTGCTAGAAATGTACATTGTCCTTTTAATCATTTCAACAACCCTGTGAGTTAGATATTAGTAGCTCTGTTTTGCAGATGAGGAAAAACTAGCTCGGAGTAATTAGGCAATTTTCTAAGAAGTAGAAGAGCTAGGATTTCAATTTAGGAGTCCTTTTTTTCAAGTTCATGCTTTTTTACTCTTCACATTACCTTTTAATCATTTTCTTTATATAAAACTAATAGCCTTATTATAATTATTGTATTACTATTGTTAAATGTATTTTTCATTTCTGCAAAACCTTTTCAATGTTCTTATTACAAGAAAGAAAGGTAGCATTTTTTTCCTGATATAATGATGATTAAAATTGGAAGAGCTGCGGCAAACGGCATTTCAGAAGGAACACTATATATTTAAACAAGGGTTGTAATTTCAAAAAGCTGATATTATGTAACCTCAGAGCAGAGAGCTGATAAAAACTAACTTAATGGCAAGAATTTTATTTTGTTATTACAGATTTAAATTTTGATTGACTCAGCAAAACAGACTATTAGGCAGCATTGAAAATCGATGTGAAAAGGGTTTCTGTGTAATATGCCCACTCATGAACTCAAGTTTGACAGAAAGCAGGTGCTTCATTGGAATCTAATTATAGAGATTGGTTCAATACAACTCCAAATTGATTACCCATAATTCACATTATAAAGACTATAGAATCATGCCTATAGTCTGCCCTCCAAAGAACATAGTCATCTATTTTCAAAATCTCTCCAGTGACCTCTAGCCCCCCAATTTTTTTTTTTACTCTGCAGAATTTAAAATTACGTGTGATTGCCTTTGGCTAGAAGAATCTATTAAACACATTTGTCCATTATTACAACAAAAATTACTGCACACCTGTTACAGGCAAAGCACTGCATTAGGCAACATGGGAGCTACAAAATAAATCATACACCAGAACTCACAGCCTTGGAGAAAAGATCAGGTATACATCTAAGTACCTAGGCAATGATTTCTGTTCTTTATGAGATGTCCTCAAATTATTTGATACCCTTCCTGTAGAACGGTGAGGGTCCACTTCTCCTTCCCTTGAAAGCTGGCATGTGACAGCTTTGGGAAGTAAAGTAAGGCAGAAATGATGCTATGTCAGCTCCAGGCTGCCTTTAAAAGGATTAGCAGCTTCCATTTTGGTCTATTGGAGCCTGGAGCTACCATGTACAAATGCCCACTACCCTGAGGATACCATGCTATGTGGAAGTACATGCTAGGCATGTGGAGAAGCTCTGGAAAGAGAATGGGCAAGAGGGATGCCCAGGTCCACTCAGCTGAGGCTCCAGAAATCATGGAGCAACGATAAACCAGCCCTGTTTTGTCCTGACCTAAGTTTTGACTCAGAATTATGAAATATAAAAATGATTAGTTATAGTTTTAGGCTACTACGTGTTGGTGTAATTTGTTCTAACAGATAACCAAATGTGCTTAGTGTCAACAAAAATGGACAGATGAGGGCCCTGAGAAATTAGAAGAAAAATGTATTTCTAGCCTTTAAGGTGGTGGGAGAAAACAGGGAAAGTTTCAAAGCAGTGGTGACATTTGAGTTGAGCGTGGAAAACTTTAGGATTTGGAAATGCAGACAGGAAAGGATAAGGATGCTCCAGGCAAAGAAAATAATGTTGACAAAAATACAGAAGTGAGAAAGTGTCTGATGCATTTGGAGTGTTACTGAGCACTGGGCTCGCTGGGTGATGCACACAGAAGCCAAGACTTATGGCACTGACTTTTGAGATAAGTAAAAGCTTTATTGAGAATTGACGAGCAAGGAGACAGAAGGCAATGCTCAAATGTGTCTTCTCTGTATGGGGTGGGGGGCGGGGGGGGGCCAAGCTTTTAAAGCATTTCTAAGTAGTCCCAGGTGATGCCAATGCAGCTGATCTGCCAGGCTGGTGGTGTTAACAATTAGTTTTCATTGCATGTGCCTGAGTGACATGACTTTCAGTTTTGGCTCTGTGCCATCTGTAACAGCTTAAGCAACGTTAATTGGTTTGAGCTGGTCACTTGGTTACAAGTGGTTCACTTTGACAAAAGAAAATAGTTTGCAAGAGTGAATTGTGATGATATGAGTGAAAGGAAGGCTGAAAGTATCACCAAAGGCCCAAAAGCCTTGAAGGCCAGAGTGAGGAGTTACATTCAATTACGTGGATGAGGAATAGCCACCCCATATTTTGAACAAAGAAGTGATATTGTTAATCTTGTGTTTTGGAGGAAGTTAATACACTTCCACGGGAATTAAGGAAGGAAGGAGTCCAGTTATGACAGCTGAGTAGTTAGTTGGAGAGCTGGGGGCCCAAACTGTTTCCTCTTTGGGGTAGAGGCAGAGTCCTGGAGGGACTGGGTTGATATGCAGAATAGTGGCCCCCAGAGATGCCCACGTCCTAGTCCCTGGAACCCATGGGCATGTAATGGCAAAAGGGACTTTGCAGATGTGATCAAGGTTAAGGCTATTGAGATTAGAAGTTTATCCTGAATTACCCAGAGGGGCCAAATTTAATCACGTGTCCTTAAAAGGGAGAAACCTTGGAAGCTGTGGTCAGAGGAAGGTAGGCCTCTGGAAGAAAAGTGGGAGAGATGCAGAATGACAAGGACTTGACCTGCCATTCCTAGCTTTGAAGATAGAAAATGGGGCTAAAAGCCAAGGAATGCAACCATCCCTAGAAGCTGGCAAGGACTCTCAGTTTACAGCCAGAAAAAAAAAAAATTTAAAACAAAACTAGGACCTCAGTTTTACAACTGTGAAGAACTGAAGTTTGCTAACAACCCAAATGAGCAAAGGATCCTCTCCCAGAACCTCCAGAAAGAATATAGCCCCACCAATACCTTATTGTAGCCCAGTGAGACCCATGTCCAACATCTGAACTCCAGAACTGTAGAATAATAAATATGTGTTGTTTAGCCACTACATCCGTGGTAATTTGTTACAGCAACAGGAAACAAGTACAGACCTCAATTAGCTAATGACATTCATTGGACACCACTGCACTAGAAACCAGGAGCTGACCGGCCTCTCTTGAGCTGCAGCTCCTTTTGGGCTATGGTTCTATTTTCAGGCTACATAGGAACATTGGCTTTTTGTCCCTGTGTGTTCTTGATGCAGCCAGGTGACCTTGATTAACTTACCTAAGCTCATTGAGCTTCAGTTTCATCATCTGTTCAATGAGGAGGTTGAGCAAAAACAGCTCCAAACTTTACTTTTTCTCACCATGACATGCTTGATAGAAAATGTTCCCATCTTCCACTCACTGACGGGCATAATCTAGGTTTGGGGAAATTTCCAGCACTCTAGAAATAACATTATTTCCTCTCCCCATCAAAAAATCAGGCCGGGTGCAGTGGCTCACACCTGTAGTCTCAGCACTTTGGGAAGCTTGGGTGGGTGGATCGCTTGAGCCCCGGAGTCCGAGCCAGCTTGGGCAACATGGGAAGACCTTGTCTCTACCAAAAACAAACAAACAAAATAGCCGGGCATGATGACATGTGCTTATAGTCCCAGCTACTCGGGAGGCTGAGGTAGGAGGATCACTTGAGCCCAGGAGGTCAAGGATGCAGTGAACCATGAATGTGCCACTACACTCCAGCCTGAGCAACAGAGTAAGACCCTGTCTCAAAAAAAGAAAGAAAAAAAGGAAAAAAGTATTCTCATTTGAGCTGGCTGCAGTGGCATGCACCACAGCCCCAGCTACTCGGAAGACTGAGGTGGGAGGATCACTTGAGCCCAGGAGGTCAAGGTTGCAGTGAGCTGTGAACGTGCCACTGCACTCCAGCCTGGGCAACAGAGTGAGACCCTGTCTCAAAAAAAAAAAAAAAAAAATCACGTCAGAATATAAGTGATAAGCGATGTTTTGACAGGGATAACCTTATATTTACTCTAATTTATTGAGCTTAGTTGCAGAATTTGGATATTTATGTATATATATCATAATATTTTACAAAAGTGGCACAGAATTACATTAATGTAATGCACAACAAGAAATCTATCATCGGCTGGGCATGGTAGCTCACACCTGTTATCCTAGCACTTTGAGAGGCTGAAGTGGGAGGATCATTTGAGCTCAGGAGTTTGAGACCAGCCTGGGTAACAGAAGGAGACCTCATCTCCAAAAAAAAAAAAAAAAAATTAGCCGAGTGTGTGGTGGCACACGCCTGTGGTCCCAGCTACTTAGAAAGCTAAGATGGGAGGATGGCTTGAGCCCAGGAGACTGAGGCAGCAGTGAACCATGATTGTACCACTGCACTCCACCCTGCTGACAGAGTGAGACCCTGTCTCAAAAACAGAAAACAAAACAAACAAAAAAACTCAACAACAACAAAACATTGTATATCATAAGCAATGAAGTTTTACTATTAATACCACAATACTAACAGTAGATGTGAGCACTGAGCTAGACATTGGTAATACTCTTCCTAGCGCTGAAATGGAATAGTTTTAGGAATTGAAGAGTGGCCTAAATTAGTTGAGGGGGAACCACTTGCAGCTGAAAGTGTGGAAGAAGGTGAAGGGGGAAAAAACATTTTCTAAAACCTTAAAAAAAAAAATCAGTTCCTCCCCCTGAGTCTCCACCCCTAACCAAACTGAGCAAACCCTTAATACAGCAATAGTATTAGACTTGTAATTATTTCATTAGGAAATGACACACAAAACTTCATCCTGAATTTGTGCAGGGAGCTAGGGCCAAGGGCCTTCTAGTAATTCCTAATGAGCTTCCTATTGAATAAGAAAGAACTAAAACAGGGTAGCAAGGAAACCAATCAATATCGACAGCAGGCCTGCCTGAGCTGCAGTCTATTTAGTGGCCCTGGAGCTGTTTCATGTTGAGCATCTGTGCCAGGAATAGTTCTAAATCTTAATATTTCAATATTTTCAAGGCAGTTCAATTTGAGTTAGGTGCCCAGACACAAAGCACATGAATTTCTTGAAAAAGGGATGACACGGTGTTGGGAAAGGAGTCCTTTACATGGTGTGGCTAAGACCTGGGCCCTGGGGGTCAGACATCCCAGTGTATGAATCCCAGTTCTATCACTAACTGTGAGTATGACATTAGGCAAGTTACTTCACCTCTCTTGACCTCAGTAGCCTTTTCTGTAAAGTGAAGAGAATCGTAATGCCTTCTTCATGTACTGAGGGCTTAGACAGATGCCTGGTGGGAAGTGAGGACTCAGTGTCAGCTCTCACCATTATTAAGACCACAGTTACCTCAAGGAAAAGCCTGCCGAGCGGGCTGGACTGCTTTCTTGTCATGCATTATATTAATGAAGTTCCTTGCCTGCTTTGTAAAATATATGGGCATTTATGCATAAAATTTCAAGTCCTTTATCTAAGCTGTTATGCACTTTTTGAAATCTTCCATAGTGTGGCTTTCATGGCATTCCCTTCTTTAGATGCTAATCTTTTTTTTTTTTTTTTTTTTTTTGAGACAGTCTTGCTCTGTTCCCCAGTCTAGAGTGCAGTGGTGCGATCTCGGCTCACTGCAGCCTCCGCCTCCTGGGTTCAAGCGATTCTTGTGCCTTGGCCTCCCAGGTAGCTGGGATTACAAGTGCGGCACCACCACACCCGGCTACTTTTTTTTTAGTATTTTTAGTAGAGACGGGGTTTCCCTAGTAGAGACGGGGTTTCCCCATGTTGTTCAGGCTGGTCCCGAACTCCTGGCCTGAAGTGATCCAGCCGCCTTGGCCTCCCAAAGTGCTGGGATTACAGGCATGAGCCACCGCGCCCGGCCTAGATGCTGATCTTTTTAATGTATGAATTGAACTAGACTTTTGTTGGGACCAGGATTATACTTCTGTTCTCCTGGCCCAGTTCTCAGAGCAAGGGATGCATCAGTTACTGGAAATCTGAAATCCAGTTAGAAGACCTTCCTTCCCACTCCATAGTGACTTGCAGGAGAGAATGAGGAACACAGATAAACAAACCAGAAGAGGTGCTTTTGTTTTTGTGCAAATGACACTGTTAGTTCTGAACAGATGACTGGACCATGAAATTATTAGAATAGCACAGCAGGTCCCTGGTAAGAGTGACTCAAAGTGGTTGCCTTGCTTTTTGTTAACACCAGTGAAATTTGAATTACACAGATGAGAATATGCATTGGAATGGGGAGTCAAGGGTAATGGATTCTAATTCGTCTTTTACCAGAAATAGTTATGTGACCCTGAGCAAGTCACTTGCCCTTTCTGGCTTTAAATTTGTCCTCCATAAAATGAAGAAGTTGAATTAGATCAATGCATCTCATTCTGGGACATGCAAAACATGAGTGCTGTGTGACATTATTCAGGTAATTTTGCTATGTACTTACTTTAACATGCACTTAAAGAATATACGAGGTAGCTGGGCATGGTGCCTCAACGCCTGTAATCCCAGCACTTTGGGAGGCCAAGGTGAGACTCTGTCTCAACAAAAAAATAGGAAAATGTACTAAGTATATCAGCCCCATGATTTCATGGATCTTATTGCTTAAAATGAAACTCAACGTATTTAAGTTTAGAAAGAAGAAGCAAAAACAGATGAAAACATTTTGTATTAGACACTGGTCTGATCTCCTGATATATATATCCCGGCTGATGACGTTGTCTGGTGTGTATTAATCATGTTTTTTATTTTGCACATTTTATGGCGCTTTGATATCTGGAGGCCTTTCTATTCCAGGAAGGGACTGCTTCTCTCAAGATTAGCTAATTCCTAGAGATAGCAAACAACTGCTTTAGAGCATGCCTTTCATATGCAAACCAACCAATCCTGTGTCCATACCTCCTACCCACCTTCTTTCATTAGGCTCCTGCAGTTTGGGACACTAGCCTCCTGCCCTAAATCACACTGGGCCAGGTACAGGACAATTAGAGACCACCCCCTATAGTTTTGAGCTCACTGAAATTATTCAAACTATTCAGTTCTAAATGTGACTACCCTGCCTTGCCCATTTCTTCCTGTAAAAACCATAATAAAGGCTCTGGCCCAAGCATTTGCTTCCCTCCTTCTCCCTCCTGATTGTCCCTGGTGCTTCTCGACCTGGCCCTGCATGACATACCCTGCCCCTCCTCTTGAGAACTGTGAATAACAAACTGTCTTTTCAATGGCAGCCAGTCTCCTGATCTGATGGCCTCACCATAGCTGGATTTTAAAATGGGGAAAGAATACCTTTGAGCTACTCTTATTAATTGTGAAGAACTTTTACCTCATCACCTGGCAGGCTTGCTTTTTCTCTGTTTTAAAAATTGTCTTGTTATAGAAAGTAGATTAGTTGCCAGGGGCTAGGAGGAGGAGAGAATGGGGAGTGACTCCTAATGCTATGGGATTCTTTTTGGGGTGATGAATGCTGGTTGTGGAATGAGATAGTGATGATGGTTGCACAATTTTGTAAATATACTAAAAACACTGAGCTGTACACTTTAAAAGGGTGATGTTTATGGTATGTGAGTTATATTTTAAGAAAAAATGGTCCTCTTGACCACTTTTCCTCTCCTCTAACTCATTTGCCCTGCAAAATTCAACTTCGATGTCATCTTGTCCCCCAAAGCCTTTGCATGCAATGCCTATGGTTATAATACTTCTCCTTGCTGTGTTTTCAGGGTTTTGTTTTTGTTTTTATAGAGACAGGGTCTTTCTCTATCACCTAGGCTGCAGTGCAGTAGTATGATCATAGCTCACTGCAGCCTTGAACTCCAGGACTCAGTAACTCAGTACTCAAGTAGCTGGGACTGCAGGTGCGCACCACCATGCCCGGCTAATTTTTTTTTTTTTTTTTTTTTTGAGACAGGGTCTCACTTTGCCACCAAGGCTGGAGTGCAGTGGTGCAATCTGGGCTCACTTCAGCCTCAACCTCCCAGGTTCAAGCGATCTTCGCACCTCAGCCCCGCTAGTAGCTGGGACTACAGGGATGCATCACCACACCCGGCTAATTTTTGTATGTTTTGTAGAGATGGGGTTTCACCACATTGCCCGGGCTGGTCTTGAACTCCTGACCTCAAGTGATCCACCAGCCTCAGCCTCCCAAAGTGCTAAGATTACAGGCGTGAGCCACTGTGCCTGGCCCCGACTGATTTTTTAAAATTTTTATTTTTGGCTGGGTGCGGTGGCTCACACCTGTAATCCCAGCACTTTGGGAGGCCGAGGCGGGCGGATCACAAGGCCAGAAGATAGAGACCATCCTGGCTAACACGGTGAAACCCCATCTCTACTAAAAATACAAAAAATTATTTGGGTGTGGTTGTGGGCACCTGTAGTCACCACTGCACTCCAGCTTGGGCGATAGAGCGAGACTCCTTCTCAAAAAAAAAAAAAAAAGAAAGAAAGAAAAAAATTTATTTTTGTAGAAATGAGGTCTCACCACCTGGCCCAGGCTGGTCTTGAACTCCTGGGCTCAAGGTATCCTCCCACCTCAGCTGCCCAGAGGGCTGGGATTACAAGCATGAGCCACTCCACCAGCCTCCTTGCTATGTTTTCCTTGCTGGTTTATGAGGGGTGGGCGTTAAGAAAAAGAAACACTTTCTCGTAGACCCTTCCGTTGTTGCTTGGGAAAGTTGCCATTTAACTCCAACCCACCACCACGACCCTACCCCACCACTTCTTTGATCCAAGAAGTTCCTAGCAAATCTCAGTTTCTATTTCAGTCAAACAGAATCTCAAATGTGTGATTTTCCGGTGTGACTTTTCCCACGCTTTTTCCTGGGGCTTCTAAATCAAAAAATGAGAGAGGGAACTTGTGTTTTCCATTTGGAGGCACTGCTTTTCAAAGATTTGGGGACAGATGAGTTAGCAGTCAAGCAAGGTCCAAGTCTTATACATTCTAGTAATTCATACTGGAAAAGATGACTTTTTCTCAGGAAAAGCCTATGACTTTGGGAAGAGCTCCAATCCACAAATGCCCATCAGAAGGGCCACACTGCATTGAAGCAGTTTCAGCAGATGTTGACTCTAAAAGATTAACTGCAAGCTTTGATAGCTGGTTTTGTCAGCTTGTAATTGGCTCCTGGGAAAGGGAAAACCAAATCCTTCTATGTATCTATCCATATCTTTTCTGTGCTAATTGTTTGCTTTTTCTTGAAAGAGTACAGCAAACCCGCTCATGACAGAGCCTCCTGATTAAATGCTGATGAACCGTAATAGTGCCTCTCAGATAAGACAGGACTCTCCCTAGCTGCCTTTGCTCCCATAAAGGAAGCCACAAGCCAAAGCACGAGCTCCTTGAAGAACGTTAGGGGAATGAAGGGAGGGTTGTTTAGTACTCGAATTGTGGGAATGGTGGGTGTAGTTTAAGGAGGTAAAGCAGTAGGCCAGAGCATTCACAACCTCTCCACCTACCACACTAGAGAGATTCTAGGGTTTCGCCAGCTGGAATGTGCACACAAAAATCACCTGGGCATCTTGTTAAAATGCAGGTTCTAGTTCAGTAAGGTGGAGTCTGAAATTCTGCATTTCTAACAAACTTCCAAGTGATGTTGGTGCTGCTGATCCTCAGACCACATTTTGAGTAGCAAGAAATATCTCTGATTTCCTACATATCTTTTGTTCTTCCTTTTTTCTTTTTTTGAGACAGGTTCTCACTCTGTCACGAAGGCTGGAGTGCAGTGGTGCAATCACAGCTCACTGCAACTTTGATCTCCTGGGCCCAAGGGATCCTCCTGCTTCATCCTCCCAAGTAGCTGGGACCACAGAGATGCGCTGCCGCTCCTGGCTAATTTTTAAAATTTTGTTTTAGAGATGGGGGTCTCCCTATGTTGCCCAGGCTCATCTTGAACTCCTGGGCTTCAGCGATCCTCCCACCTCGGCCCCCAAAATGCTAGGATTACAGACGTGAGCTATGTATCTTTAAAATCTAAATTGAAGGCCGGGCGCGGTGGCTCACGCCTGTAATCCCAACACTTTGGGAGGCCCAGGTGGGCGGATCATGAGATCAGGAGATTGAGGCCATCCTGGCTAACATAGTGAAACCCTGTCTCTACTAAAAATACAAAAAAATTAGCCGGGCGTGGTGGAGGACGCCTGTAATCCCAGCTATTGGGGAGGCTGAGGCAGGAGAATCGCTTGAACCCGGGAGGCAGAGGTTGCAGTGAGCTGAGATCATGGCACTGCCCTCCAGCCTGGGCAATAAGAGCGAGACTCCACCTCAAAAAAAAAAAAAATCTAGATTGAAAAGAACTTTCTGAAAGTTGACAATTGGGGGTTCTTTCTTGCCTGTCTCAGTTAAATATTAATGACAGCAATAATAATTAAAGTAACAACAATGACTGATATTTATGGAAGGCATAGTATGTACAGGGCTAGCCTAGCTTAACTATAACTGTTACCCGCCTATGAAAGGACTACCTGTGGTCTAGAGACAGTAAATAACTTCGCTAAGTTCTCATTGTCAGTAGTAAGTGGCAGAGCAGGAACTCAAAGACTATTTGACTCCACAAGTGCGCTCTAAATATTACTGTCTCTCATCTCCCTTTGTCTTATTTTAGGTTCAGTGAGGCTGAACTTATGAAGTGTGATCTTTGCTTTCAAAATGGAGCATTTTTGTGTGCTACAGGACTAAGCCAGTGGTGCAAAGTTATCCATGAAGTCAGATGGTAGGTGTGGACAGACAATGCATGATACACAGGCAAAAACTCAATGGAGAAACTCAATGACCTGCAGACTTAGTCTGCACTGATAGCAAAACGCTTTCCCCAATGATTTATTTTTCCCTTGCAAAGCAGACACTAGATTAGGAAGAGAGTGTTGTCACCATAATATGAGGCTTATCAAAAATTGGTGGAAAGGTAAGAAAACTGTATCTATTATATATTTTTAAGGCAAAATTATGTTGTCTTCCTTGAACATAAATTAAAAAGCTTAGACAGGACACCAAAAGCACAGAAAAAAGCACATAAAAGAAAAAAAAGGATGAATTGGACTTTATCAAAATTAAAAATTAATACACTTCAAATGACATTGTAAAGTGAAAAGATGACCCACACAGTGAAAGAAAATATTTGCAAATTATCTGTCTGATAAAGGGGTTGTGTCCTTACAACTCAATATTAACCCAATTAAATAATCACCAGGCCGGGCACGGTGGCTCATGCCTGTAATCCGAGCACTTTGGGAGGCCAAGGCGGGAGGATCACAAGGTCAGGAGATCGAGACCATCCTGGCTAACATGGTGAAACCCCATCTCTACTAAAAAATACAAAAAATTAGCTGGGCCTGGTGGCAGGCGCCTGTAGTCCCAGCTACTTGGGAGGCTGAGGCAGGAGGATGGCATGAACCCGGGGGGCAGAGCTTGCAGTGAGCCGAGATCGTGCCACTGCACTCCAGCCTGGGTGACAGAGCAAGACTATGTCTCAAAAATAAATAAATAAATGACCAAAAGATCTGAATAGATATTTCACCAAAGAAAATATACCGATGAGCAATAAGCAGTTGAAAAGGTGGTAATATCATTAGACTTTAGGAAAATGTAAATTAAAGTCACCATAAGATGCTACTTCATGCTCACTAGAGTGGCTGTAATAAAAAAGACACAATAACAAGTGCTGACAAGGATGTGGGGAAACTGGAACACCCATGCATTGCCTGTGGAAATGTGAAATAGCTCAGTTACTTTGGAAAATTCCAGTCATATAAAGGATTTTGTTTCCTCGATCTAGTTTCCTTGCATATTGGAATGCCTTTTTTGTGGTATGTTTCACATGTTGTTTTTTTGTGACCTAAAATTTTTTTTACATCAAAAATATCTTAAATCCTTTAAAAGATGAAGTAGCTAAACTTAGACCTTTTTGTTTTTGTTTTTGTTGTAACTTCTTTTAATCAAATTTATCGCAAGCAGCAGTTTATACCCAGAGCGGTGGATAATTAAATTTAAAATTCAGCTTTATTTAAATAATTTGATTTAAAATTTTGATAGGTGTCAGTTTTAATTTATATTTTGCCTTTTAAATTTAAGAGATAATTTAAAACATTTTAGAATAGAAACCATTTAAAATATTTTAATATTTTATATTTACTTACATACATATATTAAATAGAATGCATGCATATTTACGTGTGTTTGTGTTTGTTGATTTCCCTTCTCCTTCTTCCCCACACTATTTTTATATAGGGTGTGTTATTGTGGTTAAGTTTACAGTTGAGTCCACAGGGCTTATAATGTTGAGATGGGATCCAAAAGAATTAGAAAAATGGTCCTCATGCAGAAATCCCAGACTTCAGGTTGGATACAGGAACCAAAGAAATTTTGTGTTGCCTTCTTCTGGGAAGTGGATGAGATCGAGATGAGATTTCATGGCAAAATGTTAACTGGAAACTTTAAAAAAATATATACCTATGGAAAGGTATGTTGAGCAGCCAAAGGAACGAACTGTATTTATTTAGCAGCTAACTCTTGTTCTAATTTGGGAGGAGTCACCGATTGCATGTGCTCCCTCTCTTATTACAAAAGTCAGAGGGAGATGATAGGTTGTTACTCTTCATTCTGCCTGGACGCCAGGGTGGGAGCACATGAACCCGAGCTCTGCTACTTCTGTGCAGGGCTTTGAATTCTGATTGAGTGACACAGAGGAATATTATCACGGTTCACTCCGGACCGCAGCCTGTTTTTGTCTTAGGACCTTGGTCATAGTACTGCTCCCCCTGCCTGGAGCTTTTTGCCCCAAATCTCCTGTGGCAGCTCTGTTACTTCTTTCAGGTCTCGGCTCCAACGTCACTCCCCTGGCCATCTAAAACAGCCACCTCTTCTCATCATTCTCTGTTCTCTAACTGGGCTTTATTTTTCCATATGGCACATATACAGAATTATATATTTATTTTACATTGCTTTTTTTTGGTACTACAATGTACTGTATTCTCGTCAAGAATACAAACACTGTTTTGTTCACCACTTCATCTCCGGGGTGAGAACAGTGCCTAGCACAAGTAAGTGCTCAATACATTTTTGTGAAAAGTGAATCAATAAATGAAAGCTAGCCCAGTGCTTGGCAGGCCAATAAATACCTGTGAAACAGAACTGTATTAGTATTAGTTCTATATCAGGCTCACTTGGGCAGAAATTGAATCTGGTGAGTGACACAAAGATGAACACATAATAGAGTTTACTTCCAGCAGCAATTTGTTTCTTTTGTTAAGTTATGAAGCATGAAAACTTGGCCTAATTTAAAATGGCAACTGCTTGCAGGCCCTGACACAGTATCTGCCAACTTCCACTCAAATACTTAATGAGAACTAAGAAAAATATAGAAACCAGCCCTGACAGACAATCAGATGTAGAGCATCAGAAGAATTTTCACTAAGTCAAATGGTGCAGTATTAGGAAAGCAACTTGCAGTTCTCATGAAACAGTGAAGCCTGTTCCCTCAAAAGAAATTAAAACACACTTTCTTTGCTAGTAAGTGACACTAGTTAAAAGACAAGAAACAAAATATAGCATGTTGGTTACAAAATGCACCCCTACCCCCCAAGGAAATTAAAAAGAAAAGATTAGACTTAAAAGAATGAGTAAGATTTTTCTGGCAAATGCAAATGAAAAGAACACAGAGGTGGGAAAATTATTCTCTGACAGTGTAGAATCTGAGGCAAAAAAAGCATTAATGAGACAAAAGAGGAAATTTTATACTGATATAAGTTAAAATTCACACCAAAGGTAGAATAGTCAGTAATGTACATGCATTGTTTATCAAAGAGCCAGAAAAAAAGGAAGAATGGATAAAAGGTAATTGTGAGAGCTTCTGAAACATTTTTCATTTACTTTTACAAATCTGGTAGTTAAAAAATACACGTAGAGGAGAAAATCTGAACAATAAATTAAGATTTAATAGTATATTTGTATCCAGAAACTATATCCTCTTCTTGGGCACCCATTAATTTTTATAAAAATTGACTATAGGTTAGCATAGTGAGAAAATAACTTCCCCAAATGAAAATACAGATCAAATGTCCTGAAGATAGTGCAATAAAATTAGAAGTGAATAACAAAAGTGTAAGAAAGAAATTTTAGGCCAGGCGCAGTGGCTCATGCCTGTAGTCCCAGCAGTTTAGGAGGCCAAGGTGGGAGAACTGCTTGAGCTCAGGAGTGAGACCAGCCTGAGCAACATAGTGAAACTCTAGCTCTAAATTAAACAAACAAGCAAAAAAAAAACCAGCCACATTTTGTGGTGTGTGCCTGTAATCCCAGCTACTTGGGAGGCTGAGGCGGGAGGATTGTTTGAGTGCAAGAGGTCAAAGCTGCAGTGAGCTATGACCACACCACTGCATTCTAGCCTTCGTGACAGAGTGAGACCCTGGCTCAAAAGAAAGAAAGAAAGAGAGAGACAGAGAGAGAGAGGCAGACAGAAAGGAAGGAAGGAAGGAAGGAAGGAAGGAAGGAAGGAAGGAAGGAAGGAAGGAAGGAAGGAAGGAAGGAAGGAATTTTAGAAATAAATAAAAATAGGTCCAAGTGTGATGGGGCTCATAACAGTAATCCCAGCACTTTGGGAGGACAAGTCAGTGGATCGCTTGAGCTTAGGAGTTTGAGACCAGCCTGGGGAACATGGTGAAACCCTGTCTCTACCAAAAATACAAAAAATTAGCCAGTCTTGGGTCCGCCTGTGGTCCTAGCTACTTGAGAGGCTGAGGTGGGAGGATCGCTTCAGCCAGGGAAGTGGAGGTTGCAATGAGCCGAGATCACATCACTGCACTCCACCTGGGTGACAGAGTGAGACCTCATCTCAAAACAAACAAACAAACAAACAAATTTTCCCCAAAAATACTGAGTCAAAAGAGAAATAAAAAGTATGATTTCTGATGATTTAGAAATCAATGTAAAAAGAATATTTTCAGAAAACCAGCAAAACCAAACTCTGAGCAAAATCATTGGCTTAAGGAAGTACAAAAATAAATGAAGTGAATGTTCAACACAGAACTTATCAAAGTGATAAAACATAGGCATTGAAAATAGAAGGAAAAATAATATTGAGCAAATGTTAGTGGATTTGAAAAGAAGAACAATTTAATTGATAAATAATTAGATAAGTTTTAAAAGAAAAATAGTAAAATAGACAAATCGTGAGATTTGTCTGGGTAAAATTTTTACCCAGAAAAAGAGGGAAAACAGAATAAAAGAAATTTCAAATGAAAAACAGCAATGAAAAACAGATGTCCTCTGTCTATTAATACGTTTGAGGATTTGAAAGACATGGATGATATTTTGTGAGAACATAAAACTACCAAATAATCATGGATGAAAATTGAACTATTTGTTAAAAAATTATCTCTAAAGTAGATTTAAGGCCAAGCCAATGAGGTCTCAGACCATCACAAAATAAATAATTCCTATCTTGACTACATAAACTTTTTCAGAGTAAGATAAGTTCAGACATTATCAAACAAAATTTAACGTTATGTTATAATAATCATTTTTGATAACCAAGTACAGATTATATTAGTATTTCAAAGAAGTTTTATACATGTGATACTTCAGAAGGTTTAATATAAAAATTAATGTTTAATAAATGTAGAAAAGCCACCTAATATTATCAAGTTCATATCTAATAAAAATTTCTTAGAAAAAATATGGAGAATAGTCTATTTCCTCAGTGTGCGAAGAACATTTATCCCATATCAGCAGCAAACAATGTTAAATAGCAAAACGTATTCCCATTAAAATTAGATTTACGATTGTTCTGGATGCTCTGGCCAATGCCAATAATATATGAAATAAAAATATGAGAAATAGTATTGGAAAGAATGAGAAGAAGTTCTTACTAACCTATAAGATAGGTTAGTAAATTCCTGGGATATGATGTAAATAAAAATTGGTAGCATTTTGAATACCAGCAATAACTAGCTAGAAAATACAGTGGATAAAGTAGATTTCATTCCAAATAAAAGTAACAACGATAAAAAATGAACTACAATCAATTTCAATAAGAAATGTATGTCTCATATATATTATAAAACTAAAAAAGAGCCTTTGAAATTATTTATGATGCAATGTTATTTTTAAATGGCAGGACATAAATATATATTACAAGTTTAATGTTATATTACATGTCATATATATGCTTAGAAAAATATGGAAAGGAAATATAAGTAAATGTCAACAGCAGTAAAATAATAGGTAAGAGTTTTGCAGTCAGCAGAACAGGGTTGAATCCTCTCCACCTCTTGCAGAGACCCACTGAGGGTTAAGGCTTCAACCTGTGAATTTTGGGGAAATACAATTGAGTCCACAACAGATGCATTTGTGGAGGAAGGAGAAATCTGAAATTTACATTGATGTCTTTCAGAGTGCGCACAGGTATGTTAATATCATTCATTCATGGCAGTAACAATAAATATCCTTAATATTTTGCAGCTTATAAAGCCAGCTGACATATTTTTCTCAAATCACGGAAATGCCACCTCATCACTGAGGTCTTCTCTGAATAGCACCCCATGTATCATGTGGCATTATGTGTATATAATACTGTCCCCAGCCATTGTTCTCTTACCTAGCTTTACTTTTCATTTATCATCTTATCATCATCCAATATATTTGTTTTTTCAGCTTTATTAAGACATAAATGACAAAAATGGCATATATTCAAGTATACAATGTGATGATTTGATATACATATACATTGTGGGATGATTAGTCCAATTAAGTGAATGAACACATTCATCACCATGCAAGTTACCATCTTTTGTGTGTTTGTGTGTGATGAGGATACTTAAGATGTGCTCTCCCAGCAAATTTCAAGTAAATAATACAGTATTATTAAACATTATTATTAACTACAGTAAGCAAGCTATACATTAGACCCTCAGAACTTATTCATCTTATAACTGAAAGTTTGAACTCTTTGGCCAACATCTCCCCATTTTCATCCCCTTTCAGCCCCTGACAATCACAGTTCTATTCTCCACTTCCGAGTTTGACTTTTTTTTTTTTTTTTTAAAGAGACAGTGTCTCATTCTGTCACCCAGGCTGGAGTGCAGCGGCATTTTCATAGCCCACTGTAACCTTGATCTTCTGGGCCCAAGTGATCCTCCTGCCTTAGTCCCCTGAGTAGCTAGGACTACAGGCATGCACCACCATGGCCAGCTAATTAAAAAAAAAAAAAAAGTAGAGATGGAGTCTTGCTATGTTACCCAGGCTGATCTTGAACTCTTGGCCTCAAGCAATCCTTCCTCCTTGGCCTCCCAAAGTGCTGGGGTTACAGACATGATCCACTGTGCCCGGCCTATGAGCCTGACTTTCTAAAGATTCCACATAAAAGTGCGATCATACAGTATTTGTCTTTCTGTGTCTTATTTCACTTAACATAATGTCCTCCAAGTTAATCTACAGTGTTGCAAATGGCAGGGTTTCCTTTTTTAAGGCTGAGTAATATTCCATTGTGTATATATACCACATTTTTATTATCCATTCATCTTTCAGTGGATGCTTAGATTTTTTCTGTATCTTGGCTACTATAAATAATGCTGCAATAAACACAAAGGTGCAGGTGTCTCTTTGATATATTGATTTCATTTCCTTTGATTATATACCCAGTAGTGAAATTGCTGGATCATATGGTAGTTCTGTTTTTAATATTTTGAGGAACTTCATACTGTTTTCCATAATGGCTGTATCAATTTACATTCCCATCAACAGTGTACAGAGTTCTCTTTTCTCCACGCCTTTGCCAATACTTATTTCTTATTTTTGTTTGACAACAGTCACCCTAACAGGTATGATGTGATATTTCATTGTGGTTTTGATTTGCCTTTCCCTGATTATTAGTGATGTTGAACATTTTTTTTTCATATATCTATTAGTCCATTTGTATGTCTTCCTTGGAAAAGTACCTATTCAGTTGCCCACTGTTTAAATGGGTGGTTTTTTTTTTTTTTTTTTTTTTTTTGCTATTGAGTTGTGTAAGTTCCTGGATATATTTTGGATATTAACCCCTTATCTGATATGTGGTTTGCAAATATTATCGCTCACTTTGTAGGCTGCCTCTTCATTTTGTTGATTGATTGCTTTGCTGTGTAGAAGCTTTTGGGTTTCATGTAGTCCCACTTGTTTATTTTTTCTTTTGTTGCCTGTGCTTTTGGTGTCATACCCAAAAAAATCATTGCAAGTATTGGTTTAGTTATTTTTTGCCCATTGCTGATACTAGGAAAGACTTCCTGAGAGCATAATATACATTTGTTTTGTTCACTATTGTGTCCACATCCCAGCACCCAGAACAATGCCTGGTGCACAGTAGGTGACCAATACATTTTTACTTGAAAGATTAAGTTATTATGTGATCATCCCAAGTAACTGTGTGGTTAAGTAGGTAGTGTAGGTACTGTTTATAGATAAGGGACAAGTAGCTCATATTGTGTCTGGAATTGGTGGGTTTTTGGTCTCACTGACTTCAAGAAAGAAGCCGCAGACCCTCGCGGTGAGTGTTACAGTTCTTAAAGGCGGCGTGTCCGGAGTTTGCTCTTTCTGATGTTTGGATGTGTTTGGAGTTTTATTCCTTCTGGTGGGTTCGTGGTCTCGCTCGCTCAGGAGTGAAGCTGCAGACCTTCGCGGTGAGTGTTAAAGCTCATAAAGGCAGTGCGGACCGAAAAAGCAAGATTTATTGCAAAGAGCAAAAGAACAAAGCTTCCACAGTGTGGAAAGGGACCTGAGCAGGTTACCAGGGCTGCCTGGGACAGCCTGCTTTTATTCCCTTGTCTGGCCACACCCACATCCTGCTGACTGGTCCATTTTACAGAGAGCTGATTGGTCTGTTTTGACAGGGCGCTGATTGGTGTGTTTACAATCCCTGAGGTAGACACACAAGTTCTCCAAGTCCCCACTAGATTAGCTAGACACAGAGCACTGATTGCTGCATTCACAAACCCTGAGCTAGACACAAGGTGCTGATTGGTGCATTTACAAACCTTGAGCTAGACACAGAGTGCTGATTGGTGCATTCACAATCCCTTAGCTAGACATAAAGGTTCTCCAAGTCCCCACTAGATTAGCTAGACACAGAGCACTGATTGGTGCACTTACAAACCTTGAGCTAGATACATTGTGCTGATTGGTACATTTACAAACCTTGAGCTAGACACAGAGTGCCAATTGGTGTATTTACAATCCCTTAGCTGGACATAAAGGTTCTACAAGTCCCCACTAGACTCAGGAGACCAGCTGGCTTCACCTAGTGGATCACGCACCAGGGCTGCAGGTGGAGCTGCCCGCCAGTTCCGAGCCGTGAGCCTGCACTCCTCAGCCCTTGGGCGGTGGATGGGACCAGGCGCCGCAGAGCAGGGGGCGGCGCTCCTTGGGGAGGCGCTCCTTGGGGAGGCTCGGGCCACACAGGAGCCCACAGCGGGGGAAGGCTCAGGCATGGCGGGCTGCAGGTCCTGAGCCCCGCCCCGCAGGGAGGCAGCTGAGGCCAGGCGAGAATTCGAGCACAGTGCCGTTGGGCAAGTACTGCTGGGGGACCCGGCGCACCCTCCGCAGCTGCTGGCCTGGGTGCTAAGCCCCTCACTGCCTGGCCGGTGTTGCCGGCTGCCGCTCCGAGTGCGGAGCCCGTGGAGCCCATGCCCACCCGGAACTCGCACTGGCCGGCAAGCGCCGTGCGCATCCCGGGTTCCCACCCATGCCTCTCCCTCCACACCTCCCCACAAGCCGAGGGAGCCGGCTCTGGCCTCAGCCAGCTCAGAGAGGGGCTCCCACGGTGCAGTGGCAGGCTGAAGGTCCCCTCAAGCGCTGCCAGAGTGGGCGCGGAGGAGGTGCCCACAGCGAGCGAGGGCTGCGCGTGCTGCCAGCACACTGTCACCTCTCAATGTGGTCACAAGGATTCTGATTTCCTGTCTCATAGGCTTTCTATTACCAGTACATTCTGTTATCAGTCTTCATGACTCATGATCTTGTCTTAGATTATTAGATAAATATATGGGTTCTTTTTGAAAAGCTTTGTTGAGATATAATTCATGTATCATATAATTCACCCACTTAAAGAAAACAATCAAATGGTTTGTAGTATATTCACAGAGTTGTGCAATCATTATTACATGATTTTTATAACAATATCATCACCTCCAAAAGAATTGCCCTATCCTTTAGGCAGCACCCCCCCAATTCCTCCATCACTCCCAGCCCCAGGTGACTATTAATCTGTCTGAAGTCCTTATAGATTTGCCTTATAGCTCACTGAAACCTCGAGCCCTTGGGCTCAAGCCACCCTCCTGCCTCAGCCTCCTGAGCAGCTAGGACTACAGGTGTGCACCACCAAGACTGGCTACTTACTAAAAATTTTTTTATAGAGATGGAGTCTCGCTATATTGCCCAGGCTGGTCTTGAACTCTGGTCGCATGCAATCCTCCCATTTTAAGTATATATACAGCTTCTATACATTGCTTGTTAGAATTATTTCTAGATGGTTTAGGTTTTTGTTATTATTTTGAATGAATTGAGTGTTCTAGAGCTGTGCTGTCCAATGTAGTAGCTGCTTGACATATGCAGCTATTGAGCACATGAAATATGGTTGGTCCTGTTTCTTTTTAAAGTCGCTACTAGCACATTTAAAATGACGTACGTGACAAATTATATTTCTGTGGAATGGTCATGTTCCTGACAGAACAAATTTATCAGATGAATATAAAAATATGTATTTCATTTTGTATTTTGTAGCCAAAATACTACAAGCTCTCAAGGAAAACTGAGATTTGCTGTGAGGGTAAAATACACACCAGAATTTTTTTTTTTTTTTTTTTTTTTTTGAGACGGAGTCTTGCTCTGTTACCCAGGCTGGAGTGCGGTGGTGCAATCTCGGCTCAATGCAGCCTCTGTCCCCTGGGTTCCAGCAATTCTCCTATTCTCCTGGCTCAGCCTCTTGGGTAGCTGGGATTACAGGTGCACGCCACCACGCCCGGCTAATTTTTGTGTTTTTAGTAGAGATGGGGTTTCGCCATGTTGGCCAGGCTGGTCTTGAACTCCTGACCTCAGGTGATCCCCCCCACCTTGGTCTCCCAAAGTGCTGGGATTGCAGGCTTGAGCCACTGCGCCCGGCCTACACGCCGGAATTTTAAAGCTCGGTATGAAAAAAAGAATGTAAATATTTCATTACTAATTTTAAGTGTTAATTACATATTGAAGTGATACTACTTTGGGTCATATATTTAAGTAATATTTAACGATAAAATATGTTATTAAAATTAATTTCACCTGTATCTTTTAACTTGTTTAATGTCACGAATAGAACATTTAAAGTTGCATATGTGACTTGTGGTATATTAATATTGGATAGTGATGGTCTAGACATAAAATTTATCAGGTAAGTTTAAAATGTGTATTCCACTTTGTATTTTGTAGCCAAAATCTTAAAATCCCTCAGAAAGAAACATATTTTGAAAGGTAGTAGAGGAAGATCCCATGATCAGAAAAGACTGAAGATATACCATGAAAATAGTGTTTGGCTCTATATCCAAATATATCACAAATTTGATGACTAGGCATGGGCTGCCCACATCTATCCCAGTCTGGGCCTTCACAATAGCCTCTCAATGGGATGTCCCTCTTCTGTTCTTGCCCTCTCCCTGGGAATAATCCCCACACCAGTCAGAGGGCTGTTTCCATGATGCTGGTCAGGTTCCACCACTTCCTGCCTCAGCACCCGTCAATGGCTTCCCAAAGCCTTACGTGATCTGGGCTTCCTCTCCCATCTCTCTTTCCAGTCTAGGCTTCGCCCATCAGCTCTGGCTACACCATCACCTCTCCTTGTTCCCTTTCTCTTGGGATACTCTCCTGGCCTGGTCTTGTCAGGGCTGGCTCCTACCTGTCATTCATATCTCAGCTTCCTTTGCAGTGGGTTTTCAGAGCGTCTCATGAAGAGTAAAGACTATGAAGCTATCCTGCCTGAGTAGCTGTGTGACTCTGGGAGAGTTTACTTTTCTTTTCTTTTTTTCTTGTTTTTTTTGTTTGTTTGTTTGTTTTTTGAGATGGACTGTCACTCTGTCGCCCAGGCTGGAGTGCAGCGGCACGATCTTGGCTCACTGCAAGCTCCAACTCCTGGGTTCGTGCCATTCTTCTGCCTCAGCCTCCTGAGTAGCTGGGACTACAGGTGCCCGCCACCACGCCCAGCTAATTTTTTGTATTTTTAGTAGAAATGGGGTTTCACCGTGTTAACCAGAATGGTTTTAATCTCCTGACCTCGTGATCCGCCCGCCTAGGCCTCCCAAAGTGCTGGGATTACAGGCGTGAGCCACCGTGCCCAGCGGGAGAGTTTACTTTTCTATTCCAGTCTGCTCATCTGCAAAAGGGTATAATTATGGCGTCCTCAGAAGATTAAATGAGTGATTACATGAACAATGCTTACAACAGTGTCTGGCATATAGTAAGTACCATGTTTATATCATCATCATCACTACCACCACCATCATCATTGTCACTATTAAATGTTTGGCAATCCCAGCACTTTGGGAGGCTGAGGCAGGTGGATTGCTTGAGCTCAGGAATTCAAAACCAGCCTGGGTAACATCGTAAAACCCCATCTCTACTAAAAATACAAAAAAATAGCCAGGTTGGTGGCATGTGACTGTTGTCCAAGCCACTCGGGAGGCTGAGGTGGGAGGTTGAGGCTGCAGTGAGTCCTCATTGCGCCACCATACTTGAGCCTGGGCAACAGAGTGAGACCTTATCTCAAAACAAAACAAAACAAAAAACTTGGCAACATGTATCAAGGAACTTAAGAAAGGGTCTCACCACTGATCCAACAATTCAGTTGAAGGAATTTATCCCAAGTAAATGTTTACTTAGACAAGAGTATATGGATTTGCATACCTCATGGGATTTAAAAAATTATTTTAAAACAATTACAATTATCTATTATAAAATAATTACAATAATATATTTTAAAATAGGAATGATAAATTGGAAATAGCCTACGTATTGATTAAATACCAACAACAGTGAAATAACAGACAGTCATGAAAAATTACCTAGATTGGAAATTCTTAACGTTTTCTTGTTCCATGGACCCCTTTGGCAATCTGGATAAATGTAATCAATATCTTCTCAGAATAATGTTTTTAATGGTGTAAAACTGAATACATAGGAATGTGAAGAAAACAGATACATGGAAATAAAATAATCAGAATACTAAATTTTTTTTGTAATGTATTAATAAATGTGATTTTTTTTTTTTTTTTGAGACAGGATCTGACTGGAGTGCAGTGGTGCAATCACGGCTCACTACAGCCTCAACCTCCCAGGCTCAAGCCATCCTCCCACCTCAGCGTCCCGAGTAGCTGGAATTACAGGCGCACATCACCACACCTGGCTAATTTTTGTATTTTTGGTAGAGATGAGGTTTCACCATATTGCCCAGGCTGGTCTTGAACTCCTGGTATCAAGTGATCCTCCTGCACTTTTGGCCTCCCAAAGTGTTGGGATTACGGTCGCGCGCCATGGTGCCCAGCTGATTCTTCTTTTTAAAGGCATAACATAAAAAGATCTAGTAATAGGTCTAATAATTATATTTTTCAAGTAGTGGTAAACATAAATACATCAAGATACCTGTGACAAACTCTCCGTGGTATATTAATACTTATGGTTTTTAGTGGAGACAAATTCACAGGTGCTGCTAACACAACTGTGATTTATTGTCTATACCAAGAATTTGAAAGATATGTTAAATTGCAGCTAGAATTGATAAAAATAAAGATGTAGTCTCCCCGCCAACCCAAATTCATAAACCCTCAGGTTTAAAATCCGTGATCTCGCTTATAGGTCCCCAGGCTTTTTCTATAAAGGGCCACATAATAAAAATTTAGACTTATGGGCCATATGGTCTCAGTCACAACTACTGAGTTCCCTGTTTGTAATGTGAAAGCAGTCACAGACAACATGCAAAAAAATGAGCATGGTCGTGTTCTGATAAAACTTTATTTACTAAAGAAGGCAGAGGGCCTGATTTGGCTTGTGGAGTATACTTTACTGTTCCCAGTCTAGAATAAAAGTTTCTAACTTGGAAAAATGTTCCCAAACTGCTAAATGAAACAGAGCAGGTTGCAAATAATTATGAAGTGTTCCCTTTTGGTGGAAAAAGTATATCTCTATGT
The DNA here is from genome assembly GCF_000001405.40 of Homo sapiens. Lineage (NCBI taxonomy): Eukaryota > Metazoa > Chordata > Mammalia > Primates > Hominidae > Homo > Homo sapiens. The sequence continues at coordinate 66,549,489 of NC_000003.12, forward strand.
ATGTCCCGTGCATATGAACAGATGTATAAAAATACACAAGTTTGGAAGGGCTTACTAAAATGTCAATGGTGATTGTTTCTGGGTGATGGGAATATGAACACTCTATACTTTTCTATATTCTCTCATTGTTTTTCAATCAGGGTACATTAATTTTATAGTTAGAAAAGTAAGAATTAGTTGAGCACAGTGGCTCCCGCCTGTAATCCCAGCACTTTGGGAGGCTGAGGAGGGCGGATCGCTTGAGATCAAGAGATCCAGACCAGCCTGGGTGACACGGCGAAACCCCATTTCTACTAAAAATATTAATACAAAAAAAATAGCTGGGTGTGGTGGTGCATACCTGTGGTCCCAGCTACTTGGGAGGCTGAGGTGGGAGGATCACTTGAGCCCGGGAGGCAGAGGTTGCAGTGAGCCAAGATCGTGCCACTGCACTGCAGCCTGGGTGACGAAGTGAGGCCCTGTTTCAATTAAAAAAAAAAAAAGGAAAGAAAAATAAGAATTAAAACAAATAAACTGGAGGGGCTTTTAAAGGTCCAAACTCATACGAACCTTGAATCCCTCTTGAATCCCTCCAACCTTCTTCCTAAGTCCTCGGTGAGAAAAAACTCACCTGTATCCTTTCACTATACTGATATTCTGTTTTATGCAGTTAAAACATTATTCTAATATGGGATCCAGCAGACTTCTCCAGGCTACCAAAGGGGTCTGTGGAACAAGAAAAAGTGAATGTAGTATCTGCCCGCTCCCTGGTCATAACCCTCCAGGAGTCAAATGACGCAAGCCTTAGTCTTTCACTGTAGTGCTCTCAGAATTAAAAGCAAAATTCATATGAAGAATCCAGCAAAGGATGGGTAACTGGAGATCCTCAGTAAGTGTTCATTCTGTTCTCCTTTCCTTCTGTAGGCTGGTGCCACCAACATTTGGAATTAGCTATCAGTTCTCTTATCTGAAATCGTATTGCTTCCAGAATGGGTACCTCTAGTTGTTTTACCAATTCGTCACTTGCATCAGACAGAGCCAAGTGTCACCCTCTGTGTTCCTCTCAAGCCCTCTGCTTTATTCCTTGCTGGCAGGACCCTAATGATGTCAGGTATTAATTTTGCTATGTGTTTTGGGAAGGTTATCCTTCCCCATCTCCAGGGAGGATTAAGTGCTGATTAGTATAAATTAGTGGTTTTCAACTGGGGCCATTCTGCCCTATCAGGGATACTAGACAATATCGGAGACTTTTTTATTATCACTTTTTATTATCAAAAGGGTTGCCACTGGCATCTAGTGGATAGAGGCCAGGGATGCTTCATATAATGCATAAGGCACTCCCCACAATAAAGAATAACCTTGTCCAAAATGTCAATAGTACCATGTTTTAGACACCTTCACCTAACCAATCATGGTAATTCCATTTCTTTTTCCAGGTGGTGAAACTGTGGCCAGTGAGCTCAAGAGAAATCCTGGGAGGAAAAAAACCCTTTTATCCCTGATATAAAAAATGCATGAGGAGAAACTGCCCTTCCTTACGGCCTTTCGATATTCCTGGGGAAAAATGTGATGGTTGCAGCTGCAGTAGGTTTTTGTCATTAATACAAAAGATGGCAGAGACAAGACAGGAAAAACACCGACCTCCTCAGTGACATTGCTGAGTCTGGGAAACAATCCTGCAACCTCCTTACTGCTCTGGACTTCTTATTGGTAAAATAGTTTGGGTTTTTTTTTCTTTTTACATTGAGACAGGGTCTTGTTCTGTCTCCCAGGCTGGGGTGCAGTGGCGTGATCTCAGCTCACTGCAACCTCTGCCTTCTGGGCTCAGATGATCCTCCCCTCTCGGCCTCCTGAGTAGCTGGGACCACAGGCATGTGCCATCATGCCCAGCTAACTTTTGTATTTTTTTTGTAGCAACAGGATTTTCCCATGTTACCCGGGCTGGTCTTGGATTCCTGGGCCCAAGTGATCCACCCACCATGGCTTCCCAAAGTGCTGGGATCACAGGAGTGAGCTGCTGTGCCTGGCCTAAAACAGTTTCTTTTAAAAATTTACTATTGTCCCGGCGTGGTGGCTCATACCTGTAATCCCAGCACTTTGGGAGGCTGAGGTGGGTGAATCACGAGGTCAGGAGTTTGAGACCAGCCTGGCCAACACAGTGAAACCCCATCTCTACTAAAAATACAAAAAATTAGCTGTGTGTAGTGGTGGGCACCTGTAATCCCAGCTACTTGAGAGGCTGAGGCAGGAGAATCACTTGAACCTGGGAGATGAAGGTTGCAGTGAGCTGAGATCATGCCACTGCAGTCCAGCCTGGGTGACAGAGTGAGACTTTGTCTCAGAAACAAAATAAATAAATAATAAATAAATAAATAAATAAATAAATAAAATAAAAATGTAAAAAAATGCTATTTGTTCTTTTTGTGTTATATGTAGCCTTTTAAAAATGTTAATGCTAGAGTTTATACAGGGTCCCTCCCCCATTCCATGGTTGTAGAAATTGAGACCTAAATGGTTTAGGGGACTTGCTTATGGTCACACAGCTTTTTAAGCAATGCAGATGGGACCAGAAAGTCAGCTGATACGATTGAGCCCTTAGTGTATTTACAATATTGTGCCTGTGCCTGGGGAAGTTCCCAGAAAATTAAGTATGAGTAAATTCAGAGGCTCTTTGGATAAAGATCTTACACTGGATCAACAATAATGACAATGAGCTGAGCACCTACTATGTGACAGCCACTTTATATATATTTATCTTGAATCTTCACAATCACCCTGAGTGGTTGGTATTATTTTTCTCATTTTGTAGGCAATGAAAATTGAAACATGGAGTTTCAATGGCTCACCCAAGGCTACACAGCAAGATGTTCATGAAATCAAACCTATGTCAGATCTTAGAATCCACTCTAATTCCACTATACCACATGACCTCCCTTCCTAAGCATCAAAGCCTACTAGACTCATGACAGCGCAAGCTCCAAAGTGGGTGCATCTGAAGGAAGATTTTGTCTTAATATATTTTACCCAGTGGATGATGCTTCTTAACAGTGACTTCAAGAGCAAACTAAAGAGTAATACTGAGGAAGAGAGTTCAGATAAAACACCCATCACCTACAGTTAAAGAGCAGTGAGGTTTGGGTAGGGTTGAGGGGTACGGCATACAGATGAAGATCTTGCTTCAAGATCGGACTCCCTGGGGAGCTACTCAGTTCTTCTCCTCGTTGTACTGCCAACCTCTGGCAAGCCAGCCATCAACACTGTGATATTAAGAGCACAATAGTGATCATTTCTTATGTGGTTGCCAGTCAGTACTGTGCTGTTCTTCCTAATAAGGATGAATAAACTAACTAACTTAGCATACATCGTTTCCTTTAGTCCTCTCAAAACCTAGGGAGGGATTTACCTTAAAAGCGACCCAACAAACCAACTGTGTTGCCCTTTGCCCAAGGCAACACAGCCAGCAACTGTAAGGAGACTCAGTTCCCACTATACCTCTGAGCCTCTGTCTTGTGCGTCTCCCCCTCAGACCTGCCTATTTCTCATTCCTTGTCTTTGCTGCAGCTGAGCCCCTGTTTGGAATGCTATCGCCCTCCCCCTCTTCCCGGTCATGTGTCACAGCTCAGGTGAAATCCTGCATCCTTGGGGGAAATGTGTCTGTGACCACTTTAGTCCACAGAGCTTTTCCCTTACTGATACCTCAAAAAAAGAAAAAAATTCGCTGAACTTTATTATGAACATCTTGTTGCACCTATCTTGATTTATTTCAGTTGATACTTAACATAAAAAAAGCACACATACGATTTAAAAATATTTCTCCAAATAGCCCTCTGCGTTAGGAAATAGAAAACCGCCACTTACTAGTTATGCCACTTTGTTCAATCACTCTTGAAACCTCAATTTCCTCAGCCCCTAAATGGGCATAATCTTACTAGGCCTCGGAGAACCTGCAGGGTTCTTGTGAGGACAGAACATTTTCCTACAGGAAAATGTTTAAAAAATGTAATTCCCTAGACCAGGAACTAGAAAGCCAAATGCCCACAAGAATCAAGCAGCGAATGAGGGAAGGAGGCCAGGGTAAGACAACAGGAATTAGTGGGGGTCTGGTGCCCTGGAGACCACATGTCCCATCTGAGGAGACAGCTGTTGCTCAGCTCCAGCCAATTACTGCCATTCAGGAATGAGGACCCAGTGTTGCGAGAGCTTAATTTTTCAAGAGACACAAAAAAACAAAGACTTAAAGTGACATCATTTGATTTTTGTAACATCGCTGGGTGCGGTGTTTCATGCCTGTTATCCCAGCACTTTGGGATGCCAAGGCAGGTGGATCGCTTCAGCCCAGGAGTTTGAGACCAGCCTGAGCAAAGCCCCATCTCTACAAATATAGAAAAATTAGTCAGGCATGGTGTCATGCGCCTATAGTTCCAGCTACTTGGGGAGGGGGCAGGGGCGGGTGCTGCAGTGGATGCATAGCTTGAGCCTGGGAGGTTGAAGCTTCAGTGAACTGATTGCTCCGCCGCACTCCAGCCTGGGTGACGGAGTAAGACCTACTCTCAAAAAAAACCAAACCAAAACAAAAAACAAACAAAACCCCCCATTATTTATGCCAAACTAAACGAAACATAATGAGTGTCTTTCCTATAGGAAGCTACTTTGCAACTTTGTTCTATATATGTGTATATTGCTCTAGACAAGAATATTTGGATTGGCTCTCTGAGTTATTTTGTGTAAAATGTTTTCTTCAATATATACTTAGTAAGTCTAAGTTTCGCTTTCTCAATAAGACTGTAAGGGTTTTTGGACACAATTTATACCTCCTGTATTGATGTGTAAGCCAAGCCTGATTAACAATCTTGGTAAATGGTAACTTACTTGTTTGTCTATTTGTGTGGTCCTTAAATGTCAGCATGAGTCAGCATTTCCTGAGTTGCTTGTTAAAAATGATGATTTCCCCCAGCAATTCCATCCCTAGAAATAGAACAGTGTACATTTATTCATCAAAAGACATGTACTAGGATGATCATAGCAGCACTATTCACAATAGCTGCAAACTGAAATCTATCCAATTGCCCATTAGCAGTCTTAGAATAAATTTAAAAATTGCATTACATTCACAATGAAAAATCTATGCAGCACTGAAAAAGAATAAACTGTAACTGCAGGCAGCAACATAGATGAATTTCACAAATACAAGGTCAAGCAAAATAAGTCAGACACCAAAGGGTGTACAATATATATTTCCATTTCTATAAATACAGAAATTGGTAAAACCTAATGCATGGGTTATAAATTAGAATAATAGTAACTGTTGGGGTCGGGCGCGGTGGCTCACGCCTGTAATCCCAGCACTTTGGAAGGCCAAGGTGGGCGGATCATGAGGTCAGGAGATTGAGACCATCCTGGCCAACATGGTGAAATCCTGTCTCTACTAAAAATACAAAAATTAGCTGGGTATGGTAGCACGCACCTGTAATCCCAGTTACTCGGGAGGCTGAGGCAGGAGAATCGCTTGAACCGGGAGGTAGAGGCTGCAGTGAGTGGAGATCGCGCCGTGCCACTGCACTCCAGCCTGGGTGACAGAGTGAGACTCCGTCTCAAAAAAAAAAAAAAACAAAACTACAAAAACAAACAAAAAAAGCAAAACAGTAACTGTTGGAGAGAAGTAGTGATAAAGGGAAAAAAAGAGACTTCTAGGGTGCTGGCAGTGTTCTTTCTTGATCTGGGTTCTGGTTGCATGGGTGTGAAAATTAATTGAGGTGTCTACTTTTTGTACTTTTCTGTACATTAATATTGCAATGAAATGTTAAAATGCTAATTCCAGGGCCCTAGCCCAGACTGATAGAATCACCCTCTCTTGAGTGCAGGTGTGTGGGTGTGTCTGTGCATGTGTGTGGTCAACAGGGTCCCCAGGCATTTCTATGCACATCATTAGGGTAACATCCTTTGAAAATTACACCGCACTTGAATGACACACATATTTCCTTCTTCAAGGGGTTTCTGCAAGCACTCTTGGCTAACTCAGCAGCATCTGCCTTTCCTAGTTTCTTTTGTTGTATATGCCCATGTTTTACCAGAAGCCAAGAGGGACATAACGTTAAGAGGTCTTATGGGTACTTTCAAACAGTGGCACTTGGGGCAACAGAGAGAGACAGCTCTGATAATGTGCCAGCTTATAAAATATAGCTAAATATAATTAAATGTTTATGGGGTGACTAATACGCCATATCCCTAGGGGAATAAGTCAAGTGCTCACCGTTGCTGAATTTCCACTGAATCCTGGCTTCTCTAGAGAAGGATTGCTGGGTGGAAGCCAGAAGGAGCTGGGGCTTTTCCTTCTGCCCATATGCCCAATACATGCCCAGTTTAGTGTTCAGGGCTCACTGTGCTCAATAGATATGTTTGTTGCTGTCTTTTCCATCTGGAAGGGACTGTAAAGATCATCTGGTTCAGAGGCTGTCACAGATCTACCTAGAGAGGTGCAGCAGCATCTGCTGAGATGTGGTAAATATACAGATTCCCAGGCCAACAGCAAACCCGCTGAGTCTTAATTCCATTGCTTTGGAGCTTCATTTCAATGAATAACAATTTAAAGTGAGTGTATCAATAGAGCAGAATAGGCTGGGCACAGTGGCTCATGCCTATAATTCCAGCACTTTAAGAGGCTGAGATGGGTGGATCACTTGAGGTCAGGAGTTAGAGACCAGCCTGGCCAACATGGTGAAACCCAACCTTTACTAAAAATACAGAAAAAAAAAAATTAGCTGGGTGTGGAGGTATAATTCTAGCTACTTGGGAGGCTGAGGCAGGTGAATCACTTGAACCCGGGAGGCAGAGGTTGCAGTGAGTCGAGATTGTGCCACCATATTCCAGGCTGGGCCACAGTGCAAAACTCCATTTCATTAAAAAAAAAAAAAAAAAAAAAAAAGAGCGAGTAGCAGAGTCGAAGGCAGCTCTGATACAATAACTGAGCAAGTTGCTTCACTGTCTTTGAGCCTCACTTTCCTCATCTGTGAAGTGAGAATAATACTATCTACCATGGAGGGTTGTGAGGAGGGTGCTTACAAAGCCCTGCCAGCTCTACCTGGAACATCCCCAGCATTCCATCGATGTTGGCTACTAAGAAAGGTACTTCAGATTACATTGTTGTTACTGGAATTAACTCACAATAAAAAAAGAAAATTCAGCAATGTTTGGTGGCTCATGCCTGTAATCCCAGTGCTTTGGGAGGCTAAGCAGGGAGGACTTCTTGAGGCTAGAAGTTTGAGACCAGCCCAGGCAACATGGCAAGACCCCATCTCTACAAAAAAAAAAAAAAAAGAATAAAAAATTAGCTGGGTATGGTGGCACACACCTGTAGTTCCAGCTACTTGGGAGGCTGAGGTGGGGAGATCACTTGAGCCCAGGAGGTCGAGGCTGCAGTGAGCCCTGATTGTGCCACTGCACTTCAGCCTGGGTGACAGAGCAAGATCTCATCTCTAAAAAGAAAAAGAAAAAAAAAGAAAAGAAAACTCATCTGTATCACTATAATTATTTTTTTCACCTTTAAAAATCTGAAATGTAGTAAAAGGAACTTCTTACTGAAAAGGTTATCTAGGTACCATCCAAAGTCCTCCTGCATGCTCCACTTTTCGGGGCCACATGGATAATATATTTGGAGAAACAATGAAAAGAGCACAGGCCGATGGAAAGGAATGGTTTCAAGATCGCACTTCTTGCTAACATTTTTGTCAAGACTAGGGGAAGTGTGCAGCCTGTTGCCTGAGATTGAGAGTGGGTAGATGGGGAAAAGGGTTGATTTCTTCCAGGAAGGGTGAAAATAGACATGTTGGTGCCAAGCTCTTGAACATTACACAAGACAGGACACCTCATTGCGCATTGGACTACTTTTGCCTAGGGAGACCTGGACGTTAAAGTGGTTGTCAAGCTGTCCGGTGTGGAGTCTACAAAAAAGAACAGATCCGCAGTTTAAGATTTATGCTCCAGGACGGTAGGATCACCACTCCGAATACACAACTCACGTAGGTTCTTGGCTGACTCCCTTTGGGTCTCTGTTGCTTTTTCCCTGCCTTCTTGGGTTTAAATATTACTCAGGTATTTATGAAAAGGGAGCATAAAATTTGGCTGAGGACCAGTGCAGTTCAGTGCAATCCACTTGCACGAAGCCCTGAAATGTGCTGGAACACTGATTTTATTACTAAATAACTGAATAGGAATGGAAGAGAACCAGACAGAATTTGATTCTAGAGGCTGGGTATGGTGGCTTACAGCTGTAATCTCAACACTTTGTAATCTCTACTAAAAATATAAAAATTAGTCAGGAATGGTTGTGCATGCCTGTAATCCCAGCTACTCAGGAGGCTGAGGCAGGAGAATCACTTAAAACTGGGAGGCAGAGGTTGCAGTGAGCCAAGATCCTGACACTGCACTGCAGCCTGGGCGACAGAGTAAGACTCCGTCTCAAAAAAAAAAAAAAAAAAGAATTTGATTCTATAAAAGAAGGCTGCATTTTAAGGATGAGGAAATGTAGTGACATGAAGTAACTCACCTGGGTCCCACTGGATATTTAGCTTCAGAAATCAACTCAAATCCCCAAATGCCTCATGTCAAAGCTGCATACAGATGTTCAGACAACAGATGAGGTTTTAAAGACAAAGAGGAAGACGGCAGTCTCTGAGGAAGACTTCTCTACCCAGTGAATATGTGGACACTGAGAGCTTCATGGTATCTTTCCTGGTATTGGTTTGACAAAGTTAAGAACTAATGTGAAGCAGAGGCATACAGGATGCTAGACCGACCATCTGGATCCACACATAACCATGTGAAGAAATCATGAATACCGGAAGACTGGAGGCATGTTTCTTACAAAATTAGCTCCTCTACCAGTGACACACCTACAGTGGGCCTGCTGGCATCATGCCACTGTTGTTCTGGGAAAAATGAGTTCAAGCCACCTGGTTATGTCCCTAAACAATGGTGGAATTTGGTAAGAATGGATAAAGGGAGTATTGCTAGTTCATTCCCCTATCACTAGCTCACATAAAATGCCCACTCAGCTATTGCTATCACCTCTGAAGGATGGTCAGGTGTTCGGGTAAGATTTAGATATTAAAATTGTTTGGCCAGGCATGGTGGCTCATGCCTGTAATCCTAGCACTTTAGGAAGCCAAGGCAGGAGAATCACTTGAGGTCATGAGTTCAAGACCAGCCTGGTCAACATGGCAAGACCCTATTTCTACAAAAAGATTTTTAAAAAATTGTTCAGCAGACACTTGGCATTCTCAGATGTAATACTTAGTAATAACAATGACAATTATAATATGAACATAGTGCTTAATATGTGTGAGACGCTGTGTTAAGCATTTTTCATGTGACAACTCATTGACCTGTGACGACACCATTTGTGTTAGTCCCTTGTCATGCTGTTGATAAAGACATAACTGAGACTGGGAAGAAAAAGAAGTTTAACTGGACTTACAGTTCCACATTCTTAGGCTGGGGAGGCCTCAGAATCATGGCAGAAGGTGAAAGGCACTTCTTACAAGTCGACAGCAAGAGAAAATGAGGAGGAAGCAAAAACAGAAACCTCTGACAAACCCATCAGATCTCGTGAGACTTATTCACTATCACAAGAACAGCACGGGAAAGACTGGCCCCCATGATTCAATTACCTCCCTCTGGGTCCCTCCCACAACACGTGGGAATTCTGGGAGATACAATTCAAGTTAAGATTTGAATGGGGACACAGCCAAGCCATATCATTCTGCCCCGGCCCCTCCAAATCTCATGTCCTCACATTTCAAAACCAATCATGCCTTCCTAACAGTCCCCCAAAGTCTTAACTCATTTCAGCATTAACCCAAAAGTCCACAGTACAAAGTCTCATCTGAGATGAGGCAAGTCCCTCCTGCCTATGAGCCTGTAAAGTCAAAAGCAAGCTAGTTACTTCCTAGATACAATGGGAGTACAGGTACTGGGAAATACAGCCATTTCAAATGAGAGAATTTGGCCAAAACAAAGGAATTACAGGGCCCATGCAAGTCCGAAATCCAATGGGGCAGTCAAATTTTAAAGCTCCAAAGTGATCTTCTTTGACTCCAGGTCTCACACCCAGGTCACACTGATACTAGAGGAGGGTTCCCATAATTGTGGGCAGCTCTGCCCCTGTGGCTTTGCAGGGTACAGCCTTCCTCCTGGCTGCTTTCACGGGCTGGCATTGAGTGTCTGTGGCTTTTCCAGGCTCACAGTGCAGGCTGTCGGTGGATCTACCATTCTGGGGTCTGGAGGACAGAGGCCCTCCTCTCACAGCTCCACTAGGCAGTGGCCTAGTAGGGACTCTGTGTGGGGGCTCCCACCCTACATTTGCCTTCTGCACTGCCCTAGCAGAGGTTCTCCATGAGGGCCCTGCCCCTGCAGCAAACTTTTGCCTGGGCATCCAGGCATTTCCATACATCTTCTGAAATCTAGGTGGAGGTTCCCAAACCTCAGTTCTTGACTTCTGTGCACCTGCAGGCTCAACATCTCGTGGAAGCTAACAAGGCCTGGGGCTTGTACTCTCTGAAGCCACAGCCTGAGCCTAGGGCTAGTGCCCTAGGCTGCACAGGCTGCACACAGCACGGGGACCCTGGGCCCAGCCTACGAAACCACTTTTTCCTCCTGGGCCTCCAGGCCTGTGATGGGAGGGGCTGCCATGAAGGTCTCTGACATGGCCTGGAGACATTTGGTCTTGTGGTCTTGTGGATTAACATTAGGCTTCTTGCTACTCATGCAAATTTCTGCAGCTGGCTTGAATTTCTCCCCAGAAAATGGGTTTTCTTTTCCACTACATCGTCAGGCTGCAAATTTTCTGAACTTCTATGCTTAGCTTCCCTTTTTAAATGTAGTGCTTTTAACAGCACCCAAGTCACATTTCGAATGCTTTGTTGCTTAGAAATTTCTTCCACCAGATAACCGAAATCATCTCTCTCAAGTTCAAAGTTCCACAAATCTCTGGGGCAGGAGCAAAATCCCGCCAGTTTCTTTGCTAAAACATAACAAGAGTCACCTTTGCTCCTGTTCCCAACAAGTTTCTCATCTCCATCTGAGACCACCTCAGCCTGGACTTTATTGTTCATATCACTATCAACATTTTTGTCAAAGCCATCAACAAGTATCTTGGAGGTTCCAAACTTTCCCACATTTTCCTGTCTTCTTCTGAGCCCTCCAAACTGTTCCAACCTCTGCCCGTTACACAGTTCCAAAGTCGCTTCCACATTTTTGGGTATCTTTTCAGCAACACCCCACTCTACTGGTACCAATTTGCTGTATTAGTTCGTTTTCATGCTGCTGATAAAGACATACCTGAGACTGGGAAGAAAAAGAGGTTTAATTGGATTTACAGTTCCACATGGCTGGGGAAGCCTCAGAATTATAGGGGAAGGCCAAAGGCACTTCTTACATGACAGCAGCAAGAGAAAATGAGGAGGAAGCAAAAGCGGCAACCCCTGATAAACCCATCAGATCCCATCAGATAGTGAGACTTATTCACTATCATGAGAATAGCAAGGGAAAGACTGGCCCTCATGATTCAATTACGTCCCTCTGGGTCTCTCCCACATGTGGGAATTCTGGGAGACACATTCAAGTTGAAGGCCGGTGTGGTGGCTCATGCCTGTAATCCCAGCACTTCGGGAGACCAAGGTAGGCAAATCACCTGAGGTCAGGACTTCAAGACCAGCCTGACCAACAGGATGAAACCCTGTCTCTACTTAAAAAAAAAAAAAAAAAAAAAAAAATTCAGCCCCGTGTGGTGTCGGGTGCCTGTAATGACAGCAACTTGGGAGGCTGAGGGAGGAGAATTGCTTGAACCCGGGAGGTGAAGGTTGCAGTGAGCTGAGACCTTGCTATTGCACTCCAGCCTGGGTGACAAAAGTGAAACTCAATCTCAAAAAAAAAAAAAAAAAAAAATTAGTTGAGATTTGAATGGAGACACAGCCAAACCATATCACCATTATTATCTCCATTTTATAGATAAAGAAACTGAAGCAGAGCAGTAAATTCACCCAGGATCACATAACTGTGAGGTGTCATAGCTTGGATTTAAACTAGGACAGGATGGCTTCACAACTTTCAGTCTTCATGAGTCACTCTGAAGACCCATATATAGTAATTTGTCATTCTTCAGAAGCAGGGATTGAATTCACTTGTTATGAAAGGGCTTTGTGCAAGAAGAAAGTCACTTAGCTAGTGACTGAGCCCAGCCCATTGAACAACATCTGAATCTCAGAAAAGTTTTTCTGTTTTCTGGTCAACCTAATGTGGACCTTTTGCAAGAAAATTATATGCCACAGTAGATGGCATATAATTTAGTTAGATGTAATAATTATGATGCTTTTGACAATAGGTAACAAAAATGCCAACTAACAAGCATTTTAAAAGTAAAGACAATTAACTTTCTAATGCAACAAGAAGTCTGGAGAGAGGTGGTTTTAGGTTGGTGCAGCAGCTCAAAGATCCTCAGCATGTTGGTGTTGACTTCCCTCGTGTCCCAAGGTGGCTGCAGTAGTTCCAAGCATCACATCTTCATTCTCTGGTATCCAAGAAGAAAAGAGGGAGGGAAGGCAAAAACATTTCCTCTTTTTAAGGAGGAAAAATACTTTCTGGAAGTTCCCCCTACCTCTTTTCTGTCACATTTCATTGCCCAGAACTATGTTACATGTCAACCCCTAAGCTGAGGTTTCTCCACCTCAGCCTTATTGACGTTTTGGCCCAGGTGATTATTTGTTGTGTGAGGCTTAGCAGCATCCCTGGCCTCCACTCATTAGATGCGGGGAATACAGTCCCAGTTAGGACAACCAAAAATGTTTCCAGACACTGTCAAATGTGTGTGTGTGTGTCTGTAAAATTGCCTGAGGTTGAGAACTATTGTCTTAGACCAATGACTGGCAAAAAGAAATGGGAAAGTCATAACTGACTTAGACGAATCAGTTTATCCTCTGGGGCTGGGCACACTGATGCCTGAAGAGTCCTGTTTAAGGGAGGAGGGGTAATGGCTGTGGTTTTACAATCATGCCCACATTGCTTTGTGTTTTTGTTTTTTGTCTCTTTAAAATAGAGAAATAGGGTCTTGGCTATGTTGACAATTGTCTATGTTGCCAATAGAGTCTTGTATATGTGGCCCAGGCTGGTCTTGAACTCCTGGGCTCAAGCGATCCTCCCACCTTGGCCTCCCAAAGTGTTGGGGTTCCCGGTGTGAGCCACTGGGCCTGGCCTCCATGTTGCTTTGTTGTTCAAACAAATGCTTTTATTGGAAATCCAAGGGGAGAATTGAAAAGGAGGTGTTCTGTCTTCTCATGTCCAAGAAATCATTCCTGTGGTACGCTGGGAAGCATTAGGTCTTAGAAATAGGTGTCTCAAGATAACGAATTTTTCAGCTTTGGTGGCCACAGGAAAACAACAGGGAGTCAGGGTAGCCAATCTTCTTTTTATTTAGAAAATCTACACCAAGATGCCTTTTTTGGGGCATTTTTTTTTCTCCACCTCCCTTTTTTTTTTTTTAAAGACAAACTTGTATTTGTCCGTGGATACTTGGTAAATAAGGACTGCAAAAGGAAAATTCCTAAATGTATTCCTCCATTACATGCCTTGGACATTTAACTTCAGAAATTAAGATTATGGTTGTAAAACTTTTCAAATTGGTTGTTTGAAAACCATTGGTAAACACCATTAGGTTGGCTGCCCAAGGTCATTTCAGTCTTATGATATTTATTTTCAAAATTTCAATCAGTCAGGAGGTATACAAGGTGGGATTCAGAACTTTCAGCTAGAAAACAATACTTGGATTTAAAGGGTTACAAGGTGTGATTTTTCTGGCTTTCAAAGAGCTGTGTTTCAGATCATGGTTTTCATCAAAGTCATTTTCTACATTTTTGTAAACATGTTTAATAAGAAAAAATTTAAATAGCCAAAACAAAATGAAAAATTGCTCTAAATATGGAAACATTGGAATGAGTGCTATGTTGTAAAGGCTCTCCCTTATGAAAACACTATAAAGCTAGCACTGTATATCTTAGGGAAGGGGGACATTTTGTTATTGCTTTCTAAAAGAACTTTTTTACTCTATCCTTTAGCAGTGAGATTGAAAGAATATTGAGAATTCCCTGATGGGAACCCAGCTTTCATTATTAAAAGGAAGGCCCTGAGTAAATATGAAATTACTTACATTAGGGCTACAGACACCAATGAAGGCTGAACGCCCAATTATAATAAATGAAAATTGTTAGTTGAATTTCCCCCCAAAACCACAGAGGCATAAATACTTCAGGAATTGATTTTCTTTTACTCAGATACCTTATAATGATTCAGCAAAACAAAATTATAAATACTTCAGCTCTGAGTAATATTAAATTGGGAGCAGATTGGATCCTACTCCCCACAGTCCACTTACCTCAGACAGGTCGGCAGTACCAGGATGTGCTTCAGTGGAAAAGTTTATCCTAAATTGATTGGAGCAGAAAAAACAAAATCTGATATATGTATTTTTAAACTCCCACCCCTCATCATGTGCTCAGTGCATTTTTTCCCCCTCATCGCAATTTTGTAAAGGTCTGATTCAAAATATTTAATTAGAAAATTAGCTTAATCAGATTTGAGGGAACTAAAAATAGAACAACCCTAAGGTGAGTGTATATATACATACACACACACACATATATACAGGTTCTCTGTTGTCAGATAGCAATTAAGAAAAAGATTACCACTAAGAAAAAAATATATATCTATTTTATGTACACATATACCCACACATACTTGTAGTCAATTATATTATTCATGGTAGCTATGTTCTTTAAAGTTGTAACAAATACTGAATTAGTAAATAGCAAATCATTGACCCTAGGGGAAACTTAGGGTTAAGTTCCTGCAAACCTGTGGTCACAACATGATTATTCACTGATCAACACATAACCTTGTTTTATGTATGTTTTTGTTTAAAGACACCTTATTTAATACACAGTGCTGATTCATTTTTAACATTGAACTCACAAACACCATAACTCACATCTGCACAAAATTTATCTAACACACGTATTTTCTCTGTAAGGCACATCACAGCCTTCTTACGCTTAGGAACACAAGAGAACTATGGTTGGGGGCTGTTTTAAACAGCAAAATCACCAACTAAAAGCACACAAATGTGAAAAACCTGGTGCTAGATAGACCTCGAAAAGGACCCCTGTTTATAGGCTGAGGGGTGAAACAAGTATTCGACCTGGGAACATGCACATTAGGTGACTCAAATTTCCCCCCTCTTTCCGCAGGTCTGAATAATCACAGAAGTGCTACAGTATTGATTTTGGGGGTTACAAACATGTATATATACACATACATATGTACATACACACACATATGTACATATATACACACACACACATATATCTTGTTTGTTGGTGCAAAAAATTGGTTCTCTGTTCACTACACGTATGTGAAAGGAAGTATTCTCTCTACCAGGCCTTCCTATAAGACCCTCAAGCTGGGAGTAGGTAAAGTTTTTTAGTAAGTGAATGGCTTTGAGGCTGTGGAAGATAAAAAGATGGATCAACTGCCTAAGATATGGGGTCCTTAGAGAGTGGCAAATAGAAATCCCCACCCTGCCCATTTCTCAGGCACATCTAACGCTCCCCAGTCACAGAGCTACGTACTAGATGTGTAAACTTGGGCCAAGCAGGTAACTGCTTTGTACCTCAGTTTCCTCAAGTATAAAATGGGATAAATTTTAGAACATACTGTCATGGGGCCAGCATTGCATGGGCGATAAGAATAATTTATTTACCAAGACAGTCGCAGTTAAAGAAAGGCAGATTAGAGAAAGTATGAAAATATGTTGCAAGGAAGCAATGGGCAGGTCAGCAAAAGAAGAGCCGACTGCAAAGAGACAAAGGCTTGCTAGGGCTTTTATAGGATGTTGTGCTATGTGCTGAAGAGGGCTCTGTGCAGTACTGATAATGCCAAGGTTGCAGTGAGCTAACTTGCATTTTTCTTTCAGCCAAGGGTCTGGTGATAGCTGGGCTCAGGAAGATTGTGAGTCATTTGTGCAGGAGGGGCTATGTGTCTTGGACCATGAAGAAAGATAGACTTATAGTTTATCTGCTTTCTCTTTTTGCTTTCCCTCGTTTCTGGCAGTCCAACTCCCTGTCCCTAATTAGGACTCCACACGTATCTCTTTGAGTTGCTGTGAGGATTAAATGAGATAATGCTTGTAACAATGAAAAAGCACAAGTCTTTTCTTGGTACGACCAGACCTTAGATAACTCCTGACGAGATGCAATATGTGAAACATACAACCCAAGTATGACATATTATTGTCAAAAACAGTGAAGCCTAATCAAGCCTCCGGAGCCAACCAGGAGGGAGAGTTAACTAGTCAAACAGTTTCATGCTTTGCAAACAATCAGATAAATTCAGGAGGTAAGACAGCTGACTTTGTGTGTGTATGCGTGTGTGTGTGGGGGTGTGTGTGTGTGTGTGTGTGTGTGGCAACAAGTTAATAGCATGAAAAAAAGAAAGGGAAGGGGGAACTTTCATGAGATGAAAGAGAAATAATCATCAAGTGCAATATGTGCACAATTAAGTTGTACAAAGACACCTTTGGGACAGTTGGGGACATTTGAATATAACTGGCTAGCTGGTATTAAATAATTAAAATAATTACCTCTATTGTTAATAGAGGTAATAGAGAATGGTACTGCAGTTTTATAGGAAAATGTCCTTATACTTTAGAGGTTTATACAGAAGTGTTAAAGGGTAAATGACATGTTGCCAGGGATTTAAAAAAAATATTATGGGAAGGGAAAGAAAAAAAAGGGAAAGATTAGGAAAAAACACTGCTAATTAGTTGCTTGACTAAAGTTAGTAGTAAATTATTTCTTTTTCTTTGTTTTTGTTTTTGTTTTTGTTTTTGTTTTTTTCTGAGATGGGGTCTGGCTCTGTCGCCTAGACTGGGATGCAGTAATGTGATCATAGCCCACTGCAGCCTCAAACTCCTGGGCTTAAGTGATACTCCTGCCTCAGCCTCCTGAATAGCTGGAACTATAGATGCACGCCATCATGCCTGGCTAATTTTTAAAATTTTTGGTAGAGATGGGGGTCTCACTATGTTGCCCAGGCTGGTAATGAACTCCTGACATTGAGTGAAGCTCCCATCTCAGGCTCCCAAAAGTGCTGTGATTACAGGTGTGAGACATTGCACCCAGTCAACAGTAAATTCTTTTGAAGTGGTTAGAAGTCTGCTGCCTACAGTACTTTTGGAGTTATGGAAGGGTTTAGCTCAATTCTATGTAGTTGTTATTACTTAAAGAGTGAACTTTTGGCAGGGCGCAGTGGCTCACGCCTGTAATCTCAGCACTTTGGGAGGCCGAGGCAGGCGGATCACGAGGTCAAGAGTTCGAGACCAGCCTGACCAACTTGGTGAAACCCCGTCTCTGCTAAAAATACAAAAATTAGCCGGGCGTGCTGGCGTGCGCCTGTAATCCCAGCTACTCAGGAGGCTGAGGCAGAAGAATCACTTGAACCCGGGAAGCAGAGGTTGCACCGAGCTGAGATCGCGCCTCTGCACTCCAGCCTGGGCGACAGAGTGAGACTTCATCTCAAAAAAAAAAAAAAAAAAAAAAAAAAGAGAGTGAACTTTTAGTTGCAGTGAGAGAGAAGAGAGAAACATAAGAAATGGTTGCTAAGTAATAGCTTAGTCAGCAGAGGTCTGGAATCTCTGGGGTCTCTGAGATCTTTCATGTGATTCATGAGTTCCAAAACTGTTTTTATAAGAATGCTAAGGAGCTGAAGCTGAGACCTAAAAGCTAAGCAGGAGTGCTCTGGGCAGAGGGAATGGTACGTGCAAAGGCTCTACAGAGCACTCTGCATATGGAAGTCTGACTCAAAGTGCTTCTGTGTAATTGGAATGTACAGTTCACAGCACATACATAGCTGATGGAGCGGTTTGTGGGAGGATTCCTTTGCCTTACATTTGTTCATTGGCATGGGACTGAAGCCTTGGCATTGAGTGCCACACTTCTTGCAGTGAGGTAGGAACCTGTCAAAGCTTGGAAGGCCATCTTAAAGGTATCCAATTCTGAACATTTTCTCTCTTGTTTTCTGTATACTTAAGAATACTACCTTTGGCCAGGTGCGGTGACTCACACCTGTAATCCCAGCACTTTGGGAGGCTGAGGCAGGCAGATCACGAGGTCAGGAGACCGAGGCCATCCTGACGAACACAGTGAAACCCCGTCTCTACTAAAAATACAAAAAATTAGCCAGGAGTGGTGGAGGGCGCCTGTAGTCCTAGCTACTCGGGAGGCTGAGGCAGGAGAATGGATTGAACCCGGGAAGTGGAGCTTGCAGTGAGCCGAGACTGCGCCACTGCACTCCAGCCTGGGCAACAGAGCGAGACTCCTTCTCGAAAAAAAAAAATGCTACTCTTAAAGATACCCAGGTTTGGCAAAGTAATTGTAATCACCCCAGTCCATCCTATAGGGCACTTGTGAGTTTATAAAGCTCTTCCTTATGGGCATTTCTGCATTTGGATTTTGAGCCAATAGGGTAGACACAGTGGGCATTATTATCCCCAATTTACAGAGTGGGAAAATAAGGCTCTAAAACATCAAGTTTCTTGACCTGTGTTACCCAGTTAATGAGTAGCCAAGCCAGGACTTGAAGCTTGGTCTTTAGCCACCAAATCATTAATAAACTAATCAATTCATTAAAATGCTCATTGATTCCATATGATTCCGTCATAGGTGATGGCTGAGGATGCAAGATGAATGAGACAAGTCCTTACTCTCACATACTTGTCCCCTGTGTTTCTCCACATGTCTCTCCAGTCCCCTGTGTCTCTCCAGTGTCTATTCTTCCTGATGCTCTCCCTTCCCCCAACCCCCGACAGGCCCCAGTGTGTTGCTTCCCTCCCTGTCTCCATGTGTTCTCATCATTCAGATCCCACTTACAAGTGAGAACATGTGGTGTTTGGTTTTCTGTTCCTGTGTTAGTTTGCTGAAAATAATGGCTTCCAGCTCCATCCATGTCCCTGCAAAGGACATGATCTCATTCCTTTAAATGGCTGCATAGTATTCTATGGTGTATATTTACCACATTTTCTTAGTCCATTATGTTATTGATGAACATTTGGGTTAATTTCATCTCTTTGCTATTGTGAATAGTGCTGTAACGAACATACGCATGCATGTATCTTTATATTAGAATGATACATATTCCTTTGGGTATATGCCCAATAATGGGATTGCTCGGTCACATGGTATTTCTGTCTCTTGGTATTTGAGGAATTGCCACAATGTCTTCCACATGGTTGAACTAATGTACACTTCCACCAACAGTATAAAAGCCTTCCTTTTTCTCTGCAACCTCGCCAGCATCTGTTGTTTCCTGACTTTTTAATAATTGCCATTCTGACTGTGAGATGGTATCTCATTGTGGTTTTGATTTGCATTTCTCTAATGATCAGTGATGCTCAGCTTTTTTTCATGTTTGTTGGCTGCGTGAATGCCTTCTTCTGAGCAGTGTCCATTCGTGTCCTTTGCCCACTCTTTTTTTTTCTTCTTGTAAATTTGTTTAAGTTCTTTGTAAACTCTGGATACTAGACCTTTGTCAGATGGATAGATTGCAAATATTTTCTCCCATTCTGTAGGCTGCCTATTCACTCTGATGATAGTTTCTTTTGCTGAGCAGAAGCTCTTTAGTTTAATTAGATTCCATTTATCAATATTTGCTTTTGTCGCTATTGCTTTTGGCATTTTTGTCTTGAAATCTTTGCCTGTGCCTATGTTCTGAATGTTATTGCCTAGATTTTCTTCTAGGGTTTTTATAGTTTTGACGTTTACGTTTAAGTTCTTACTTTCTAAGGCAGAAGTGGCAACATGGTAACCTATAGGCCAAATCTGGCCCTCAGGTTAAATCAGGCTCACGGACACAGTATTGGGGCCTTCCCCTTGCTGGTTATTCTCTGTGTTTTAAATTTGAATTAATCACCAATGTTTCCCTTGAGGGAGAGTTGTACATAGGGATCTGGATTCTGACCTCTCTTAAACAATGGAAAGATCTGGCAATACGAGTACTGACTCAAGTGCACTCCAGTTTGCCACAGTCCCCATGGTCTTCTCTTGTCCCTGGGATAGTGCATTAATTCACAGCATCTGCCTGGTCTGGGCCAGGCCTAAAGGATCAAAGACTGCTTCTTTAGTGCTACATCCATGGCCCTCCATGATTTGGCCTCAACTTGCCTCTTTTGCTTCATCTCCATCCCATTTGGAACTTTATGCTCTGGTAATAAGGAGATGATTGTAGTTCCCAGAATAGAGTATGTCTGTGGTTCCTTTAAATGACCTGTACCTTTTTCTCAGTTCTACTGAACCATATGTTCCTTCAAGACCCAGATTAGATATCATCTTCTCCAGGAGGCCTTCCCTGACCCTTGAGGATCTCTTTGTGTTCCCCTAGTTTCTTGTGCCCTCTCTAACTATGATACTGAAATGATCTGCTTATCCAGTAGCCCCCCCATTGGGAACTTCTCTCACCTGCCTACATTCACTTTTGTAGCCCAGCACCTAGTGCAGTGTCAGGCATACCTAGGGGCAGGTGTCATAAGAACTCAGACTCCAAATGCTTCCATTAGAGAAGGCCTGGGAATCCAGAGAGGGGAATTTTATTGGAGACCAAATCCCTTTCTGCAGCCTTTTGCCTTCTTTTCTCTATGTGTCCGTTCCAGGAGCCCCTGTGCATGAAAAAAAATTTACTAATTTGGTTTTACTGGGCACATTGGGCTTTAGATAGGAGATAGTTTAAATAATCAAGTCTTTCTGGCTTCTTGCCTTTGCACGCCTGGATGAGCCAGAAGTGAAAATGTAGGTGAGTCACTGAGTTGCCTCTCGGCCCCACTGCAGTGCAAGGCTTAGGAGACCCCTCCTCAAGAATGGTGCTCCTGGCAATTTGGGAGAGGGAACTGATTCTGAGAAGCCAGCCTAGGCTAGGATGGCTTAATCACTATAATTACTCATTGCAGCTATTAATAATCGCTAGTTATTTAGATATGAAGTAATTAATTCACCACTATTAAATAGAGGTACTTAGTGAGGAATTAAATACTTTGCCTAAAGCTATCCTTAGAAGAAAGGCAGGGAGGCCAGGTAGTATGGTGGCTTCTGCCTGTAACCTCAGCACTTTGGGAGGCCAAGGCAGGAAGATTTCTTGAGGCCAGGAGTTCAAGACCAGCCCAGGCAATATAGTGAGACACTGCCTCTACCAAATAATAATAATAATAATAATAATAATAATGGGGAACATGGTAATCTAATTTAGAGCCTGCTCTATTCCAAACCAACTCCAGGAAACTCACCTCGATGACAGGATCTGGTTGAGGATGTTATTCCTTACATTGCAGAATGTCCTCCTGCTCCTCTGTATCAGGAAAAGCCATGTTGTTCCTGGACAGTGTGAGTTAGATAGCCTGTCCTGATTCCCTTTCTGTGTTAATTGCTGGAAAGCTCAGAGTCAAATTTGTGACTTGCTTATTTAGGTTTGTATGGTGTTCACTTTTGGAATAAGCCTCATTCTTAGCTTTCTACTTGTATTTTTCTTTCTTTTGGCCTACCTACTTAAAAAAAATAAACGTCCCTACCCTGCCTTTACTAAAGAATGATACTTTGTGCAAACGAAATCTTTAAAAATGTATAGAACACAGAAAAGCAAACACAAAATGAGTAAAAATCACCTAGTCATACCCAGAGAGAACACCATTTATATTTTGGTATATTTTCTCCCTACCCCCACCTAACCCACAGTCTATACATATATTTTAGGTTGGTGCAAAGGTAATTGCGGTTATCGCCATACTTTTTTTTTTTCTTATGAGACAGAGTCTTGCTCTGTCACCCAGACTGGAGTGCACTAGTGTCATCTTGGCCCACTGAAAACTCTGCCCCCCAGATTCAAGTGATTCTCCTGCCTCAGCCTCCTAAGTAGCTGGAATTACAGTTGTGCACCACCATGCCTGGCTAATTTTTGTATTTTTAGTAGAGACGGGGTTTCACCAAGTTGGCAGGGCTGGTCTGAACCCCTGACCTCAAGTGATCCACCTGCCTCGGCCTCCCAAAATGCTGGGATTACAGGCGTGAGCCACTGTGCCTTGCCTATTATTGCCATTACTTTTAGTGGCAAAAACCACAATTACCTTTGCACCAACCTAATACAAAATGAGATTATATCATATATAGTGTTTTATAACTGTCCTTCCCTTCACCCCACTTACTACACCATGCACATCTTTCTATGTGATTAGGTGTCTTCTGTCTTGTAGATGTTCCATAATATATTCAATCAATATAAGATTGTTGAATGTTAGGCTGTTTCTAAATGTTTCCTTTTATAAAACAACCAAAAAAATGTAATAAACACTCGTATCAAAATCTTCATGCATAGATTGATCTTTTGGTGACAATTCTTAGACGTTTTCATTGCCTTTTAACTTATGTTGCTTCATTTAATGTATCCTGTCAAGCACCCTTAAATACTTTCTGGAACAAGCTGAGATAGGACTAATCTGTTGCTCAGCATCACCACCCATCAATTACCTGGGAAAAATTTTCTCGGAAGACTCAAGATACAAAGAATGATAAGAGGTGATCTCTGTGTCCTCCCGGGGTTTAAATTCGACTAGGCGAAAACAGATGACCTATAAAAATGTGCACTAAGTGACCAAATACAAGGTTAGAGAAAAGTTTATATATAAGGTGGCATCTGAAAGCTGCCAGAGGCAACAATTCATAAGGACAGGTTGGTACATTCAGCAAATATTTACCGTACCAAGTGTTTTGTGCACCCCGTGCTGAGGATACAATGGAGATTAAGACCCAGTCTTTGTCCCTAAGGAGCTCAAGGTCCATAGGGGGTGAATGAGTGAAGGGGAGGGTCTCAGAGTACTTACACAGATTATTGCAAAACAACCTGGCAAGTGTTCTTAGAGACACACAGGATTTTCTGGAAGCTTGAAGTCTGGAAGAGGGGGGCCAAAAAAGGCTTCCTGGAGTTGAGCCTAAAGGATGAAGAGAAAGCCAAACAAAAGAGCAAAAAGACCTTTTGCAGAGAGCAGTAGACAAACTTTTTGACTTTGCCCCACAGTGAGAAATTCATTTTAAATCTTGATCTAGTATAGGTACATTTTTGTACATAAGTGAAACAAAAGTTTCATGAATTGATTGTCTAATACGTGCAAAATAATTTTACTTTCTATTTTAATTCATTAAAAAATAGTATGGTCGCAATCTACTAAATTGTTTTGATGACCCATTCATGAGTACTTACGTGCTGATTGAACATTATAAGCCTAAACTGAGGATGGGTTTAGTGCTTGACAAAGCGAGAGTTAAATCCAAGTAGTGGCTAAAAGTCTCTGGAGTAGAACAGCCAGGTCAGGAAAAGGTCCTTGAAAAGCCCCTCTTACTTGCAAAATGAAGCATAAACATGCTCCAATTGTCATAATAAAAAGAATGAAGAACACCTTTTTGTTCTTTTGAGTGGTTTACCAAAAGCTCCCTCACCCTTTGTTATGTAGAGCTGGTACCTGGGGAGAGCTGGTACCTCTGTTTGTGGAAATTGCCTCAAATCTCTTTCCCCCAACATTCTGAGTCTTTCAGAATGGCGAGACAGGGTGACGAAGTACCTAAGATAAAATTACCCTGAGGACAGCCTTACTAACGATTAGGTTCAACTCAAAGGGCTGAGAATTCACAAGGGTGGGCTGGTTTGGGCGCAGTGTGCGTATGATGGTCTGAACTTCCAGGTTCAGATGTGCTTTGGTAAGAAATGGCTGAGTACGTGCTTACCAAAGCACAGTGGATGAGAAATGTGCTTACCAAAGCACAGTGGATGTGCTTTGGTAAGAAATGGCTGAGTATGAGAGTGTAAACGGGGAAAAAAAGCTGTAACGCTAAAGGCCATAATGAGACTTCAATGAGCTTCAGCTGGTGCCCGGATCAGTGAGGACAACTCAGTAACCAACGCTCCATCCACAAGCAGTGGTGCGGAGCCAGTCTTCAGCAGCGCCCCCGGTGTTAGTGGGAAGCAATAGCAGTAGTAACTGATGAGCGCAGTTTCTCTGGCCTGGGGAAGAGGTGTGGTAAAATCCTTATGGACTCAGTAAGACTCTAGGAGGGTTCTTGGTCAGTTTTGTGTGTGGGGAGAGGTCTTAAAGGAATGATACAGAACATCCTGCCATTAAAGCACAGACTAGTTTAAAACGTGTAATCAGATTTGAAGTCTGAGTTTGTAGAGCAGGTATGTATGCCAGCACCATGTGGAATTTAGCCTAGGTTCATCGAATGGAGCCCATATTCTTAAGCATGCCACCAGTGGTTTTTCAAGTGTGGTTTCCTGACCAGAAGCATCAGCATCTCCCAGGAACTTGTTAGAAACGCACATTCTCAGACTTCCTTCAAGACCTGCTGAATCAGAAACTCTGAGAGTGGGGCCCTGCAAGCTGGTTTCACAAGCCCCCCAGATGAGGAAACTGAGGCTTGGAGAAGGTCCCACAGCTAGCCAGCAATAACCTGGATTCAAATTCAGGCACCAGCTCCCAGGGCCCATGCTCTAAACCACTAGCACAGCGTTTCTCAAACTTTTTTGGACTAAGCCTCAGAGTTGGAAATGCAAATTATTCTTATTTTAATTTTAATTTTTAGTTCTGGGGTACATGTGCAGGATGTGCAGGTTTGTTACATAGGCAAACGTGTGCCATGGTGGTTTGCTGCACCAATCAACCCATCACCTGGGTATTAAGCCTGGCATGCATTAGCTGGAAATGTAAATTATCTCATGGCCCAGGACACACATATAAAAGTGTTAGGAAACAATATACATTTTTTTTCCTATTCTATTTTCTTCTATGCTCTTCTATTTCAGCTAAAAAAAGTTTTTAGCTATGGCTCACCAAATTGGTTTCACATCCCACTAATGACTGGGTTATAACCCATAGTTTGAAAACCCCTGCATGAGAACATACTATTTTACACCAAAAAAGCCAACCAGTGTGAAATAGCAAGAATGTAAGACATGGGAGATGTCATTTAAGTATGTTATTGTTAGGTACAGGTGACAAGTATTACGGTCAAACATTTGAGAGAGAGAAAAAGAGATATTGAAATAGGGGAGGTAAGAGAACTGAGGCTTCCATGGAGAGGCAGGATACAGAGTTCTAAGCCTTGAGAATGAAATAGAATTCAGAGGGAAAAAATCAGGGAAGGACACTCTAACAATCCCTAGGCCTTAAGGGATTAAAGTGGGAACTACTAAATGTCAGTATTATCATCTGTAAAATGGGGTAATAATTGTCCCTATCTAAAGGGTTTACTGTGAGGGTAGAAGAAAATAATGCATGTTGGCCGGACCCAGTGGCTCACGCCTGTAATCCCAGACTTTTGGGAGGCCAAGGCAAAAGGATCACTTGAGGCCACGAGTTTGAGATCAACCTGGCCAATATAGTGAAACCCCGTCTCTACAAAAATATAAAAATTAGCCAGGCGTGGTGGCACGTGCCTGTAATTCCAGCTACTTGGGAGGCTGAAGAAGGAAAATTGCTTGCGCCTGGGAGGCGGAGGTTGCAGTGAGCCGAGATTGCACCACTGTACTCCAGGCTAGGAGACAGAGAAAGACTCTGCTCAGGAAAAGAAAAAGAAAAAGAAAAAAGAAACCAATAATGCATGTGCCATGCTTTGCACTTAGTCACTGTTCACGGGCAAAATGATGAGAACCACATAAGTAAGCATTTCTGGTAGTCATATTAAAAAAGAAAAGAGTAAACGGATGAAATTAATTTTAATAATATAGGCCCGGTGCGGTGGCTCACGCCTGTAATCCCAGCACCTTGGGAGGCCGAGGCGGGCAGATCACAAGGTCAGGAGATTGAGACCATCCTGGCTAACACGGTGAAACCCCGTCTCTACTAAAATTACAAAAAAATTAGCCGGGCGTGGTGGCGGGCGCCTATAGTCTCAGCTACTCGGGAGGCTGAGGCAGGAGAATGGCATGAACTCGGGAGGTGGAGCTTGTAGTGAGCCAAGATTGTACCACTGCATTCCATCCTGGGCAACAGAGTGAGACTCTGTCTCAAAAAAATATAATAATAATAATATATATTACCTAACCCAACATATTCAAAATATTATTTTGACACGCAATCCATAAAAAAATTATTAAGATATTGCATGTATCTTTTTCATAGTGTATCTGTGGAATCCAGTGTATATTTTACACTTGTAACTTGTCTTGATTTTGATGATCCACATTTCAAGTGTTCACTTGCTACATGTGGCTCGTGGCTGGTGTGGTGGGCAAAGTGGGCCTAGCACAGAAGTGCTCTGTAATTATTACTGTTGTTATAATTATCATCATTGTTGTTATTCAGTGTTGAGCAATGGAGTCAAGGACTTTTTGTGGGTGTGGGGTGGTGGTTGTGTGGAGTAGAGCAGCGGAACACCCTATTTGCCTGACTTCCAGAATGCCAGCTTGCTGGGATTTCAGTGCAGCTGAGGCCTCAAGCCAGTTAAGCCTATGGGTCCCAGACTCACTGGCCAGTTGGTGCCCTTCGTGCGATCCACAGACTGTTCAAGTATCCATGTTTATCATATGGTCATGTTTATACTTTTGTTTCTGGTAGGAATTAATAATTTACTTATGATACTTAATAAAAACCAGACATCACCTCATCGGTGTTTAAACAAAAACAGTGCAATTTATCTTATTAATTCTGGTGAGGTCGTCTGTCTTCTGCTGTTGGATTTGGAGGGTGGTGTGGGCAGGCATTCTATGGGGTCTTAAGCCAAATGGTCCTTGGTCCTCAAAGTGTAAGCTTTTGGTTCATGTGGGTATGTAGTGGGTCACTGTGGGAGGTAGGATGATGGAGTGAGGCTGTGGAACCAGGACCATTGCTGGGTCGAGAGAGCTAGAATGCTCACGCAGGCAGTTGGCCTGCATACCCAAGGAAGCCAGTGCCGGCATGTAGCTCCAAGTGAGAGCGTTGCACACTTTATAAGCATGATCTCCTCTATTCCCTCCAACTCCTCTCCGAGGTACCCATTCTACAGAGGAGAAAACTGCAGCTCAGAGAAGTTAGGTAGCTTGCCTAGCTCCATGATGGTCAAACCTGGCCTCTCCCCCAGGGTGTGTGACTCCACGGTCTCTGCTCTTAACCACTTTGCCACACCGGAACTTCCTCCCCAGACCTTCCTCACTGGAGCCACCCTCTCCTTGGCATGGTTTTTTTCCTGATTTGGAAGCTGACTACTAAGTCTGGTCAAGCTCTTTCCTCGCTTGTGAAGGAAAAGTACTTTCCCAAGGAAGTTGAACAGGTCCGCGTGCAGCAGTGGATACAGGTTTCCCAGCTCTCAGAAAAGAGTGGGTGGAAGGCTAGGTTTCAGCTTTTCCTTATCCTGCCAGAGGCCGGTGGCCTCCCTGTGTGGACAAAGGAGCCAGCAAGTGCTATCATATTCCACTTTAAGGATGTGGATGCCACATCACCTGCTATGCTCCAGCCGCGTTCTTCTCCCTATAGTTTCTTGAATTTGCCAAGCTCTTCCCTGTCTCTTGGCCTTTGAGCTAGCTCTCTTTTCCCAGGATTCAGCTGAAGCTGAGAATATCACCTTCTCAGAGTTGCCTTCCTGACCACTACATATAAGCAGCTCTCTATCACAACAATTTGTTTCCTTCTGGCCATTGATTATATACTTGTTCACTGGTTTACTCATCAACTGTCTGATTCCCCAGTAGAATGTTTATTTTTACAAGGGCAGAGAACACATCTGTTTGATTTACTAATGAATTTCTCACACCTAGTACACTGCCTGGCCCCAAATAGGATATCAGTTAAATATTTCTTGCACAAATGAACAAATCAAGACGGAGATTCCCCAAGATTCATGGCCACTGTGTGAACCTGGAAAAGTTCCTTCCTTCTCTGGGGCTCAGTTTTTGCATCTGTAAAACGGCCTTGAGATGACCTCTAAGCTTCTTTCCAGCTCTGAAATTCCACAGCTCTCTGATCTGACATTGGAAACTGCTGAGCCCCACCCCATTCAGTTATTTTGCCTTTATCGCCCAAGTATTTCTTTAGAAAAGGGGGTGGGGATGTTCTAAAGTAGACCCTTAGTTCCTTTTTGAGCATCTGGGCAATTTTCCAATGCTTATAATTGCATTAGAAACCAGCAAAGTTAACCTAGTTATTGATTCTGGAGTTTCGAGTCTCCATTGGCAAGACCAAACCCACAAGTTGGCAGCTTGGTATTCTTTTTTCTTTTCTTTCTTTCTTTTCTTTTTTTTTTTTTTTTATGGTAATGTTATGAGATTACAGGTTCTGTAATCTGGATCAACAACTCTTTCACTTCATAATAAAGTTGTATTTTTAAATTTTGCTTTTGACTTTAATTGCAGCCAGGCATGAAACGAGAGAATGAGGGTGCCTTTCCAGATGAGTGCACATTCAAAATCATTCAAACTCTACTTGGAAGAGGAGAGGAAAATTAATAATGAGAACAAACAGGCCTTTGGAACCAGGCTCCCCCTCCTCCCTTCTTCATAAAATGAAATCCTTCTCCTCACAGAGTAAATGGAAAAAACACCAGAGCAAACAAACTGGGGAGGTGCTAGCACAATCGGTTCTTTTCGTCTTCACAGACCTTAATCAAGTGAAGACCCAACAGAACTACGTACAGGACAAAACCAGATAATTCGACATTCATTCATTCATCCCACAAATGTTTAGTGATCATTTATTCTGTGTCAGACTTTGAGCTGGGTGTGGGGATAAAACAGTGAATAAGACAGAAAAAATTCCTATCCTAATACAATAATACTATTCATGACAATAATAATAATTGTTGTTCACATTTGCTATGTGCTTAGCACAGTGAAAGAGCTCTTAGTGAATTTTCTCCCTTAGTGCCCACAACATTTTTATGAAGTAGGCACCTTTATGAGTTCTATTTACTGATGAGGAAACTGAGGCACAGGGGAATGGAGTGATTGTTCAGGATCATGTGGCTGGCCAGGGCAGCAGCAAAGATGGCTCTGGGGGCAGAGCTCTGCTACCACAGAGTTGAGTCCAACAGAGCAGGTTGGTGAGCTCATAGGCAATTCTAATATGGTTTGAGAAGTGATACGATGGGGACACAGAGAAAGGACAGGCTGGAGAGGCTGAGGAAGAACTTGTGAAAGATGTTTTGCCTACACTGTGATCTGAAGAATGAGAAAGAATAGCTAGGCAAAGATTGTGGGGCATCTGGAAGGGCTAAAAATGTTTCAGATGGGAGAGAAGTGAAGGAGCAGGCCAAAAGGGGAAGAGAGATGAGTCTGGCAGATAGACAGGAGGCCAGATCATGAAGGGTCCAGGAAGCCAGGCTAAGACCTTTGCAACCTGGTGGTGATGGGAAGGCCCTGAAGTAGCACCATGTATTAGTCTGTTCTCATGCTGCTGATAAAGACATACCCAAGACTGGGCAATTTATAAAAGAAAGATGTTTAATGGACTTACATTTCCACATGGCTGGGGAGGCCTCACAATTATGGAGGAAGGCAAGGAGGAGCCAGTCACATCTTACATGGATGGCAGCAGGCAAAGAGAGAGAACTTGTGCCGGGGAACTACTCTTTATAGAACCATCAGATCTCATGAGACTTATTCACTTTCATGAGAACAGCACAGGAAAGACTTGCCCCGATGATTCAATTGCCTCCCACCAGGTCCCTCCCACGATATGTGGGAATTCAAGATGAGACTTGGGTAGGGATACAGCCAAACCATATCACACCATGAACTTCATGCCTTGGAAGGGTTATGTCTAATGGCTATGTAGACAGAATGGGCTGGACGGTTGGAGGTAGAGAGATGAATTAGATCCAGAGGTATGGTGGTCCAACTCAAGGCTGGGGGCAGTGGTGAAGAACAGTGGTATATAGATCTGAGACAATTTGGGATGTAAAAATGATAGGACTTTGTGACAATGCAAATGTCCACTGTTGAAATCAGGCAAGTGACTTAAATGAACAACTTTGGCTGTCTGTGGTACCTGATAACTCTTGGCTTTATTTTGTGCTGTATGGACAGGGTCACATATCGGAAAAGTAGGCAACTCTCTACCCTGAGGGGTCATCTTCTCACAAGGGCCTAACCAAATGTCCCTGTGAAGAACACCCCAGCATTGATGTAACAAAGTAGCCTTTTAAGTGGTTGTTCTTTACACTGTTTTAGTCCCTCATATGAATTCCTCTGCTAATTTATAAGTAGGATAGAGTGTTTTCCCTTGTAACCACTGCTTGAAAGTGATTTGGCTGGGTGTGGTGGCTCACACCTGTAATGACAGCGCTTTGGGAGGACAAGACAGACAGATTGCTTGAGCTCAAGAGTTCAAAACCAGGCTGGGCAACATGGTGAAACCCCGTCTCTACAAAAAAAAAAAAAAAAAATACAAAATACAAAAATTAGCTGGGCATGGTGATGGATGACTGTCGTCCCAGCTACTCTGGAGGCTGAGGTGTGAGGATCATCTGAGCCTGGGAGTTTGAGGCTTCAGTGAGCTGTGATTGCACCACTGCATTCCAACCTGGGCAACAGAGTGAGACCCTGTCTCAAAAAAAAAAAAAAAAAAAAAAGAAATTGATTTAATCAGGTATGTTGTACTTTTGCCTTGGTTATCAAGAAGTTTAGCATGAATTTTTATTCACACACCTATATTGCTTTGGAGGGTATGTACCTATTAGTAATCTACAGTTTATTGAATGTAGTATCTGCTACTTAGGGTATAGGACTTTGAAGAGATGGGAAATAGGAAAGGGAAGTGTTGATGGAGACTTGCAGGTTAGGAACACTTTGGAAGCTGGAGCTGTGTGATGGATAAGTAGGCTTGAAACAAACCTGACTGGGGGCCATGGAAGGTCTGGCCAAGTCATCATAAAAGAGCACCAGAGTCATTGGTAGGAGAGAAAGTAGAAAGCCACTGGTCGGAGGAAAGTGGGCTAGAATGTGGCCACCCAGCCTTGTTTTCTGCCCTTGTGTTAACACAGGCAACAAAGCCACAGTTTTGAAAGACTTGAACAGCAAATTCAACATACCATGATTAGGTGAATGTCCACATGGAATGATGTTCAGGAGGCTTAGAAAGACATTCCTAGTTTCGGCCAGGTGCAGTGGCTCATGCCTGTAATCCCAGTACTTTGGGAGGCCGAGGCAGGTGGATCACGAGGTTAGGAGATTGAGACCATCCTGGCTAACACGGTGAAACCCTGTCTCTACTAAAAATACAAAAAATTAGCCGGGTGTGGTGGCGGGCGCCTGTAGTCCCAGCTACTTGGGAGGCTGAGGTAGGAGAATGGCATGAACCCGGGAGGTGGAGCTTGCAGTGAGCCGAGATCGCACCAATGCATTCCAGCCTTGGTGACAGAGCGGGACTCCCTGTCAAAAAAAAAAAAAAAAAAGAAAGAGATTCCTGGTTTCCTTTATGCAAATATCCTTATTACATTTTGGCTGTTGGTGGCTCATTCATTGCATCAAATTATTGCCATCCCAGAAAGTCTCTGTGAAAATGTGAGTGCCCCTGAGTAGTGTCATGTAATAAGGAACAAATCATAGCAACTCAGACCTTTGAGCTGAAAGAGGCCTGTGGGATAATTGATGGCAACCCTCATATTATGGATGGGGAAACTAAGCCACAAGGAGGTTAACCAAATGAGACTAAAGTCTCAAAGCCAGTTAGTGGCAAAACTTGGATTACAATGCAGATCTCTGGCTTCTAATAGAAGATATTTCCACATCACATGATTAGAGGCCAGTTCGTGTACTATTCCTTTCTAAAGTAACAGCCGAAAAAAGGGAATGAGATCCAGGGTGAACAGGTTTTGACAGGAAGGGAGATGAGAGTCAGTCAGGGGGACAAAAGTCCTTCCACTCCAGCCTTGTGTGTAGAGGAGAGGCCACTAAGCCTAGCCGTTCATAGTTCTCCACACCCATGTTTATTGATATTGACTCAAGCAAGCAGTGGGTTCTGGATCCAAGTGGATCCAATCAGAGTCCCTCCAAAACGGGACGTATGGAAGTCTCACTTCCTCTGTAAAGACTATTTGACCTATTTGACAGAGACTGCCTGCGTGTGAAGGCAACACAGAAAAAAGCAGAGCCCAAACAAGAAAGAATGAGGAAGGTAGAGTGAGGAGGAGGGCAGGAGCAAGAAACAGATGAGAGAGTGAGAGGGAGATCAAGAGATTGAGAGAGAAAATGCAAGAGCAAGCAAGCATCTGGAAGAAATAATTTGAGTAACTGGATCCAGCTATGCCTGAAGCCAGATGCACTCTAAGACTTTTCAATTTATGGGAGCCAATAAGTACCTTTTATTTTTTCTGTTTAAACAAGTTCAAGTTGAAGTTGTCTTACTTTTAACTGTAAAGATCCCATTTATAATAAGCTTTTCATATAAATCTACTTGATATTTGCAGGCACCTTGTGAGATAGATATTATTATAATCACCATGTTATGAATGTGAAAACTGAGGCTCAGAGATGTTTAGTGATTGGCTTAAGATTATAGAGCTTTGTGAAATCAGTCTGTGCTATTCTTCATAACACGGGTGTCCCAATCTTTTGGCTTCCGTGGGCCACATTGGAAGAAGAATTGTCTTGGGCCACACATAAAATACAATAACACTAACGATAGCTGATGAGCTAAAAAAAAACAAAAATCACAAAAAAGCTCATAATGTTTTAAGAAAGTTTATAAATTTGTGTTGTGCTGCATTCAAAGCCATGGACTGCAGGGTTGGACAAACTAGCTTTACATGATCCTTCCTTTTTTTTATTTACTAAGGCCTCGCTGTTCAAAGCGCAATCTGTAGACCGGCAGCATTGGCATTACCTGGGGGTGTAGACAGGAATGTAGTATCTGAGGCCTCATCCCCAAAACGATTGAATCTGAATCTGCTTGTGAACAAGCCCCTCGGGTGATTGGAATACATAATGCACTTTGAGAAACACTGCATTACGATCAGGGCTGACTTCAGGGTGGTGGGGTATTGAGGGTGGGTGGACATACCTGAGCAGTCTGGACACAGCTCTGTCCTTTCACGGCATGGTCAGGGGCCAGCCGCCCTCTTAATGCTGTTCTTCCTAGCATGGTGTGTTAATATATCGTTAGCTGCTAGGATCATGCTAAGCAGATAATCTGCTAGATAACTACACTGGTCACATGAAGTGGATGATTGGACTCTCTGAGTCTGAGCCTGGGACGCTTACTCGATGGAGAGAGAGGCAGGCTCGTCTCCAGCTTTGTGTGGGCAGATGCTGTGCCAGCGCCCAGGCCGCGGCCTCAGGACCACAGCAAGTCTCGGCGGGAAGCCCACACGTGAGCAAGTCTCCTTTGAGGTCTGCATGTGCTGCAAGCGGAAGCCTGTGGTCAGCATGTGGCAGCTCAAATAATACGCTCCACTAGTGTGAGAAAGCCACAACACAGCACGGAGGGAACCATTCACCAGAACCTTCTATCGCGTGTCTGCCGGGCAAGGTGGCCGCTGCAGCTGGGATTGGAGCAAAGCCTCCGAGTTCACCAGTCCATACGCCCTGGAGAATCGTGTGAAAAGACAGGTGGACCATGACGAAGGAGAGCTCCTATAAACACAAGCTTAAAAAAGGCTGAAGTCTGCCTGCCTGGTTTATTTCTGCCAGCACTGGGGCTGGGTGAGAACACAGACACATCCTTCTAC
Source organism: Homo sapiens (assembly GCF_000001405.40). Classification (NCBI taxonomy): domain Eukaryota; kingdom Metazoa; phylum Chordata; class Mammalia; order Primates; family Hominidae; genus Homo; species Homo sapiens. The sequence goes on from NC_000003.12 coordinate 66,583,232, forward strand.
TTCTCCGGCTCCCTGAGAGAACATGCCAAGTTCTGAATGTCTCTAATGGAGATACCTGGCCATGCGGGGGGTTGACAGACAGAACTGTTTTGGGGACCAGTTCCAATTCCTTGGATGACTTGGTGCGTCCACCTCAGCTTTTCTTCCATGTTCCTGGAGAAGGACCATTCATTCCTCTGAGCCCCGTGGTCCAGCACCACAGGAAGAAAAGTCTGGGAGTCACCACTCCTCTGACTTGGGAGCACATTTCGCCTCTGATGTCTTTTTCCTGAATGCATTTCAGCTTTACTCTTCTGATTCTTTCTCTCCCATCTGGTTTCTATCTGACCCAAGCAGCTGTTTTTTCCATTGAAAAGAACACATTTACCTCTTTCTTCTTCACATGCCATGTTTTCAGTTTTGAAATGCTTTTTCATATGGACTGAAACAGTCTGGATTTTCTTTTTTTTCTTTTCTTCAGGAAAAGGGAGTACCCGTATTTTGATTTGGGTATGTGCAAAGTCTTTAAGCAGACCCACAGAACAATGGCAGTGAATGTCTTCACTCCCCTAATGGCTAGGAAGCCATTCTGTTTATTCATGATCACCATGCTCCATGCACAGAAAGACTCTCAGCCATGACTAATATTAGCACAGCACAGTATATATAACATGTTCAGTCATGTATCATAAATATTTATAAAGACCACAGGAGCTTTTCTCATAATGCAAAGAGATGTGCCCGAGAAGAGTTGAGCAGTATGTGTTGGGTGTTTTTGGAAAATGAATAGATGCCCTTTTTTCCAAATGACAAAATAACCTCCCCCGCTGACCTCCCCGCCGCACTGAATTTAAAGATAGTTGGAAGGCAAAGCTCTGGAATTTTCTCTGTTGATTGAAGTGTGGGCAGAACACTTTACCATTGGTGATGGAAGAATTTATTCCCATTTTAAGTAATGTTTACCTATCCAGCCACGCCATAGGAAAGGGGATCCAGGGAGAATTTGAAAGAGTGAGGTTTGACATTCAAGACAGCGGCCTTATAAAGGAGAGGTGCTGGGACCAAAAAGTGAGTGAAATCTCAGCTCCACCATTGTCAGCTATGTAACCTCTTTGTACTCGCAGATTTCCCTTCCTTCTCAAGGTCTTCGGACATGCTGTTACCTCTATGTGCAACACCCTTCCCCCGTTTCGTGTGGTGGTTCCTTTAGGTCTCTGCTTCAATGTCACCTCTCATAGAGGCCTTCCCTGACCACCCTCCACCAATGCAGGCACAGTCATTTGCCTTGTTTGTTTGTTTCCTTAATTACATATCTCTTGTTATATCTTTGTTTCCTTGTTTTGAATCTACCTCACCCTCTATAAGTCTTCATAATGGTAGGTAGGGACTGTGGTTCCCCCACTTCTCATTTATCTTTTTTTAAGTTGATAGACTTTATATTTTGGAACAATTTTAGGCTTACAGAAACATTGAGTAGAAAGTACAGAATTCCCATATATTTCCTCCCCCCAGCTTCTCCTGTTACTAATATCTTGAGTTAGTGTGGTACATTTGTTATGATTGATGAGCCACTATTGATGTCTTATTATCATTAACTAAAGGTCATAGTTTACTTTAGGGCTCACTTGTACATTCTATGGCCCTTGTCAAAGGTTTAATGTCATGCACCCAACATGATAGCATCATACGGAATAGTTTCACTGCCCTAAGAATAGGCTACACCTATTCATCCCTTCTTCCCTGTCCCAAACACCTGACAACCGCTGATTTTTACTGCCTCCATAGGTTTGCCTTTTCCAGAATGTCATATGCTTGGAATCATACAATAGGTACCCTTTTCAGATAGGCTTCTTTCACTTAGCAATCCACACCTCCTCCATTTTTAACGACTGTATTCTAGAGTTCCTGACATAAGAAGTGCCCAGTGAATATTTATGGAATGAACAAATGAAAGAGCTTTATGTTGTCCTAATTTGCAAATTGAGTCTACTGTACAGAGTTGTGAGGATTTGAAGAGTAACATATAAGAAGGACTTTTACAGTGTCTAGCCCCTGGTAAAACCTCATAACGGTTGTTACTTTTTATATTCTGGGGTTGTTTCTGGATCTTGATGATGCTGGTATAGGCCTGGGAAGTGTTTAAGGTCTGATAGTGTGTTTATGAAACTCAGACTTTTTTGAAAGCTTTCGCTGGTAAAGCTACAATTTCTCAGTCAGCCTCTGTATCTCCGGATGGCCGCTCCCTAAAATTATGGGGCCTTTGGGAAATCTTGGTGAACCACTGATAGGATGTCTCTGGTCCTCGTTTTTCAGTACAAAATATTTTCACTATTTGCAATTTTTTAGAGTGATTCCTCTTTCAAAATGATCTTAGGGCTCTATATTTGAAATGTGCTTACTTCTTTTCTCTTACATTCTGTTTAGTAACCCCACCTTTTCTTGAAGAAAATCTTCACACTGTTTCCAGTTCCACTTCCTTTTGCTGTGGAGTGGAAATTCTGATCCCTTTCCTGGTGGGAACTTGATGAGACTGGCCTAGTTGTAAAAGAGTGGCTGGCCCAGGTGAAGTTTTCATATCCTTTAACTCTCCAGTCTTCTGAAAAACCCAGGTTGCTGAAAGAACTTCTGAAATGTAAAACGTGAAAAGTGTTTCACAATAGCTTCCATCCCTGGATTGTGTAAAATGCTTTTAAGAAGTAGAACATTTCTGTGGCCCTTTTAGGTCAAGATAGAAGTTGTGTCTTCAGTTCCTATGTTTTGTCTATCTAATGTCACACATCTGGGTATTTGGAAATAACTAGGTGACTGGCCACATGAGTGTGCTGGCATTTTGTAGAGTTTTAGGATCATCTTTTAGAACAATAAAGGGTAATTTTTTTTTAGATTTTAAAATGATTTATACCAGAATTGGTTAAAAATATATGACTTTGTCATTTTCAATAGGAAAAATAATCTGTTTTTTTCCTCTGGGAAGAAGAAAGTGCCACGACTTAATTAACAAAGTTGAAAAACTGTAAAAGAAATTTCTTTCATGGAATAACCTTAATCTTCATAGGCTACTAGTTCTAATAGTTTAAAATACCAGTTGTAATTTTGCATCTTTAGATATAAATTTGATTCCTTCTTGGAACCTGACCTACTTGTCTGATGGTCAGATGAAATCCAAAGATGAGACTGGGTTAGGGCAGGGGTTGTTAAGAGCTATTGTACATGGGGGTCATATGGACACTTGGTGCTTATTAAAAATGCAGATCCTGGGCCAAGTGCAGTGTCTCCCGCCTGTAATCCCAGCACTTTGGGAGGCCAAGGTGGGTGGATCACTTGAGGCCAGGAGTTCAAGACCAGCCTGGGCAACATGGCAAAACCCTGTCTCTACTAAAAATACTAAAAATTAGCCAGGTGTGGTGACACATACCTGTAATCCTTGCTACTCAGGAGGCTGAGGCATGAGCATTGTTTAAACCTCAGAGGCGGAGGTGGCACTGAGCCAAGATGGTGCCACTGTACTTCGGCCTGGGTAACAGAGTAAGACTCTGTCTCAAAAAAAATCAGATCCCACTTGCCACCAAGATTCTGACTTAGTTGCCTGGGATATGAGATGAGGCCCAAAGTCTTCATGCATGTGCACCCCAGAAATGTACTACATCAGTGTTGCTTAAACTAATATTTACAGAGCAGTGTTCTAAGTGATTTACATTTATTAACTTATTTAATCCTTCCATCACCATAGGAGGCAGGTATCATTATTATCTTCATTTCATAGGAGATGAAGTTACATAGGAATTGTGCAGCTCACTGTCATGAGGACACACAGACTCAGCTGGTTAGAGCAGAACTGGAGTTCAAATTCCAACGGTCTGGTGCCAGAAGCTGAGCTTTCAGCCACTTGGCTACCCTCTCCCTCATGGATTATCATTCTTTTCTTACTTTGAATGTGGATGATAAATTTTTTTTTTCAGTTTTTGCATGAATGAAAATTTGCATCTATATGTGCAACTACTTCAGCCATATTGAATAGAATGGTCAGGCGATTACGTCAACAGGACCAGGTATACAGACATAAGACCACTTAAAAAGAAATGGGCACACCCATTAGCATGGGTGTTATCCAAAAAATGGAAAATAACAGTGTTGGTGGGATATAGATAAATTGGAACCCTGGTGCATTGCTTGTGGGAATGTAAAATGGTGCAGCTGCTATGAAAACAATTTGGCAATTCCTCAAAAAGTTAAACATAGATTTACCACATGAGCCAGTGATTCCACTCCTAGGTATATACTCAAAAGAACTGAAAGCAGGAACTCCAATGGATTCTTGTACTGCCATATTCATAGCAGCATTATTCACAATAGCAAAAAGGTGGACATAACCCAAATGCCCACCGACTGATGAGTAGATAAACAAAATATAGTTTCCATACAGTGGAATACTATTCAGCCACAAGAATAAATGGAATTCAGACGCACACTATGACATGGATGAATCTTGAAAATATATGCCAAGTGAAATAAGCCAGACACAGAAAGACAAATATTGTATGATTCCATGTATCTGAAGGGCCCAGAATAGGCAAATTCATAGAGACAGAAAGCCAGGTGCTAACAGGAGGAGGGAGTGGGGAAGAAGGGAATTGTTTAATGGGTACAGAGTTTCTGGATGGGATGATAAAAAATTCTAGAAATAGGTAACGGTGATGGTTGTACAACATTCTGAATGTACTTAATGCCATAGACTATATATTTAAAAATGGTTAAAATGATAAATTTTATGTTATTTATATTTTGCCACCAGTGAAAAAGACAAAAAAAAAGAGAAGTAAGTGGCAAAGAGAGACCACCAGCCAAGTGAGAAGAGACAGTGAAGCAGTGACTTTGCATCCAATTCAGATTCTTATCTCAGCTCTTGGCATTTTATCCAGACAATTGTCTTCATGAGTACCCATTTCAGTGTGTGCATAGACACAACTGGGATAATTTAAGAGAGACATCACTAAAATCCATCAAATGTTCACCTTCCAGTAGAGAATCAATGTGTTATTAATGTTAAAAAATGTTAAAAATATTTTAAAATATTAAAATATTCTAACAAGTCCTGAGCAATACACTAAGATGAAGAAAGTCCTTCTGATTCTGGTTACGGGGGTGACCCCCGTGTTGCTCTGACTGCAGTGGGTGTTGCAATAGCTCATTCATAAATACAGGCACCCCAGTTATTGGCTCATCACAGGCACGTGTTATTGGAAACAGAATATGCAACTTTGACCTCCAAATAATGAGTTGTTGCCAACTCAACTGAAAGCAACTTGTAGACTCTATCCAGCTAAGGGCTGTGGTTTGAGCAAAGACAAATAATACATAAAGCAGAGTTTGTTGTTCAGCTCTGCTGAGGATGAGTACAGGTCACAAGAGCTCAGTTCAACATGTGCAATCAGATATAGACAGCAAAGAATTCATATGGACCAGGCAACAGAATGTTCCTGTGCATGGGAGATCAAATTCATTGTGAGCCATGATGTTTAGAAGACAGACTTCATGACTCAGGGATGAAGGAGTGGCCTCTGACTGATAAAGGAAATGATTGTGTTGAGAAAGATTAAATATACATCCTGGTAGGGCTAATGCTAGGGATAATAAAGCTTATGATGAATTCTGATGAACACTTGGTAGTTAAATAAACCCACAGTGTCTCTCTCAACTCATATAGGGCTCTTGGAGAGTCTTTTTAAACAATTCAATGGAAGGAGCGATGTGCTAATCTTTATGACTTCTTAGTGCTAATGTCAACACCTAGACAGCTAGTAATTGCCAGTCAACAGTATTGATGAGAACAGCTAATGGGAATAATTTAGGAAACTCTTTTCCCTAGAAAAACAGTCTATGTAGGTAGGTGTGAATTACTTCATTTGGTTGACCAAATGGACAACCTGAAAACTGTTATTTGCTTTTGTTCTGTGGTTGTGCCTATCGTCTCTCTGTTCAGGGATATAGGGAGAGTGGAATAATATTAATTTCTCAAATCTCTCAAACCAGTTAATATCTCTAGAACCACTGCCCTAGCTCTAGCCACTCAACTTTTGCTGGTGCTACTGGAGCAGCCTCCTAGCTGGTCTCCTTTACCTAGGCTTGCGACCCTCAACCCAGTCTCCAGTCCTCTGTCTGAATGAGCTCTTTAAAATGTAGATTGCATAATTTCACTTCCCTACTTAAAACCCTCAAATGGCATCCCATTCATTATTCTTGTAAAACTTTGTATATTTTTTTTGCTTATCCACCCACACTTTTCTCTTTTTAAATCTTTTTCAATTGATATGTCATATTTGTACATTTTTTATGGGGTACATGTGGTATTTTGTTACATGTACAGAATGTGTAATGATCAAGTCAGGATATCTGGAGTATCCATTACCCCAAGTATTTATCCTTTCTATGTTTTGGGAACATTTCAAGCCTACTCTTCTAGCTATTTTGAAATACACAATACATTGTTGTTAACTACAGTCACCCTACTCTGCTATCAAACATTGAAACTTACTCCTTCTATCTAACTGTATGTTTGTACCCATTAACCAAACTCTCTTCATTTACCTCCCCCAACCCACACACCCTTCCCAGCCTCTTATATCTATCATTCTACTCTCAACTCTTGGACTCAAGCAATCCACCCATCTCGGCCTCCCAAAGTGTTGAGATTACGGGCGTGAGCCACCACGCCTGGCTCATTCTGCTCTCTTTCTCTGTAAGATCAACTTTTTTAGCTCACACATATGAGAACATGCCATATTTGTCTTTCTGTGCCCGGCTGATTTTGCTTAACATCATGACCTCCAGTTCCATCCATCTTGCTACAAAAGACAAAATTTCCTTCTTTTTAATTGTTGGGTAGTATTTCATTGTGTGCACATACCACATTTTCTTTATCCATTCGTCCATTGAGGGACACTTAGGTTGATTCCATATCTTTGCTATTGTGAATAGTGCTGCAATAAACATAGGGGTGCAGGTGTCCCTTTGATACACTGACTTCTTTCCTTTGGATAAATACCCAACAGTGGGACTGCTGGAAGTTCTATTTTTAGTTTTTTGAGAAATCTCCATATTTTCCCATAATGGCTGTACTAATTTACATTCCCACCAGCAGTGTATAAGAGTTCCTGTTTCTCTGTATCTTTGCCAGCATATATTGTTTTTTGTTTTTTTAATAATAGCCTTTCTAACTGGGGTAAGATGATATCTCATTGTGGTTTTGATTTGTATTTCCCTGATGATTAATGATATTGAGCATTTTTTTCATATACCTGTTGGCCATTTGTATGTCTTCTTTTGAGAAATGTCTCTTCATTGTTCTTGCAAAGCTTTAATAAATGTTTATGCAGGCCAGCTGGCTAGGCCTTGCTAGATTTAGTCCCTTCCTGGCATTCCAGTACCTGCTCATGCCTCTGGCCCTGTGCCTTACCCCCCATTCTGCTTGCAATGGGCACACCAACCTTCTTTCAATTCTGTGAACTAACCTAACGCTTTCCAGCTGCACAGCCTTTGCCAGTGCTAGTCCCTCTGCCTGGAATATCCTTGCCATTAGTTGTGATGTGGCTATGTCTTACTTCAGACCCCAATTGCTATGTCACTTCCTCAGAGAGGCCTTTCTGGGACACCACATCAAAATTAGAAACTCTGCGTGCTCTCTTTCTTTCAGATCCCTTTCTTCCATAGCACTTATTATAGTTGGTAACTATATTTGTATCTGAGTGATTATATATTTAACGCCAGCCTTCTACTGCACTATAAGCATAAAAAGTATAATGCATATCTTATTTATTAATGCATCTTCAGGATCTAGCAAGTAAACTGGTACACTAAAAGTTGCTCAATAAATACTTGCTGAAAGAAACATATTTAACCATAAGATGCTCACTGTGGTCAGAAATAAGATGTAGGTGGAGACGTCTTCTAAACAAACCACCAGCATTCTTTAGGACTCTGAGTTAGTTTTATTACTGTCTGGGTACCTTGTTAAATTCTGAAATCAAGATGATGGGGAAAAATTTGACTGATCATTTAACCTTCATTTATATTTAACATGACTTTCCCAAACAGATGGGGGGCTATGCCAGCCTTGTAAGTGGATGTACAAAATATGTATGGTCAAAATGCACACAAAGCAATTCCATCAATTCCCTTCTTTTCTGTGATTATTCCTCAACTTATTGTGACCAAGAATCAGTCCAGTATTTGGCAACAAGAGGGGTGAAAATGAACCGAAGACATGAGCAACAATTGACATGGAATCCCTAGGTGCTCCCAGCAGACCCACATTCTCAAGAAAGCCAATGCAAGAGGTGGGGCAAAGAGGGGCAGAGGATAAGAAATTTATTTTCTGACCCCTACTTAATGGTTTTAGGTCCACTTTGACCAGGGAAGAAAGAACTGTTTTTAAAAATGACTCACTTTATTCTTAAATGTCTCTAAGAGAAAGAGGTGCTACAATCTCCACAGGGAGGAGGTAAAAATTAAATCAGATAATCCTGGGAAATGATTTTGCAAAGTGGCTGTCCTATAGCCAGTGCTCAATCACACTGAGTGTTCAGCAATGCTGGGAGAGCCTCTTTCAAATCTTTAGTCTTGGAATCAATACTGATCATCTTAGAACTCTAACTCTTATGGCCAAAAGGTTTTTGATAACTCAAACTTAGATTTTCTTCCCTGTCGCTTCACAGTGTTTTGTAGCCTTTAATATTTCCTCTACCTTTCTTAAAATGTGAAATTTGAAAGTAATAAGTATTTCATGTTGATGATGTCTTAGAGAGTTGGGGTGAATTGTTGGGTCCTAGCAATTAGCCAAATAGCCAAGCCTAGATTTTTTCCTTTCCTTTCTTTCCCGGCCCTCATTATTTGGGTAATTGCATCAATTCTACAATTGGTTTTACATGTATTGCCAGAGTCTAAGCTGTGCAAAAAGGGATGTCCTTTAATGATTTCCTTTGAATGGCTTTCCATCTAGGGAGGAAGAGGGCCCCTCTTGTTCAAAAACAAAGGAATCATCCATCCCACCAAGACCTTTCTTCTCTATTAAGTATCTCTTGAATTTCAAAGGCGGACTTGGAATTTCTCAGTCCCAATCTTAACGGCAGTTCCAGACTGCAGTTTATTTTCTTTGTCCCTTTAAGACCAGAAAACATTACAGCAATGCAATAACTGTTCTTATTTTTCTTGGGTTCAAAACAAGACCAGATTCCAATCTGCTAAAGCTTACCATTTCACAGTAACCAAGCAGTTCATGATTATCAGCTCAAGCATACATTTTCCTTCCAAACAAGGATATGGCTACTAGCGGCAACAGCTGTATTTTGCTAGTCAATCCTTATGTTAAAGATTTACAGTTTTAAATTCTGTCACTTGGTTTGCCAACTGTTCTTCTTCCTGGAGCTGCCCAGTTGTTTCTGAGGGGACTTGAAGTGGTTTCCTAGCTGTTTCAACGCCCTGAATGACAATGCATCCTCAGAGTCAGACTGGAGAATGGAATTCCCTGTTTATATCCACAAGACTTCTCTCGCTCTCCTTCTTTTTTTTTTTTTTTTTTTTGAGAGGGAGCCTTACTGTGTCACCTAGGCTGGAGTGCAGTGGCGCGATCTCTGCTCACAGCAACCTCCGCCTCCCGGGTTCAAGTGATTCTTCTGCCTCAGCCTCCCAAGTAGCTGGGACTACAGGCATGCGCTATCACGGCTGGCTATTTTTTTTTTTGTATTTTTAGTAGAGACGGGATTTCACCACATTGACCAGGCAAATCTCAAACTCCTGAGCTCAACTGATCCGCCCGCTTTGGCCTCCCAAAGTGCTGGGATTACAGTTGTGAGCCACTGCACCCGGCCTCTCCTTCTTTTAAACATATGCAGACTCACCGCAGAAACTGGAAACAGATTAAAAGAAATGCTGGCTTTTAAGGCGAGTTTGAAAAACGTAAAGCTGGGAGCCGGCTTCCCGCTCTCCCTGGTTCCCTTTTTGTGTTCTCTTCTGTGATTCATCTGCTCTAATCCATCACCGATTCATCATGCTCATCCATCAGACCCTTCAAAGCAAACCCTACAGCTGCTTTTGCCATTTATCAGTGGGAAATAAAAGGGAAAGGGGGAAAAGTAAGGAAAATATCACGACCTTTCTGGGCCTGGGATAATGGGTGTGAAAAAAGGGTGGAGGGAAAGCTTATCTAATGAAACCCAGAGCCTTTCTGGGATGTGAGTTCTTGAACAAAGGATTATGACTGAGAGCAAGACCAGCAGCCAGTCTGCAGTAAAGTTTCAGGGATAAAGTCTGCCAGAAACAAAAGGTTTAGTGGGAAACTAGAGGAATGTGGACAAAATGATATCCACTCCAGAGGAGTTTAAAACCTACCAATATTCATAGAAATTTGTTGTCTGTGACCAGTCTCTCAGCTTTCAGCTGTGTAATAGAACATGGGCATTCAGGTTGAGAGGCAAACATTTGACTTCAGTGCCCTTCCTTGCAAACTGGGAAATGACTGATATTGTAATTCACCGTTCTCATTTTCATAAGATGCCTTGCAAGTCCTCTGCCATTTAAACACAACTGATGTGCCTTAATTTTGAATTTGTCATGCACCAGATTTTTATTTTTTATTTTTAAATTTTTATTTATTTATTTAAAAAATAGAGACGAGGTCTCACTATGTTGTACAGGCTGGTCTTGAACTCCTGAGCTCAAGTGATCCTCCCGTCCCGGTCTCCCAAAGTGCTAGGATTACAGGTGTGAGCCACTATGCCTGGCCTCATGCACCAGTTTTGCTCTCAAATTTGAGAATCAAAAAATAAGGACTGACTCAGTGATTCCACTTCTAGTAATTCAGCCTATATACGTGTAATCCATGTAGGAGGTTACTCTCTTTGTCATCATAGAAGGTAGAAACAGCCCAAAGTTTCATCATCAATGTCATGTAGCTTTTAGAAAGAATGAGGAAGGTAAACAAACTGTGGACACTATGGAATTCTATGACTCACCAATAAAAGGGAATAACTACAAATGCATGCAATGAGGTGGATGGACCTCAAAAGCAAGAGAGAACTTACTGTATGATTTCATTTACAGGACATTCTAGAGTGGGCAAAGCTATTTTATGGTAGAAAAAGAACAAGAGCTGCCTCTGAGGGTACAAAGGTGGGGACTGATGGGTAAAGGGCATGAAGGACGTTTCTGGGGGTGATGTTGATACCTTGTATCTTGATAGGGGTTTGGGTTACACAAAAGTATTTATTATCCAAACTCAGTGAATTTTGCACCTAAGATTTATATGTTTATCAAAGCTTAGAGAATATTTACTTAAAATTTGTGCATTTTATTATAGGTATTTTTTTTAAGTAAAAAGTTATAAACCAGTAATGAAATTCTGACTAAGAATATGCTTGCTCGAGTATTTGGATAAAAGTCTATTTATGTTTTCTATTTACTTTGAAATGCATCCCAAATAATATGGATTGCTGGATGGATAGAAAGATGACTGATGGGTGAATATTTGATAAAGCAAGCACAGTAAAGTGTTAATGGTAAAACCTAACTGGTGGGTATTCACAGGCATTCCTGGTAAAACTACTTAAATTTCACTCTATTTTGAATTTGTGTGTGTGTGTGTTTGTTTTTTGGGTTGGTTTTTTTTTTTTTTTTTTTTTTTTTTTTTCCTGAGATGAAGTCTCGCTCTGTTGCCCAGGCTGGAGTGCAGTGGCACAGGCTTGGCTCACTGCAATCTCTGTGTCCTGGGTTCAAGCGATTCTCCTGCCTCAGACTCCCAAATAGCTGGGATTTCCGGTGCATGCCACCATGCCAGCTGATTTTTGTTATTTTTAGTAGAGATGGAGTTTTGCCATGTTGGCCAGGCTGGTCTCAAACTCCTGATCTCAAGTGATCTGCCCGCCTCAGCCTCCCAAAGTGCTGGGATTGCAGGCATGAGCTACTGTGCCTAGCCAATTTTGAATATTTTAATAAAGTTTTGGGAAACAAAAAAAAAGAATGAGGAAGCTTTTTATATCCTCATATAGACTTTTTTCCAGTTTTATTGTTAGGTGAAAAAAGTTGCAGGCCACGCACGGTGGCTCACGCCTGTAATCCCAGCACTTTGGGAGGCCAAGGCGGGTGGATCACAAGGTCAGGAGTTCAAGACCAGTCTGGCCAACATGGTGAAAACCCATTTCTATTAAAAATACAAAAATTAGCTGGGTGTGGTGGCATGTGCCTGTAATCTCAGCTACTCAGGAGGATGAGGCAGGAGAATCACTTGAACCCAGAAGGTGGAGGTTTCAGTGAGCTGAGACTGTGCCACTGCACTCCAGCCTGGGCAACAGAGTGAGACTCTGTCTCAAAAGAAAAAAAGTTGATCGGCCGCGGTGGCTCATGCCTGTAATCCCAGCACTTTGGGAGGCCGAGGTTGGGGGATCACGAGGTCAGGAGATCAAGATCATCCTGGCTAATGTGGTGAAACCCCGTCTCTACTATAACACAAAAAAATTAGCCGGGTGTAGTGGTGGGCACCTGTAGTCCCAGCTATATGGGAGGCTGAGGCAGGAGAATGGCGTGAACCCGGGAGGCGGAGCTTGCCGTGAGCTGAGACTGCGCCACTGCACTCCAGCCTGGGTGACAGAGCGAGACTCTGTCTGAAAAAAAAAAAAAAAAAAAAAAAGGTGCAGTATTCACAGTATGCTGCCAATTGCAGAAAGAAAGAAGGAACTCATATGCGTATCTGAGTCTATGTGCCGATATCATCTCTTGAGGGAGACCCTAGAAATGGATTACCGTAGAGGAAATAACACTAGAAATGGTTACTTTAGAGGAGGGAAAATGGGTGCCTGGAGGGGAGGTGGGAAGGAGAGAGCATATTTTAAATCATTATGATGATTTAAAGGGTAAATTATTGTATACTTTTGGATTTTGTATAGGTGAAAGTATTACCAATTCAAATAAAAAAAATCAAAAGCAATAGTATATGCTAGAGTCATCTCAAATGTCTACAATGGGCTCCCTTTGCATGGCTGACATTTGGAATTTATTCTCCTAGCATCCATTCAATTCATCTGATGTTCCCTAATCTCTTATGTGCCAGGCATGGTGCCAGACTTTGTGGATAGGGTAGGGAATTGGGGGCAGCTGTGTCCTTGCCCTCACTGAGCTTACTGATCTAATGAAAGGATGGGTACACATTTGGAATGGATGTAAGTTCTGATCTAACCTAGTCTGGGGTGTGGGTGGGGTCAGGAGGCATTTTTATACAAGGAAAAACTGAGCTAATAAAGAAAGGATCCCCAAACTAGGGTGGGGAGAACAGCATGTACAAAGCTTCTGCTGGGGATGGAGCAGGGTGGTTTAAGTCCCTGAAAGAAGGCCAGGGTGGCGGATCACGAAGAACACAGAGGACGGACAGAGGAGATGAGGAGATACCAGAGACCACATTCAGGATATTGATCTTTATCCTGTTGTTTAATATCATAATGTACTTTCTGAACATCCTTTGTATGTCAAGAAACATTTTTCTCTCTGTAGTGGGGTTTTTGCCCCCACAGGTTCTAAGAGAAAATGGGAGCAGAGCTTGTTACATCCCTTCTTAGGAGAAATGAAGCACCTCACTAAATCTCCTGACATATCAGGCACTCATATCTTCTTTTCAAGGATCAGAGCCTGCATTTCTTGCCTGAGGGCTTTCTTTGGCTGCTGGGGTCTTCTCTGCCCCGTGAAGCAGGCAAATGGTATCCTAGAGAGTTAATGCCCCCCGAGAACAGCCCTTAACCAATTGATAGAGGAGGTAGAAAGAAATTATTTAGGCAGATAGTGAGGGCAAAAGAGCCCTTGGCAGAATTTCTTTTCTAACAAAAAGCAGCCCCCAAAGTCATTCCTTTTCTAATAAAGAGCAGCATGAAAAATCTAGCTGCAAACATAGATAAAGCTGGAAGCTTGCACGGGGAAATGCTAGTAGCTCCACCAACAGAAAAGGGCTACCTGGGGGCCAGGCATGTCCAACATGGAGACTCCATCTTCCCTTTTTTTGTTGTTGTTACCACGTGTACAGTAATAAAGAAATGGGCAACATGGCTCAACTCAGGCAGAGAACCCACCTGCATAATAAAAGATTAGGGTGGAAGCTACCAGAGATTCTCTCCCTATAGAAATGGCACACCTGTTCTAACCAGTCTTTCATGGTGTATGTAAATCAGATACCACCTCCTCACCAGCTCATCTATAAAACCCCCTGCTCGTAAACTCACTCTTTGTGTGTCTGCGTCCTTGTTCTCCATGGGACAACAAACCTCATGTTGCCGTGAGACGACAAACCTCAGCTGTTACTCCAGACAACAAGGCCATTTCACAATGACTGATGGGAGTTGGCCTATTCATACCCCAGCTCATCTACATTGGGCTTCCACAGGCCTTTTTGTGTTTTTTTCAGTGGCAACTGGGGAGAGAGTTGGCTTTGATGAGTTCAGTTGCAGAGTTTGGACTTGGTTAAGATCCTAGGTGTTTTGACCTTTCTGAACCCAGCCAGTATTTTTTTGATCTTTAATCTCACTAAATATAATTGCAGAATATACACTCATTTAAGAATTATATTGGCTTCCATTTTCTATAAAAATGTCTAACTCATATGCTAGCGTATGGTCACTTTACACTCTTTTATGGGATTCCTAGATGGGCCAGTATCAATATTCTCCTTGAAATTATCAAGAACCAAATAAACAGATGCCAGATAGTCTGATTGGAACGAAAATCTTACTTCATTTGACAATTTTTTTCTGAAGGACTGTTACCTTTAAACCTTTAAACTAGTCCACATACGTGGTACAGCTAATTCTCTACATCCCATCTTTCACATTTTTCACTTGTTACTTTTGAAAAATTAGTGGAATTTTTCACGGAGATCAGATGTGAAGAAATCTATGGCAGGGTGAAATTTTCTAGTCTAGAGGCTGCCTTTCTATGAAGGTCTCATTTCCCTTCCTTTTTAAAAAAATTAGGCTGTTTTAGGGCGGGTCTCTGTGGGTGACTCAAATTAAAACCTTTTTAGTTTGGGAAGCTGAAGCACCAAGATATTTTCACGCTGGGATTACTTGTCCAGATGGTTTGAGCACAATTTTCTTGGCATGCTCGTAAGAACACAGGAATTTTCAGGGGAAACCAGAGAACATAGTAGTGGGGAGGGTAGGTGGGGGAGGGCAAGTCAGGGCTGAGAAGGCAGAAATAAGGTTTGGATTCCACCAAATGGCACTGACCAGCTGAATTGGAATCAGTCCTAGTTATAGTTGGCACGGGTACCCCTCTCTCCGCTCCAAGATCACGGACTTTCCCTCTTCATAATGGGAATTACCTGGCTTTCCTAACAGAGAACGGAGGGGGGAAGAACTATAGGGAAATTCATGGAGCTGATGAAGATAACGATTGAGGTGCAGCCCCCAAACCTCACCATCAGGAAAGCATTGGTCAACTCCTGTATGCATGCATGGGACACCGAGCAAGGTGGGGAAGGAGGGGTGTGAAGGGCAGTGTTAGGCCTGGAAACACAGCATGGGCAGGCAACTCTCTTTGATAGCGTCAGCAACCACTGCTTAAAAACACAGAAATTAAAAATGGCAGGCAGAATTCTGAGATGGCTCCCAAGATTTCCAGGACCTGATGCACACATACTTTCCGTGTATGTGAATCATGTACAGTCCAACGTGATTCCAGGTACTGCTGTGAAAGATGTACGCAGATGTCATTAAGGCCCCAGATTAGTTGATTTTAGGATAGGGTGATTATCCAGGTGGGCCTGAACTCATCACATGAGACCTTTCAAAGGAGAAGGTGGCAGAGGTGGAACTCAGAGAGCTGGGTCTCTGTTGACCTGGGAGAAAGCAGACACCCAGGTTTGTGAAAGCCTGTGGAGGATGTGGTGATGGACTGGGGTAGCCTATAGGAGCTGACAGTGGTACCTGGCTGACAGTTGGCAGAAAAATGACCTGCATACTTAGAAGAGCACCCAAAGCCCCAAATGAGAACCACAGCCCTGGTTAATATCTTGATTTCAACCCAGTGAAGCTCTGAACAGAGACTCCAGCTAAGTCCCATGAACAGGCCTCTCACCTACAGAGCTGGAAAGATAATATATTTGTGTTGTTCCAACCTGCTAAATTTGTGGTAATTTGTTCCACAGCAAAAGAATGATGAAATGTTATGACAATGGATAGGTGAATAGTGAGAGAGGCAGTGCAGCATGGAATCAAGAAAATGAGCTCTTTCTTGGCTTTTTTTTTTTTTCTTTTTTGAGACGGAGCCTCGCTCTGTCACCAGGCTGGAGTGCAGTGGCGCGATCTCTGCTCACTGCAAGCTCCGCCTCCCGGGTTCAAGCGATTCCCCTGCCTCAGCCTCCCGAGTAGCTGGGATTACAGGCACATGCCACCACGCCCGGCTAATTTGTTTGTATTTTAGTAGAGATGGGGTTTCACCATGTTGGCCAGGATGGTCTCGATCTCCTGACCTCTTTATCCACCCGCCTTGGCCTCCCAAAGTGCTGGGATTACAGGCGTGAGCCACCATGCCCGGCTGAAAATGAGCTCTTTCTTTAAACTTCTCTGATGAAAATCCTGGCTCTGCCACTTCATAGCTGTGTGATTTTTAAACAGGTGATCTAACCTTGCTATATGTATTTCCTCATGTGTAAAAAAAGATTTAAATAGTAAGATTAAAAGAACATTATGAAGATCAAATGAAATAATATGTATCAAGCCCTAAGTCATGTGTAAAAGCCACGATGTATGTTAACTTAATGAGTGCTCAAAAAATAAGAGTTATCATCAGCAGCCATAATCTGTGGATCATATAGCACGTGTCTGGTGCTGCACAAGGGGCCTTAAAGAAATTAATCTTCAAAGAAACCCTGTGAGATTGGATTCCCCATTTTACAGATGGGGAAACTGCAACTCAGAGAGGTTCAATAACATGCCCAATATTATGCAACTAGTCAGTAGAGGAGCCAGGACGAAAACTACAGGGCTCTTTGATCCTAAACCCCATCCTGTGAACTGCTATTTTAAGTCCTATGCACAGTGAAGAGGTTGTAACTCTCCAGGTTGTTGTCCTGAGGAGACCCAGGGCACCAAGATTGGGATTCCCAAACTGCCAGGTCTCTCAAAATGGAGCCCAAATGATCCCAGAACTTTGGGAGGCTGAAGCAAGAGGATTGCTTGAACCCAGGAGTTCAAGCCCATCCTGGGCAACACAGGGAGATCCCGTCCCCATAAAAAATTAAAAAAGGAGCTGGGCATGGTGGCACATGCTTGTCATCCCAGCTACTTAGGAGGCTGAAGTGGGAGGATCCTTTGAGCCCAGGAGGTCGAGGCTGAAGTGAGCTGTGACTGTACCACTGCACTCTAGCCTGGGAGACAGAGCGAGACCCTGTCTTGAAAACGGAAAAAGATCCCCAATTCTCCAGCACTGTTCTCCACTCCATGGGATTCTCTCTGCTTTGTCCCTGTCTTGTATAGTTCCCTCCTGTTCACCCCTCAGATCTCCTGACCTCATAGATTAGACCAAGTCCACTTCAGTGCACTCTCCTAAAGTCCTTCTTTGTAGCAGTTCTTGCATTTTATCATTATGTGCTAGACCAGTGGTTCTCATCTGTGGGCAATTTTTCCCATGTTTGTCATTGTCTGGAGGCACATTTGGTTGTCACAATGGAAGCAGGTGCTCTTGGCCTATAGCGAGTGGAGGTCAGGGATGCTACTGAACATCCTACAGTGCAGTGCCCAGAAACAAAGGATAATCCAGCCCTCCATGTTAACAGTGCTGAGTCTGAGCAACTCTGTGCTGTGCCGTAGGCTCCACAGGGCTGGGGTTGCATCTGTATTTCCCCAGTCCCTAGGATGACCCTCTCAAGAGAAGTTTATTGAAGGAATGAAAGGAAGATAAACGGTGAATCTCAGGTCAGCCTTGTTGCTAGCTCTGCTCCACTTTCTGTAGTTTCAAAAAACTGACCTCAGTGGCAGAGAGTAACTTTGAAACTTATGTATGTCCTTGGAAAAGGGGAAAATAAATGGGCAAAATAAGTCCTTGGTAAAGGAGTTAGAGTTCTTTCTTCTTCGCCCTCAGTGGTCCTGCCCTCTTCAGCTTTTCCTAAAATTTTAACTGATTTTTTTTCCCAAAATAATCTATGTTTGATGAAGAAAACTAGAAATGCAGATGGCCCAAAGAAAATATAAATAATCCATAATCCTATTATCTAAATATAAAAGCTGTTAATATCCTAGGGCATATCCTTCCAGTTCTATATCTATATATATATTTAAAACAAAAGTGAGATTATGCTGCACATATAAATGCAAAGTTTTTGTAAGTTAAGAGTAATTCCTGAACATTCATTTATTCATTTACCAAATATTTCTAGTTTCCTTCTAGTGCGCAGGTACATATAGGAGAAAAAAAATCATTTCATGCCATTATATAGTTTTTCTTTCTCTTTCTTCCTTCTTCCTTTCCTTTCCTTTCCTTTCCTTCCCTCCCCCTGCTCCTCCCCCTCCCCCCCTTCCTTCCTTTCTTTCTCTCTTTCTTTTTTTGAGACAGGATCTCCCTCTGTTGCCCAGGCTGGAGTGCAGTGCTGCGATCACAGCTCACTGGAGCCTTCTCCTGGGCTCAAGTGATCCTCCCACTTCAGCCTCCCAAGCAGCTGGGACTACAGGCATGTGCCACCATGCCTGGCTAATTTTTTAGATTTTTTGTAGAGACCGGGTCTCCCTATGTTACCCAGGCTGATCTGGAATTCCTGGGCTCAAGCGATCCTCTTGACTCAGCCTCCCAGAGTGCTAGGATTACAGGCCTCCATCATACAGCTTTCCATAGCATCAGTTTTCATGACTGCATGTTATTAACATCAAATGGCTACCCCATAATTTATTCAGCCAATACTCTATTATCAGACATTTAGATGGCCTCCTCCTCTCTTTTTTTCTTCTCTTCCTATACCCTTTCCCCTTCCCTCCCTCCCTCCCTCCTTCCCTCCCTCCATTTCCTCCTTCCCTCCATCCATTTCCTCCCTCATTCCCTCGATCCATTCCTTTCTTCCTACCTTCTCTCTTCCTCCTCCTCCTCCTCCTTTCTACTATAAATGCTGCCATCATGAACATCTTTGTGGCTTAACATTTACACATGTCCCTGATGACTTCTACAGAATCAATTTGCCTCTCACTGCTTTGGAAACCACTCGCTGTCACAGAATTTAACCAAGACCACAGGTCCAGCAGCAAACACACAGACATTTCAAGTGGAAAAATGCGTTTTACTCCTTCTAGTAACACCGGTGGGAGAGTAAGGTTGTAGGAGAAGCAAGGCAGGATAGCCAATTCTCACTTGAGATGTGGTTTTCACATTGTCTAAACCTGTTTGGGCACATCAGCCTTTAGCAGGGAGCAACTTTATTGTCTCTTCTGCCAGAGGCTTCCCAAAATTCTCAACTTCTTTTTTAGTTCCCAGTGAAGAGTCTTGACATTTACAGAGAGTTAAAGAAGAAAACGATGTGCTTGTGGACAAATTAAAATAGACAATGCCAACTGGCCGGGAGTCATCATTTCTGTATATGAGAGGTGGGGAGCCCGATCAAAGCCCTGAGTAAACAGCTTACAGACACAAAAGACAAAGTGTTTTGTTTTCTGAGCACTGGAAATTCAGGAACAACCTGTGTCAGATTTTGCAACCTTTGCAAGAGTTTGGGTATCATAACATAGCGATCTTACTCTTGGAGCCATTACAGAGCCAATCACCAAACTAACCAGGTTCTTTAACCTGGAAGCTAAAGATGGCTATGGAACCGGCCCCCCCACATCAGATATACATTTGGGGCACTGGGGAGCAAGTGGGGTTGGAATGAAGGTGTTGGTGACAACATGGTATATTTGCAAAACTACCAAAGTCATTCCCTCTCTCACCTTTGACAATTGCTGACTGTATACTGACATTTTGAACTTGAAGCATTCTCCAGGTGAGCAAAGGACAAAGGGAGAAAAGATATGCTCTAGTCAAAGAAGGAACACACCTTGTAAATGTGGGAGGTGACTTCTGGCATTGTATTCTCAAGACATAAGGGGCTGAGCTGCAGGAAGAAGCCACCCAACCCCAAAGCATTTAAGGTTGTGTGGTTTTCCTGGGTATAAAGCACAGGAAAGAGTCCAGGGGAAGGGAGGAATGCTTTGTTCATAAAATACAAAGCTAAGCAAACAGTGCAGGTTGGAAAGGAATTGTAATGTTTTAATATTGTGTAAAAGAATAGATGATAAATCCACTTAGAATTGACGGGAGCAGCCGTGTGAATAATCCAAAAAGCATTGCTCCAAGTCTCGAGAATGAATAATGGGATCGCTTGCCCCAGCATATTTCTCTTTCTAAGTATGTTTCCTGTAGTTTATTGTTAAAATTAATGAGCACTCCCTGAGTGGCTGGGGAAAGGTGACCTGTATGTTGGGTGACATGAAGAAACCTCCCTGAGGCCAAAACATTCCTGCAGATAATATATGCGTGATCAATGAGAGTTCACTGGGTGTATTAATTTTGATTAAAAAAACCCTTGAATCCATTCCTGTTCATTGATAGTTTTAATGTGGTGATTCCAGTGTCCTGCACACGACTAATCACTAAAGTCATATCCTCTGACCTACCATATATTCACTGTCTCTTATGACCCTGTTTTATTTTCTTATTTTATTACCACCGGATGAAATTATCTTGTGTTATTATTTTTTAAACTTCGACCAGAATATAAGCTGCAAGAGGTTGAGGAATCCCGCTGTCCTGTTCACTACAGTATTCTCTATGCCTAATACAGTACCTGGCACATAGTAGGTGCTCAGTAAATATTTGCAGAGGAAATCAACACGTTTCCATCCAACACACTTTCTAGGAAGAAAGCTAGTGCTCTGTGAAGATTCAGTGTCAGCTGAGCTTCCTAAAAGATCTTCCACTCTCATCTCTTCTTTCTTTTTTTCTATTTAAAAAATTAAGCTATAAGTTACAAACAGTAAAGTACATCCTCCTTAGTGTGCAGGTCTGAAAGTTTTGATAAATGCATACAGTCACGCAACCACCATAATCAAGGTATGGAATAGATCCATCATTCCCACAGTTCCCCTCGCTACCCCTGGTAACCATTGATCTGATTTCTGTCCTTATAGTATGAACCATTTAAATCTGGCTTCTTTCACTTAGCATAATGCATTTGAGATTCATCTATGTTGTATGTATCATTAATTAGTTCCTTTCAATTGCCATGTAGTATTCCATTATATGGATATAGCACAGTTTGTTCATCTACTCTCCACTGGAGGGGCATGTTCTCATCTCTTCTTATATGAAAATGCTGTGCACTCACAGGGGCTAAGAGCAGAATTTTTAGGATCAGAAATAGGATTGGATTCTTGGCCTGTCACCGCTTAGCTGTATGACCTTTGGACAAGTCAGTGAAATGCTCTATGACTCAGTTTTCTCAAAAAGAGAAGTGAGGATAACTTACATAATTTATTTAGCACAAAGTCTGGCAAATAATAAGTGCACCATAAATAGTAACTCTAATCATTTTTTGGGGGGAGTTGGGAAAGGTCCTGCTTGAATTTCCCTTGCTCTGATCACCTCACCAATGTTTAATCATTCAGTCTTGCTATTTAACTGGTCTGAATCTTATTTTTTTCACCTGAAAAATGAGGGTAATAATACCAGCTTCACATAATTGCTAGCAGACTAAATGGGCTAATAGGCATAACTATCCTAATGTAGTGTGTTGGCCCAGAAGAAAGGATGGTTAGAATATGGGCACTTGGTGAATATGACTCATATACCATCTTTAAGGCTTGCAGGAATTAGAAGGAAGCAGAGTTGTATAGATGGGAGATGGAGGAAGGCTCTGGGGTCAAACTGCCTGGGTCCCATTCCCAGCTCTCTGCCTTCCTACCTGAGTGAAACTGGACAAATTACTTCACCTCTCTATGTCTGTTTTTTCATCTGACACATGGGGATAATAATAATACCTACCTGAAGGGTTGTTCTGGAGATTACAAAAGATAATGCATGTCAGGTGCTTGGGCACACAGACTTCATAAATGACAGCAGGGAAGATGGTTAGATATTGAACATGCCTGACTCCTTTAGATGGCCTAAGCTTTAGTTATCTTTGTATTATAATATTATATTAGCACACTTTCAAGAACAATGTAGGAGCTCACTGCATGTTTGTTGACCTGAATTAATCTAAAGAACACATTTCCCTTTGGGTCACATTACGATCTCACATGTTATCATGTATTTTGATATCCAATGTAAACAAATTTTTCAAAGGATATGTTGCAAAACTGCCAACAGTGAGATTCAGAAAAGCAGTTGAGGATGTACATTATTCTTAAAAGAAGGCTTTCATTAGGATGGTTGCATGAAATTTTTCATATTGGCCACTTCTTTAGGAGAAATCACCCTTGATTCTTCTGAAAGAGACCTTTGACATTTCACTTGTATTTTCCTTCATAGATGAACACATTGAGTTTCTGTGATGGCCTGGTAGCCTTTGGACATCAGACTTGTCTGTTTTCTGCTCTAGAATTGGCCTGCTCTGTGACTTCAGGTAAAGTGACTGCCTCCTCTGTGCCATAGGCGCTCCATTAGCCACCTGTGTGCATTGCAGTGTTAAATCAACAATTCTTTAAAAGCTGCATGATATCCACAAAGATGGTGGGTGTGTGTTGGGGTGGTGGAAGACACTATAGAAGTTATTCTCATTCATTATAAAGAAGTGAGGGGGTTTGGACATTATTTGGTAAGAAGATAGCCTTGTGTAGACTATACTACTCATGCATGTCAAGTTACTAAGTCCTCATTAAGATCTATTTATGTATTCATTCATTTATTTTAGAATTGTCAACCACTTATGTTGCCCAGCTGTCAAAAGACAGCCACCCTTGGTGGAGGGCATGTGATTGCATAAGGAAGGTTTTGCATCACATTCTTTTGGCCACTGAAAATGTCAAGGGTCTTTAGGATCAAAACTGGTCCAACTGGAGTGAATCTCTAAACTGAGGTGGGAACTACCAGAAAAGAGGCTCATTGTTTCCTCCTGGATTTGACATCAGGAGCAGCTGCTGTTGACTGTCCTGACACTCCAGGAGACACTTCCCAAGAACAGGAGAAGCTGGGCTCAGGAACATAGAGAGAAATGAGATCCTAATGACGGGGTCAGAGGCCTGACTCCAAATGTGCCTGAAAGCCAATCTATTGATGGCTTTTTCAGTTTTGTAAGCCAGTTAGTCTGCTCTCTCATACCTGCTTTCTGGCCTGTGCTGGCTTGGGTTGGGTTGTCTTTGGCTTGTAATAGAAAGAGTCCTATTTAATATTAAAACCAGTTATTTATGAGATCTTGGGGGTAACTTAGCAACTCTGAGCTTCAATTTTCTCATCTGTAAAATGGGGATAACTAATTTTTTTTAATTTATTTATTTTGTTTTTGTTTTTCAAGTTTTCTCTTTTTTTAATAAAAAGGGGGATAATTTATAATGTGTAGTTTTATTGTGATAATTAGAAATAATACTAGTATATAGTAATACGTGAAGAAAACCAAATGCTTTTCAAATGTCATCTTCCTAGAGAGGGATCCCCGACCCTCCTATTTAAAATTTCTAAGCCTCAACCCTCTCCATCTCCATAAGCCTGCTTTATGCTTGTAGCATTTATTTTCTATCTGTGGCAAAGTGATTTCTTTAATGGTCCCAACTAATGGCTTCCCTGTAACTGCATCTTTTGTCCTGTAACTTTATAGACTATTGCCTCTCTGGAGCTGGACTCCATCATGTGACTTTCTTTGGCCAATGAGATGTTAGCAACCATGATGTAAGCAAACACTTGAAAAGCATGTGTACATTTCCGTTTGCCTTCTTGCAGGATTGGGTTGTTTGCCTTTGTCCCTGTCTGACCATGGGAACATGACTGGGCTAGCTGGCTGGAGGGATAGGAGAGAGACATGGACCAGAATGGCCTAGTTTTGTCTAGCTGACCCCAGATGTATGAGCCCTCAGTTGCAACTTTGCCAGCTGCCTTCCAGACCTGGGAGCAAACCCAGCTGAGACCAGAAGAACTGTCCAGCCTAAATCACTGATTTACAGAATCAGGAGCTAAATAAATGATTATTGTTTTAAGCCACTGAAATTTGGGGTGGTTCGCTATATAGCACAGGCTACCTGATATGCTAACATACCATCTAATTTACTTACTTGTTACGTGTAGTCTCTCTCTCCCCCATCTAGACTGTGAGTCCCAAGAGGGTTGAGATTTTTGCCTGTGTTATTCAGAGCCATGCCCAGTGCCTAGAACAGAGCCTTACACACAGTAGGTACTTGATAAATACTTCTTGAATATTAAATGAATAACATATAAAGTACCCTACAAAATGGCACTTGGGTTGATGTTTAACAAATAGTGGCTAATATAATCATAAGGTTAAACATTTTTATGCCAGAACCAACATTTTTTTTTTTTTCATCAGGGTCTTCTGTTATTTTGCCCAAGGACATTGTTCAAAACATGGGAAAAATACAAGTGACCCTCTCTTGGATACATGTTGGTAGATGGGGGTTGGCAATAATGTCAGATAAGAAACTTAATTATTTTTCTTTCTAAATTGACTTGGGACTGTGGGCATTGTGGAGACATAGCCTCAGTCTCTTCATTTATTGGTTCTCTATGTACCTCCCTAGCAGCCCCAGTGGGTGCAGCAGGGCTGATATTTATGTGTGTACATAGAGCAAAAGAGAGATTATTTCCGCTAAGAGGCCACATATATAGCATATATATTATAGCATATATAATTTTCTTTCAAAATCATCATCACATTTGAAGTAATTAATTAGTTACCAGGTTATCTGTTTTATTTCTGTCTTCTGAACCAGGCTATATGCTCCATAAAGGAAGGGATCACTTCTATTTTACTCATTATTATACCCTCATCATCCAGCACGGTGCAAGTGTTCAAATATATTTGTTGAATAAATGAACCATGCCCCTGTTCATTTTAAGAATGTAACCTACTTGAACTGAAGGGCTATGTCTTTCTATGAACATGGTGTGAACTTGGCATTGTGGTAGCAGTTCACGTGTGTGCAATCGCTCTCATTTTTAGGCAAATAACAAGTACATTTTATTGAACCCTTACTACATGCCAGATACTGTTCTAAGCACACGGTGTACTAACTCACTGTGGAGGTAAATATTGTAATAAGTGCCATTTTACAGAAGAGGAATTTAAAACACAGTGCACCCCTCTTGGAATATTGTGTTGTACCTTGGGTAAGTCATGCTCCCTCTAAACGTCTGTCCCTCATCTATAAAATAAGAAGGTCAGGTTGGTTAGAGTAACTTTTTCTTCTATGTGTTCTAAGAAGAGCTATAATTCTGATATGTTCTGGGAAAATAAAGGCTTTTGTGGTGAGAAGAATTGTGTTCCATACCACATCCCTCTGGTTTACATTATTTCAGTGTAGCCATGTGGAAAGTTCCATGCATGTTCCCAGAGTTCTTTGTCAAATGCTTCTTTTGGCATCTCTTTGCTGCCTCAGAGCTTTCTCCAAAGACATGGAGAGCAGCTCCACCAGTGTCTTAGCCTGTTTTCTGCTGCTATAACAGAATACCATAGACTGGGTAATTTATGAAGGATATAAATTTCTTTGCCTCATGGTTCTGAAGGCTGGGAAGTCCAAGAGCATGGGACTGGCAAATGGTGAGGGCCTCTGTGCTGCATTACCTCATGGCAGAAGGCAGAAAGGCGAACAAGTGCATGAGATATCGGAAGGAAGACAAACTAATTCTTTAATCAGGAACCCACTCCTGTAATAACTCACTCACTTCTGCAATAATGGCATTAATCCATTAATGAGGGTATAGCCCTCATGACCTAATCACCTCTTAAAACTTTAAAATAGCAATTAAATTCCAACACGAGTTTGGGAGGGGACACTCAAACCATAGCATGTAGCTGTAACCCAGGAAGTGCAGGGCACTTAACTTCTTAGGGGCAACCTATAACCAACAGAGAATGTAAGCCCTGGTTGCTTCGCCTTTTAGTGGCACAATTTTTACGTATTTTTTATATGGTCCTTCTTAGATTTTCCAGCAATACTGATTTCTACTTGATCACCGTGGAAACCAGCCCATTATGCACTTTTATTGCCTTTTGCTTTTTCTTTTCATACTTTCCACCCCCTCATTTCTGATCACTGGAATCAACTCCCAAATAAACTACACTTGATACCAAGCTTTTGTCTCTGCTTTTGGGAGAATCTAAATTAAGTTACAATGTCAAATAATTTGGGGAAACACTATATGCTTGTTCTTCTCTCAGACATTCACGATACACACCAACACAGTCAAGGCTCTCAGTAGTCCTGTTGCAAACTAACCTGTCCATCCAGCTTTCTTCAGCTCAGGCTTTCCCAGACTTCACTGCCCGCGAACATTTTTTTATCCCTAACATCTTTCAAGGTACCCTGGAGTAGGTGTTCCATGAAATATGCTTTGAGAAATGTTGGCTGGTGTAGTCTCAAGGGTCTTGTCCCTTATTATTATTCTGGATGGATCCAGTAGCTTTAGCTGCCATTCCCTGGCATGGAGCCAACAGCCAAATAGAACTCTCTGGATGGGAGATTTCTCAGTGCCAGGGAGCAGGACCTTCAGACAAGGCCTCTCCAAAAGTGGGAAACCTTTTTTTTTTTTTTGAAAACCTTTTTTGAAAACCTTTTCTCTTAGAAAAAGGGCTCTTCCCCTTTTCTTCATGAGATGATCAGCCTCTGCGGGGGGCCAGGAATGTTTGGCTGGCTGGGCTGGGAGTGCAGCTGTGGGCATCCTGAGAAAAAGCTTCACTTTTGGATGACGCAGGAGCCTGGATGAGATGAACAGGAAATGTTTGCCAACCAGCCTGCCTGCCCGCACTCTCTTGCTAACAAGCAACCATGGGAGAATTTAACTGGCATGTGTCCAGGGAGGATAATTATTTCCTACAGTAGTATACAGAAGGGCACCTGGGAGACCCAGTGATTACAGGGGCAGGAGGATGTGCATGGAAGCCTGGGGCTTGGGGTCTGTGGCCTCCCAGTGGGGGCTGGTTGGTGGGAGTGAAGAGGGGTGACCAGCAGCCCATCCATCTTCCTTTCCCCCTCAAAGTCTCAAATTGAAGGAACAGTATTGGGGAGCTTGGATTTGGGGCATCGGGTTACACTTGAGGGAAATGCTTGAAAATGACATCGTTTTTAAAGAATGAAACCAGTGAAAATTATAACAATAATAATGGCGGTATCAATTTCTGAATTCTTTGTTGAAGAATGTACGCATACAGCCTTTTATCAAGTCTTTTATATTTGATGATTAGTCTGTGTTGGGACTTCTCAACCTCAGCACTTTTGACATTTTAGGCAGGATGAGTCTCTGCTGTGAGGGGCTGAACTCCGCACAGCAGGCCGCTTAGCAGCATCTCTGCTCTCTCCCCACCAAATGCCATTAGCACCTCTTTCCCCTCAATTGTGACAACCAAAAATATCTTCAGACATGACCAAATGTTCCTTGGGGGTGCAACACTGGTCACGGATGGGAGCCACTGGTCTATAATAAAGGGCAGTAGATTATAACGGTTAAAGCCTAGGTTTTGAGCCAGGTTTTTTGTTTTGTTTTGTTTTGTTTTGTTTTTTTGAGACGAAGTCTCACTGTTGCCCAGGCAGGAGTGCAGTGGCACAATCTTGGCTTACTGCAACCTCTGCCCCCTGGGTTCAAGTGATCCTCCAGCCTCAGCCTCCTCCCTGGTAGCTGGGACTACAGGCGTGCACCACCACACCCAGCTAAGTTTTGTATTTTTAGTAGAGACGGGGTTTCACTGTGTTGGGCTGGTCTCAAACTCCTCAGGCCTCCTTTGGGAGGCCACCTGCCTTGGCCTCCTGAAGTGTTGGGATTACAGGTGTGAGCCACCGCACCTGGCTTGAGTCAGGCTGTTTTGTCCAAATTCTGGTTCTACCACTTTTGTTGTGTGACCTTAGTCACACTATTTAACCTCTCTTGTGCCTCAGTTTTCTTACCTGTACAATGGAGATAATAATAGTATCTGCCTGATGGGGTTATGGTGAAGATTAAAAAGTTTAACATATATGTAAATAAATATTTTAAAGCGTTTAACACAGTCTGGCATATAGCAAGCTTTCAGTAGTGTAAACTCTTATTATTATCATAATCATCATGATTTTTTGTTTACTCTTTGCTCCTAGACTGTAAGCTCTCTGAGTGTAAAGACTAAGTCTTTTTATTTTTTAAACTATAATGTCTAGGCCAGGCGGGGTGGTTCATGCTTATAATCCCAGCGTTTGAGAGGCCAAGGCGGTCAGATAACTTGTGGTCAGGAGTTTGAGACCAGCCTGGCCAACATAGTGAAACCCCATCTCTACTGAAAATACAAAAATTAGCTGGGCGTGGTGGTGCACGCCTATAATCCCAGCTACTCAGGAGGCTGAGGCAGGAGAATTGCTTGAATCTGGGAGGCAGAGGTTGCAGTGAGTTGAGATTGTGCCACTGCACTCCAGCCTGGGCGACAGAGTGAGACTCTGTCTTAAAACAAAACAAAACAAAACAATAATGTCTAGCAGAGGTACTTAATAAACATTGAATTCAAGAAGAGAGGAAGGAAAGTAGGAAGAAAGGAAGAAGCTTAGCAATGGAACTTCCAGTGTCCAGATATGAGAGAGAAAGATTAAGAACCTTTCCCAGATTGCTGGCCTATGCACTGCAGTCTGAATCTAGGGCTCTCCCGGTTTCAGTCCACAACCTCAGGTGGAAGAGGGGGCAGGGGAGAGAAGCCACGCAAAACCCCAGGGGATGTGTAAAGGGGCCTAAATGCAAAACTTTAAGTAGGCATCCAGATGCATGGAGACGAGCTTGAAATTTCTTGGAGCTGGAGGTTGCAGGTGGGCTCTGTGCTAAGTAGAAATGATTGCTACAGCCTGGAAGAAGCAAGAAGCTAAGTAGGAACGTATGCTGTCTGCTTGTGCGCCAAGAAGGACTGAAGTATGGCTAAGAGTGTATTATTTACTCCTCCATTTACAAAACCCGTGAAGACCATCCATGAGCTTGGGGTAGAAGCCTTTAGATGGAGGGCTGAAGCAATGCAGTTGAAGGAGATAAGGCTTCAACTGACCACTCAGAGCAGGGTGGATCTTTAAGTGCTAGGATGCGGGAAGGCTCTAGAGCAGCATTGCCCAGTTGAACTTTCTGCAATAATGGAAATGTCTTGTATCTGTGTTGTCCAATATGGTAGCCACTAGCCACATGTAGCTACCAAGTATTTGAATTGTGGCTAGTGTGAAGGACTGAATTTTAAATTAAATTAAAGTAAAATTTAAATAGCTCACATGTGCCTAGTGACTACTGTATTGAACAACACAGGTCTAAAAGAAGCCATATGCCTTTAGGTCCCAGGCTCTCCAAGGACACACTGAGAGATGGTGGGCTCACTGCTCTCCTGGAAAATGATTAGGCATGAATCCCTATTACTTCTCACCCATATTCACGTGCCAGACAGGCTAACTGGTGCCCTGTTCCAGACCAACCGACCTACCTTCCTTCCTTCCTTCTTTTCTTTCTTTCTCTTTCTTTCCTTCCTTCCTTTCTCTCTTTCCTTCCTTCCTTTTCTTTCTTTCTCTTTCTCTTTCTTTCCTTCCTTTCTCTCTTTCTCTTTCCTTCCTTCCTTTTCTCTCTCTTTCTCTTTCTTTCCTTCCTTCCTTTCTCTCTCTCTTTCCTTCCTTCCTCCCTCCCTCCCTCTCTCCCTCCCTCTCTCCCTCCCTCTCTCTCTCTCCTTCCTTCCTTTCTTTCTTTCTTTCTTTCTTTCTTTCTTTCTTTCTTTCTTTCTTTCTTTCTTTCTTTCAGGGTCTCACTTTGTTGCCCAGGCTGGAGTGCAGTAGCATGATCATGGCTCACTGCAACCTCAACCTCCCAGTCTCCTGCCTCAGCCTGTCAAGTAGCTGGGACTACAGGCATATGCCACCATGCCTGGCTAACTTTAGTTTTTGTAGACACGGGGTCTCCCTATGTTTCCCAGGCTGGTCTTGAACTCCTGGGCTCAAGCAATCCTCCCACCTTGGCCTCCCAAAGCACCAGGATTACAGGCATGAGCCACTGAAACTGGCCCCATTCTACTTTCTTAGGCCACTAGTAACCTAGTGTGAGGGGAGGGTAAGAGAGAAACAGAGGCAACAACAACGATGATGGCAATTACTACATTACTGTTACTGACTACAATCAACAGCATTTGAGGAGAACTGAGTATGTGCCAAGTACTAAGCATTTCACATGGACCGTCACTCATTGGCTAAGTCCAGTCATTATTCTTGTCTTCAGACAGAGAAACTGAAGTACCCAGCCATTAAGAAATATGTGCAACAGTGCACTGTCAAGCTAGGATGCTACGTAATTAGAAATGAGGACTCTGGAATTAGGCTAACAACATTAGTGACTTAGAATCTTTTTGGAGAAGGGATCTATAAGAAAGTGTTAACACTGGCTACTTTTGCAAAGAAGGCCTAGGAGTTGACATGGGGGGTAGAAGAAATTTTTCCTTTTTCTGTATTTAAATCTTTCTGTATTATACGAAGCAAAAAAAAAAAAAAAAAAAAAAAAAAAAAAAAAAAAAGACCAGTGTGTACATAATATTTTAGTAAACGAAAAACTTATCAGGGCTCATCTTGTCATTGAGGGTATAGGCCTTTTAATTTTTATTGTTTTCTGTATTAGAGCAGCCAAATTAAGATGGAGAGAGCTCACTTTGTGCGTTTGGCCACAGTGGATCATGCTCAGTGCTCCTGGTGACTTTGTGGGTTTGCATTTTTTCCCTCTGAAGATGAGGCTCAGCGAGGAACCCAGGGCAGACAATCCCATTTATACCACAGCAGGTTCCTAGATGTTTTGACGTTGGATACAAGGTGATAAACTATCCTGGTTTGCCCAGGACTGACAGGTTTTCTAGGACATGACACTTCCAGTGCCCAAACTGGGAAAGTCCTGGGCAAACCTGGCGGAATTGCTGGTGCTGCTTGGAATGGGAAAAGGTGACACTCGATGGAGACTCCAACCCACACAGCTCCAGTAGCAAAAGAGCAGAGTCCTAGTAGGCTAGTACTCAGGTGGACAAGGGGATTGCCAAACCAAGGACATGCCTTATCTCCTCGGCATTGCTTGTTTTATACTTAGACTCTCAAAGACAGAGCAGACTGAGGAAATACCATCAACACCAGGCAGGGCTGCATGTGACTTTCAAGGGCCCAAGGACCTCACGTCTTCATAAGCCCCTTCCTTTATTTAAAAAAAAACTTAAAAATTACACTGAAGACTGCATTTGTATAAAGAGGAATATAATCCAGTCTGAATTTATTATTATAGATCTATTATTATTATGTTCATTTTTCTTCCTTTTTTTTTTTGAGACGAGGCCTCACTCGGTTATCCAGGCTGGAGTGCAGTAGTGTGATCATGGCTCACTGCAGCCTGAACCACCTGGACTCAGGTGATCCTCCTACCTCAGCCTCCCGAGTAGCTGGGACCACAAGTGCATGCCACCACACCCAGTTAATTTTTGAATTTTTTGGTAGAGATGGGGTTTCACTATGTTTCCCAGGCTGGTCTCAAACTCCTGGGCTCAAGCAATCTGCCCGCCTTGGCCTCCCGAAGTGCTAGGATTACAGGTGTGAGCTACCACACCCGGTCATTCTTCCAGTTTTAAAAGAAATTAAAATGAAAATGCTTTCATAAGCCTTTAAAAGTATCATGGGCCCTGGGCATTGTGTCTGCTGTACCTATAATGGGCAAGCTGGCTCTGGTTCCAAAGCTCGAAAGAGAGGCTGGGGAAAGAGGAAGTTTGGAAGCATCAAGGTTGGGGGTTCCTAACTTAGATAAACTTGCATGGGAAAAATGTTCTCAATTTTCTACAATCTCTAACTAGAATTAAACATTTCATTCCATTATGACTGTAGGCAAAAAAACCATAACTGCATTGACAGCACATGCTACTCGGTCACCAGTAGAAATGACTGGTATTTTCAGATCAGAGTGGTACATGTCTAAAACAGCATTTTTTCTCATCCTTTCTTCAAAATTATGGTAGTTATTAGACTGGCTGCTAGATCATGCTATAGGATGTATTACCAAAGAAGTTCATATGTTATTATAATTATGATTTTAAAATTTAAATACTGTGCTTTAATATAATTTTTTCTTTTATAGTTCTGTATATGTTGTTTTATGCATTTCAAAAGCTTCAAGGTTTTGAACTGAGAAGGGGTCCCCAGGCTTCAGCAGACTGGTGAAAAGTTCACACCCAGGAAATGGTGGAGAAAACCACACTAAGTGTCTAGAGTTCATAAATGGGGCCCTTCCCTTATTTTCATCCCTCCAAATGGTAAGGAGGAGATTCTTACACAGCTCTGCCCATCTGCAAGAAAAGCCCAGGATAGGGTTAAAGAATTGCTGGTAGAGCTTAAAGTTTCACCCCAGGTGTGCAGCCTAATAAGGTGCTAATTGGAAACCAGGTGAGCAGAGGGTGGAAGCCCAGATGCTTGCCTTGGGTGTTTTTTTCCTTGAGGCTTGGTTGTTGTCAGAACAGTATCAACCCTCTTCCGGGCGGAAACAGGCTGAGTGCCTCCCTCTGCCATGCTTCTTTGCAGAAAATTCCACTGTTGTGGTCCTAGGGTAGGCCTGGATTTTTAGTTTAATATGTCTCATTTACTTACATTTGTTCTTGAGCACTGAGCACTTCCTGTGTGCCACGCAGTTTGCTCAGTGCTTTAATGCATTATCTCATTCAGGCCTCACAACCACTCCACGGGGAAGGTATTCTTGTTATTTCTATATTTATATATGAGGCAATAGAGGGAGGCTCAATGCAACAAGTGATTTGCCTAAATCCACACAGGCAGCAAGTGGTGCGTTGGGATCTGAACTTGATCTCATTCTTCCAAAAGTCTCTTTCCCTTAAACTTTTGGTTTGCTTGTTGTTTTGTTTTCCTTTAACAGAACTTTTTTTTCTTGTAGTTTTAGTTGACATGTAATAATTGTACATCGTTAATGAGAAACTGAGTGACATTTTGACACATGTATACCATGTGTAATGATCAAATCAGTGTAGTTAGCAAATCCACCTCCTCAGTCATTTATCATTTCTCTGTGTTGTGAACATTCAGAATCCCCTCTCAGCTGGGCATGGTGGCTCACACCTGTAATCCCAGCACTTTGGGAGGCTGAGGCAGAAGGATCACTTGAGTCCAGGAGTTTGAGACCAGCCTGAGCAACATGGCGAAACCTCATCTCTGCCAAAAATACAAAAAATTACCTGGGTGTGGTGGCGTGCACCTGTAGTCCCAGCTACTCAGGAGACTGAGGTGGGAGGATTGCTTGAGCCTGGGAGGTCAAGGCTGCAGCGAGCCATGATCATGCCACTGCACTGCAGCCTGGGTGACAGAGTGAGACCCTTCTCAAACAAACAACCCCCCCATCCCCTCTTTTAGCTATTTGAGAATATACAGTAAATTATAGTTAACCACATTCACTCTATAGTGCTGTAGGACACCAGGACTCATTTCTCCTTCTAGTTGTAATTTTGTATCTGTTAACCCACCCTTCAACAGAACTCTTAATTTTAAGGATGTAGCACATCTCAGACACTTCAGCTGATAGGCAGTTATCACGAGCTTATAAAGAAGGGGCTTAATAGAAGATAAAATGTGACTACACCAACATGGTGGGGCCCTAGAATTCCAAGCCTCCTGGAGTGGAGGACGGTCTTCCTCCTCATACTCAAGCTTTGTTGCTCTGTGATAATCATAAAGGCTGACATTAAGCAGGTCTTATGTGTGTTTTGGTGGGGTGCTGAGGTGAAGAGAAAAAAACTATCCTCTTGAGGTAAAGGTCATGAAACTCCAACACATATATCCTTGAATTTTTAATTAAAAAGTTAAGAGAAAAAAAGTCACTTCTCTTTTCCCTGTTACTGCTTGGTTACATTCCAGTCTTCCACTTATGGAACTTTGAGAGAAGTAGCTGGTTTTAATGTGGGACACCATAGGTTGGGTGGGTTTGCCATCAGAATTGCTCTATGCTGGGTCTGGGGTCAGCTTCTCTCCATCTTATCTTCAACCACCCAGAAAGGTCAATGCTCAGATGCAACGACTCCTCAAGACACCTACCCTTTGTCACCATCTGTTTATATCCCAAGGAAAGATTTGATGTTGCAAAATCCTGAAATTTAGAGCAAGCAGAGCAAGGAACAATCCATTCCTTGTTTTAAATCAAGTTGTCATAATCCAAAGGCAAGCTCCAACTTTAATAACAAACACCCAGTGTTATGACATTTTACCTTTTCCAACTATTTATGTAGGCCCAAATATTGTGTTTAAATTTCAAACTATACAGTTAACATAAAACAGTCCACTTTCTTAAATACAGTAAAAATAAAGCTAGTGATGCCAATTTCGTTTCCCTTTTAGGCCTCATTCTTTAAATAGATCATTCATTCAACGAATGTCTGTTGAATGCTCAGTGTCAGACACCGTGCTTGGCACAGCATACCCCCAAATTAACCAGCATTAGTTCTTGTGCTCTGAGCACCATAGAGAAACAGGAAGAAAACAATGGCAGCCGCTCTTCAAATGACCTACGCTTTTCCATCTCCAATGTCCAAAGAAGTATCAGAGATGATCTGCATTTCCTTTTCAGTCCTCTCCAAGCCCTGTCCTCCCAAACCAAGTCATAATGAGATCTAAAAGCTGCAGGGTCTCAAACATCACGAGAGTAAAGCCCAAATCACATTTGGAGTATGGTTTTTCAGCAGTTTTATGAACTCAGGCTGTGAAATGCAGGAATGAAAGTGGTGGAGAAAACAGTATTTTTCAGTGACCCAAAGAAAGATGAAACGTATGATGCTCTGTGGACTTGGCATCCCTACTCCTCATCCCACTCTCAGATGGCAATTGGATTTTAACAAGGAGTAGGGTTTGTGGTTTGAGAAATACAGCATTTTTACTGCCTTGGGTCATATTTCAAATATTTGCAGCCGTTTAAAATAGCGTAATGTTATTTTTTCCCTTGTCTTCAAAACAAACCCAGCAAGCTTTTCTAAGTCATAATAACAAGCATAAAATTGGGACACTGGAAAACCCATGGGCAGGGCTTTGGAAAATCCATTCTCCCTCAGGACGGGTGTTTAGATTTGGTTGCAAAGGATCATTAGCTTCCTGGAGGCCCACCTGACCTTGAATGACTTTGGGACCCTGAAGGAAGGAGTAAGGACTCCACAGGCCACAGAATTGGGATGTCCCACCCAACTGCTCTTCAGTGCAATGATAGAAGTGTGCACAGAGGCTTTGGGACTTTCCTTTTAGCTAAGATGTCCTGTTCTGGAAATTGCTTTGAAAAAAAATCCAGAGACTCATATTTATTTAAGTGAGCAATTCCCAATACCCATTGGTTTGGAGTTCTGTCCTGTGAGCCACGCTATATGGGGCTTATCCCTGCCAAAGGGCCTCAGGTGGGGTCAAACATTGAAACAAAGAAGTGAACTGGCCTCAGATGCAAGGGTTCCCAGCTTTCCCTTTATTAGAAAAATGAAAGATAATCAATCTTTGCCGAGAAAGAAATACACACACACACACACACACACCCGTGTGTGTGTGTGTGTGTGTGTGTGTGTGTGTATATATATATATATATATATATATGTATATGCACACTTACGTACCAGACAATGATGTTTGGTCAACATGGACCACATGTATGGTGGTGGTCCCATAAGATTATAACACCATAATTTTGGTGTACCGTTTCTGTATTTAGATATATTCAGATACACAAATGCTTACCATTGTGTTACAGTTGCTTATAGTATTCAAGACAGTAGCATGATCTACAGGTTTGTAGCTAGGAGCAGTAGGCTATGCCATATAGCTTCAGTGTGTAGCAGGCTATACCGTCCAGGTTGGTGCCGTAAGTGCATCCTAGAATGTTCACACAATAGCAAAACTGCTTTGACCAAGACATATCCCTGTTGTTAAGCAATGCATGGATGTACATTAATCCGTGCATTAATATACAGTAAATATATAGTAATATAGTACACATAAAAGTTAATATTTCTTGAGCATCTCCTAGTCCATACCCCAATTAATCCTCATAACAATCCTATCAAATGTGTACTATTAGTATTCCAATTTCTTGATGGAGAAAACCGATGTGTAGGGGGATAAAGCAACTTGCCCAAGGTCACACAGCCAGGAGGCAGGGGAGCTGGGGTTTCCATCCTGGCAGCTGCCTGCGGAGAAGGAGAGAGTTCTACTGTGTGTTACCATTACGCACCCTGGCTTGTGAGGTCCAGATTTAGATACATTCATATTTCAGGTATCAGAACTTCTAAAAACCTGATGACGAAAGAAAGTGTTTGAGGACTTTCCTTTTGATTCTTATTATTAAAGAAAAGATAAATGCAATTCTCCAATTATATGGAAGATATGAGAAAACAAATCAAAGTGAATTAAAACACATTTTCCCAGGCCAGGCATGGGGGCTTCCACCTGTAATCCCAGCACTTTGGGAGGCTGAGGCTGGCGGATCACTTCAGGCCAGGAGTTCAAGACCAGCCTGGCCAATATGGCGAAAACCTGTTTCTACTAAATATTTTTAAAAAATAATAATAATTAGCTGGGCTTGGTGGCACATGCCTGTAATCCCAGCTACTAGGGAAGTGGAGGCACGAGAATCACTTGAACCCGGGAGGTGACGTTGCAGTGAGCCAAGATCGTGCTACTTGCACTCCAGCCTGGGCGACAGAACCACACTCTGTCTCAAAACAAAACAGAACAAAAACAAACACAAACAAAAATTCCAACACATTTTCCCTATTTTAACACCTCTATATCCTCTCCCAAAGAGCAAAAGAATAAAGAAAAAGAAGAAGAAAAGTCCTTTATTTGTTTCTACTTTTTGAAATTACCTTTTCCAATTTTTAAATTCCTGGTTTGAAGAATGTAAGAAAAAGAAACGACAAAAACTTCTTCTGAAGCCGAGGAGGAAGCCACTGCGCTCAGCAGGCCTGGAACTGATGGGGGCCAATCTGTCCGGGTCTGGGCTGGAGTGTGGGAGAATCCTCTTTGCAGGGAGGACACGGGAACGCTTTCAGCGTTCTGGGATAAAAGACTTCAGAAGAAAGGCGCCTCTCAATGAATGGTGCTCAAAATGGGCTGGAAAACAGGGGAAACGGGCCCTCTCAATGAAAAGCCGAAAAAGTGCCTTTTTTGTTGCTTCCCTCACTGTGAGGCACTGCTCTTCCCCCATCATCCTCCCTGACCCCTTCCCCAGCTCATCTCATTGGGTCCAGAGAAAAGGCCTCTTGTTGTAACCCCATCTGCCTGCCACTCATCCACATTCTTTTATCTCTGCCCAGGGCCTGGCAGTTGGGCTGAGGTTTCAGCTGCCAAAAATTTTGGGTTTCACATAGAATATTCCCAAGATGGGCATCTGAGAAATGTCAGTTTACATCAAAATTGCCTTGTCCAACGAATAGCCAGAAAGCTTTCTTTCCCTAGCAAGGTCGGGAAATAATTCTCCTTCCAAGATCATGCCAGTACAAACTCAGATCCACTCTCTGCAAGGCCTGACTTAAAGGGACAGGAAACCACCTTGGTTTTACACTAAAAAAAAGGATTGAAATTTAAAGTTGGATTAAAGATGGAAAATTAGTCATGTTTCCTTTTTTGACGGTGCTTTGCGCAACAATGAATATCGCACTATAACAAATTCTTGAGAACAGGAGCTGTAGACAAGGTCACAGAGGAAAGTTTTGGGGATGTTAAAAAAATCACCAATCCGGCCGGGTGCGGTGGCTCACGCCTGTAATCCCAGCACTTTGGGAGGCCGAGGCGGGCGGATCACGAGGTCAGAAGATCGAGACCATCCTGGCTAACACGGCGAAACCCCCGTCTCTACTAAAAATACAAAAAATTAGCCGGGCGCGGTGGCGGGCGCCTATAGTCCCACCTACTCGGGAGGCTGAGGCAGGAGAATGGCGTGAACCCAGGAGGCGGAGCTTGCAGTGAGCCCAGATAGCGCCACTGCAGTCCGGCCTGGGAGAAAGAGCGAGACTCCGTCTGAAAAACAAAAACAAAAACAAATACAAAACAAAACAAAAATCACCAATCCATAACAACTTGTGTAGTTGGCAAAATCAAATGGATGGTGGGGTGAGGATGAAGATAAAAGGATAAAGAAGAGAAAGCAGAATTTCTTAGAGACATTTTACTGATCCATAGGAAGTTCTGTAACAAAGGGAGCAGAGCATTCTTTGAAGTGGAAGATTGGGCCACTCGACTGAGTTGGTTAGAATGTACAGGAGGGAAACTGCGAGAAAGTCTGGTTTTCTAACCCTGCAGGGAATCTCTGCTCATAATGATCATTTCAAGCATTGGTACATTCATCCCAAAGATAACACTAGATTCTAACTGCTATGCAGAGGAAAATTCAAGCATAAGGATGGGTGGAGGGGTGTCCAGATAGAAGACTGACAGGCTTTTTAGCCCCAGGTCTGAATAGGAGCAAGTCAGCAGAAGCAATAAAGGATAGAAACCCTGTTTTCTACTCACCCCCTTCCAGGGTTGTCCTTTGTTAGGCTGATTGTTATGAGAGTGGAAGTGGGAGGTGGCAGGGTAGGAGTTGGGAGAGGTGGGGTTGGGATGTGGGAAGGTAGGGGGCTGCCAGAGGGTTTGGGGTTGGGGTAGAGTTTGGCCCATAGATTCCCACAGGTGGTGAAGGCCTGGCAGCCTCTCTCCATCCCTTACCCACCTCACCCCCCCTTTTTTTCCTCTCCCTGTGGAGAATAAGCAAGTATCTTCTGGTCAGCTTATTTTCCCTTTCAGCAGTAGCTCTAACCCCGGAGGCAGAGAGGTCTTTCTAAAGTAAAAATGAGAACCTAACAGTCTAGCTGAAGATCCTGCAATGCTGCCCATCATCCCAAGGTAACCTACATTCCTCCCCATGGCCCAAATGTGGGGTGACTCTTGAAACGATCAACCAAAGGACTTTTTTAAAATTTTTTTAAAAATTACTTTATTGAAGTATGGTTAAAGGACATATTTGAAAGTGAAGATGGGTGCAGGGAAATCATGCTAGGGCAACATCACTGACCCAAAAGGCCCTTGGAGACCTGGCCCCTGCCTCTCTCCTCAGCCTCTTCTGATCTCCCACTTTCCTCTGCTCTCTCTGTGGCTTTGATGCTGGATTCCTTTTGTCTCTCGTGCCCTGTCCCACTTCAGGGCCTTCACGCACTCCAGTCTCTCTGCCTGGCTTACTCCCCTTTATCCATCTCTCCTGGCTACTGTCTGTGGGTCTCTCCTAGAGTCCCTGCTCTATCTGGGGAAGCCCTCTGTGTTGTGTTTTGTTTATTTTATTTTATTTTGCTAACAGAAAGAAAGCAGGGATCAGATTTTAATATCAGACAAAAATGAATGGAAGGCCTAAAGCACACAGGCTATGGCTTGCTGTGAGAATGTCTTTGCCTCCACTGCATCTTCACCAACTTGTTCTTGTTCTTCCTATCTCTTCCCTAAGTCTTTCCAACTCATCTGCTCTTATCATTTCTCCAGGATCCAAATGCCTAAAGGGAGCATCCTCTTTAAATCCCCAGCCAGGCCCAGTCAGCCTTCGTCTGGGGTTTCCTTCTGCTTCCTGGCTTATACCTTTTTAGGAGGGCTGAGACTTCTTTCTGCCTCCTGGGGGACACCTTTCCAAGGATGGACTCCCTCAGCCTTTGGCATGTTCTGTGGATTTTCTTCATTTTCTTCACAAGTCTTGTGCATTTTGAGTATTTTTTATTATTTCCTTTTTAGAATAAATTGATCTTGAAAGGATCCAGGTCACTTTTATCCTTCCCCAGCAATAGGGAGTGGCTACAGGGAAATAGGCCCTGGACCATAAACCCTGTGTGTTTTATGGTCTCAAGGACCAGGGGTGATAGTCCAAAGATGCAGTCACTGCTGCGTAATATGAACAAATAAATGAATGAGCAAATGGATGAATGAAAGAGCAATAATTTCCCTTTGGCTTGGTCAGCTTGGGCTGCCATATAGGCTGTGTGGCTTAAGCAACAGACATTTTTTCTCTCATAGTTCTAAAGACTGGAGTCTGAGATCCAGCACCAGCATAGTTGGATTCTGGTGAGGGCCGTCTTGATATATCCTCACATGACAAAGAGAAAGAGAGAGGAAGGAGAGGGAATATCTCTGGTGTCTCTTCTTGTAAGGGCACTAATTCCATCACAAGGGCCCAATCCTCCTGACCTCATCTGAACCCAATTACCTCCCAAAGGCCCTATCTCCAAATACTGTCATACTTGGGGCTAGGGCTTCAATGTATGAAGTTTTGGGAGGACACAATTCTGTCTAGAGCACCCTTTAATTCTAAATAAATGAAACAATATGTGGAACAAATCTGCTTACTGAGTAATATATTGCAGCATAAATTGTTCATCAGGTCATTCCCATAATTTCCAAATTACTTTTTAAAACTATTTTAAAATTTCCATATATTTTAAAACTGTTTAAAACTACCTTGAAAACTATTTATTTATTTATTTATTTATTTATTTTTGAGACGGAGTCTTGCTCTGTCACCCAGGCTGGAGTGCAGTGGCGTGATCTCGGCTCATTGCAACTTCCGCCTCCCAGGTTCAAGCAATTCTCTGCTTCAGCCTCCCCAGTAGCTGAGATTACAGGTGCCTACCACCATGCCCGGCTAATATTTTGTATTTTTACTAGAAACGGGGTTTCACCATCTTGGCTAGGTTGGTCTTGAACCCCTGACCTCAGGTGATCCACCCATCTCGGCCTCTCAAAGTGCTGGGATTACAGGCATGAGCCACCGTGCCCAGCAAAACTATTTATTTTAAAATAATTACTGATTCACAGCAAGTTGCAAAAATAAAACAGAGGCCCTGTGTACCCATCACCTAGTTTCCTCCAGTGGAAACATTTTACAAAACTACTGTTCGATATGAAACCAGGACAGCAGTATTGGTATAATCCACAGACCTTATTTGGATTTTGGCAGTTTTACATGCACTTTACATTTGTATATTGTGTGTGTGCATGTACTTCTATGCAATTATACAATATGTGTAGATTTGTGCATCCAGCACCACAATCAAGACACAGGACTGCTCTGTCACCACAAAGATCTGTTGTGCAACTCTTTTTTTTTTTGAGATGGAGTATCTCTGTCGCCCAGGCTGGAATGCAATGGCACGATCTTAGCTCACTGCAACCTCGGCCTCCCAAGTTCAAGAGATTCTCCTGCCTCAGCCTCCCGAGTAGTTGGAATTACAGGCATCCACCAGCATGCCCTACTAATTTTTGTGTTTTTAGTAGAGACAGGGTTTTACCATGTTGGCCAGGCTGATCTCAACCTCCTGACCTCAAGTGAGCCGCCTGCCTCAGCCTCCCAAAGTTTTGGGATTATAGGCATGAGCCACTGCACCTGGTCTATCCAGTCTACTACTGATGGGCTTTTAGGCTGATTCCATGTCTTTGCTATTGTGAATAGTGCTGCAATAAACATATGTGTGGGTGTGTCTTTACGGTAGAACTATTTAGTAAATTTTTTCTTTTAAACATGTATCAGCATGTGCCTTTATGATAGAACTATTTAATAACATTTTTCTTTTAAATATGTATCACATTTAAAGTGGTGTTCAGGCCAGGCATGGTGGCTCATGCCTGTAATCCCAGCACTTTGGGAGGCCAGGGTAGGAGGATTGCTTGAGGCCAGGAGTTTGAGATTAGCCTGAGCAACATAGTGAGATCCTGTCTCTACAAAAATTAAAAAAAATATATATATATATATAGCCAGTGTGGCAGCGCATGCCTGTAGTCCTAAATACTCATGAGGGTGAGGTGGGAAGATTGCTTGAGTCCAGGAGATCGAGGCTGCAGGGAGGTCTGATTGTGCCACTGCACTCTAGCCTGGGTGACAGACTGAGACCTGCCTAAAAGAGTAAAAATAAAGAAAGTGGTGTTCAATTTCTGTCCTTTAA
Source organism: Homo sapiens (assembly GCF_000001405.40). Taxonomy (NCBI): domain Eukaryota; kingdom Metazoa; phylum Chordata; class Mammalia; order Primates; family Hominidae; genus Homo; species Homo sapiens. Next base: position 66,625,335 of record NC_000003.12, read on the forward strand.
TCTCCTTGCAGTCAGGGCCCTTCCTGTACTTGTCCTTTCTCCAGCACCTAGCTCAGTGCCAGCACAGAGTAGGCACTCAAAGCACTTTTGCTGGATGAAGGAGTAAGTGGGATCCTGTTTTGTGGATGGCTTGTTGGACCTAAACTGATTTCTCTTAAGAAGAAACTATTCATTCCTTTCCTAAATGATGCATTTCCCCTCAGGTTCTAATGGATTTTTATTTTTTAATCAAGGAAGAAGGGAATGAATGTGCTAGCAGCTGCTAGTCTAAGCAGCCGCTAGCCTAAGCAGCCTGATTATGGTGTTCACAGTGTCTCCTCCCCCCTTACTATTTTGAAGTAAGCACAGGAAATTACATAAATTGGCAATAAGAGTCCAGCAGTTGGGATCGGGGAGGTATGCATATTTGCATATCCAGTTTTCTGGTCCCCTACCAAGAGAACACATGGAGCTTTGACCTTCCATATGTTTTTAATGCGTGTTGGAGATAAGTGTTCCAACAAGTTGGAAGCAACAGGTTGAGTTTTCTGCATCCCCCCTTCTTCCATCTGAAGCTGCTTCAAGCAGGCTGTGCATGTGTGGGAGAGACAAAACAACCTCCCATGGCACTAGGCCTTCTCAGAATGTTGTGGACTCCTACCCTCTTGAATTGTTTAATCTGGAAATCTTCCCTGACTTGCAGGGCTGGATTAGGTACAACCTCTTGCCCCTAGCACCCTGTGTTTATCTTGCAAGGCACAGACGATGCTGTCCTGGAATTGACTGTGTTCTGGTCTGTCACCCACATTAGACTGTAAACCTGGGAAGATTAGGGCCCTGTCTTTCTTCTCTACCTTGTTCCCGGTGCCTGGCATCATGCCTGACCCAGAGTTGGGGCTGAGGACGTATTTGTTAGATGAATGAAGACATGACTAGAAGGGAAATATGAGCATTAATCAGAGCTTTCTGACAGTCAACAAGTCATCCAGACTTCTGACACCCATACATTCTGGTTCTTATTGCAAGAATCACCAAAGACTATGGTTGTTCATCCTATAATTCAGTGGTTCTCAAATTTGAACACTCACTGGAATCACCTGGAGGACTTGCTAAACTATAAATCGATGGGACTTATTCCCAGAGTTTCTGATTCAGCTTATCTGGGCTGGGGCTCTAGATCTGCATTTCTTTTTTTTTTTTTTTTTTTTTTGAGATGGAGTTTTGTTCTTTCACCCAGGCTGGAGTGCAGTGGCACGATCTTGGCTCATTGCAACCTCTGCCTTCTGATTTCAAGCAATTCTCCTGCCTCAGCCTCCCGAATAGCTGGGATTAGAGGCACCTGCCACCATGTCTGGCTAATTTTTGCATTTTTAGTAGAGACGGGGTTTCACCATGTTGGCCAGGCTGGTCTCGAACTCCTGACCTCAAGTGATCCACCCACCTCGGCCTCCCAAAGTGCTGGGATTACAGGCGTCAGCCACTGCACCTGGCCTTAGAGCTGCATTTCTAACATGTTTATTGGTAATACCGATGCTGCTCTTCTGGGACCACCATTCGAGAACGACTTTAATAATAAATAGAGAAATTATGCTCAAATTACATTTCCTTCAACACTGAAATCTGCATCGCATAATTTAAAAAAAATGGCAACATCACCGCTTATGATGTAAAATTAGCATTATTAATTTAAATGTGATTTAAAGAGCACAGGAATCTGTAACTTTGACTTTGTGATAGATGACTATGCTGGGCTTTTCATCCACGTGAATTCCATATTTAAAAGGCAAGTGGCCATTCCCGGTGGCTCACGCCTGTAATCCCAGCACTTTGGGAGGCCAAGGTGGGCAGATCACTTGAAGCCAGGAGTTTGAGACCATCCTGGCCAACATGGTGAAACCCCATCACTACTAAAAATACAAAAGTTAGCTGAGTGGGGTGGTGCACACCTATAATCGCAGCTACTCGGGAGGCTGAGGCATGAGAATTGCTTGAACCTGGTGGGTGGAGGTTGTAGTGAGCTGAGATTGCGCCACTGCACTCTAGTCTGGGTTACAGAGCGAGACTGTCTCAAAAAATAAAAAATAAGAATAAAAAAATAAAAGGCATGTGGAAGAAAGATCATGGGGTTTGGAGCCAGCAAGACCTGGCTTTGATTCTCACGTTACCACTTACTGCCCAGGAGACCTTGGGCAAGTTACTTGCTTACTTAGGGTATCAGAATCTTCATCTATAAGATGAGCATAGTAAAAGACTCTTTTCAGTTGCTAGAAGAAACAGGAAAAACAAACAAGTATCCCTTCCTAGCCAAAGACAAATTGGATCTTGAGACTAAAAACATTAAGTTTGTCTAGCAAGGAATATAGTGTTTTCTGAAGCTATTCAGCTCCTGAGTTTAGATAATGAGAATTATTTTGGAAAATTCATCTCAACTTACTGGGTTACTCAGTGTGCATAGTAAGAATTTGGAAACAGGGATGTTTACATAAGTAAAATGACTTTTTTTTTTTAACAGAGTAGATGCTCAATAAATGATAGATATAACAGAAAAACTGAATGCCAGAGAATAATGTATGCATAAAATAGATGGATAAATTATACAGGGAAGATCTTCATTACCTGAGAATTTGTTATTTGAGAGCCTATAGGTACCCAGTTGTGGAGGGAAGCTAAGATTACAGTAACACAGGAAATATTCACCAATGATATGATCACCAAAAATTGGTTCCTACTCAAATTCTTCCTGGCTCAGCATCTTTTTTGCTCATTATGTTACAGTTTTAGTTGTTTCTCCTCTCTTGTTGCCCATTGGATGTCCACCGAGCAAACAGGCAAACCCAATAAAAAGCTTCTTGAAAGTGAACAGCAAATCTTACAAATGCACAAGATTTCCTAAAGTCGATGAAAAGATGTTAGAGAATTACGCAGAGTTACGTAGAAACAGGGTTCTAGCAGAAGAGCAGCTTACAACTGAAGAACAGAAAATCCAGAAGGATGATGTTATAATGGCTTCAAAAGATAATTATTTGACTATCCAAGGATTGACAGAGACCTTGAGAAAAGCAATAAGGCCCTCAAATAGTTTTTCACAATTGGTTCTCTTTTGATAAAACTACAGGTGTCAATAGGAAGGGATTATGTTATATTATGTTATCATGATTGTAAACACACAAAATGTTATCATATATTTTGTCAGACATATTATGTTAAAACTACATGATTCTTGCTTCTCCTAACAATTGGTATAAATTACATTATAATCTAAATAAGCAGTTAGCAAACTACAGCTTGAGGGCCAAATCTGGCCACCATCTGCTTTTATAAATAAATCTTTATTGGAACACAGCTATGCCCATTCGTTTACTTATTATTTGAGGCTGCTTATATACCACAATGACAGACTTGAGTAGTTGCAGCAGAGGCCTCATGGCCCACAAAGTGAAAAATATTTGCTATCTGGCCCTTCCAGAAAAAGTTTGGTGACAGTTATTCTATCTAGCCCTTCCAGTAAAGTTTGCTGAAAATTGACCTAAGATTCTTTTTTTAAATAAGCTTTTTCTATTTTTACTTTTATTTTAAAAGATACAGTTCTAATAAAAATAATTCCTTCCACTTTTACATTGACGTTTTAATTTCCATTTTAAGTGGATTTATTTTAGGTGGATACCTTTATTTTACCACTCCCCAAATTATGTTTAGCTGATGAGGCCTCCTTATAATTGAGGACAAAACATGACTATTCATAATGATAAATTATTGCTGACCCCCAATTTAGAAGTGCAAGACTTTCAAATCAGACTGACTATGTTTGAATCCTGATACTGCTTGCTACTTACTAGCTGGGAGTATCCATGCATGGCATCTAATCTTTCTGGATCTCAGTTTTCTCCTCCCTCATGTGGGGATAGTAGCATGAACTCTGTTCAGTTAGTGAACTAAAACAAGATAATGAAGGTCAGGCTCTTACCCCAATCCCTGGCACACCGTATACACACTCAGTGGCAGCTGTTGTCATGTCTATCTGCCTGGAGTGGTTTGGAATTGCCATTTACACACCCTGGGATCTGAGTGCTGTGTTTCTCCAGGCTTTTTGTGAATTGTTTGATGTAAGGCAACACTACAGTTTGGAAGGCACTGCTGGGAGTGGAGGCAAATCCTTCACCAAATCAACTAGTCCACTTTGTTTAAAAAAGTAAAGGACCAGTTCAGAATTTATCTTCACGTTTAAAGATGTTTCCTTTAGTCAGTGCATGTCAGAAATTGCTGCAGCAGCAGCAGCGGGGAGGAAGCCTCTCACAACAATCCGACTCCAGCAGGGAGAGTCAGCCCAACACGTCTTGCATCTAAATATTCCCAGATGCTGTAACTGCAAGAGGGAGGCATTTTGTTTTTAGGAGAAGTGGACAAAAATGACAGCCACAAGGCAGTGATGGTAATGAGGGTGGTAGCCAGCAGGCCAGGGGAGAGCAAGGTGATTTCCTGGCTGGGTCACGCTGAGGAACAATACAGGCTTTATTCCTCCCGGCCTTGTCCTGGTTTGCAAAATACTTGCAGGAGCAGCCCCCGTTAAGCTTCCAAGTTGCTCCCCAATGATCCCATCTTTTTGTATTTATGCCTTTGTGTATGCCCTGTCCCTGAGTATGGGCTGGTCCTAGCAACTTGCTTCTAACCAACAGAAATGGTAAAGGTGATAAGATATGATTTCTCTAACTAGGTTATAAAAATCTTTAACCTCCATCTTGCTAGCAGACACTCTCTATTGCCTTCTCAGCTTGCACATTTTATGAAACAAATTGCTATGTGGGAGACAACCACATGCCAAGGAACTGAGGGTGGCTGTGGGCCAATAGCCAACAAGGAACTGAGGGCCTCAATGAACTGGATCCTACCAACTGTCATGTGAGTGAGTACAGAAGAAGATCCTTCCCCAGTGGAGCCTTCAGGTGAAACCCCAGTCCTGACTGACATCTTGATTATAGCCTGTGAGAGACCATGGAGCAGAGGACCCAGCTAAGCTGTGCCCAGAGTCCTGACCCACAGAAACTGACCTAATAAATGTGTGTTGTTTTAAGCCACTAAGTTTTGGGATAAGTTGTTGTGCAGCAATAGAGAGCTAATATAGATTTCTCCCTTAAAATTAAAAAGCAGACAAAAGACCTACATTTCTGCTGAGGGTTGATGGGTGGACTGTCACTTATTTGGGTTTATTTCAGTCATTCTTCATCTAACATGGCGTGGTATTAAGAACAGCACACTGCCGACAATGCTGATAGATTCATTTGGCTAAGCCACACCTCTGATATCACCCTTCCCCAATTTAAAAACTTTCATTGGTTCCCACTGACTGAATGAAAGAAGCTCAACTTTTTTGCCCTCTATAAACTGTTAAAATGATCATCCTAAAATATCAGTTAGCCTGTTACTCTTGTGCTTATAAAAGTCTGTTCAATTCTGGCTGCCAACTAGGTTAAATCTGTGTTCCACAACATCAAGTCCTGCCATGACCTGGCCCCTCATACCTTTCTGTCTTACATTTTTCTTTTTCTTTTCTTTTCTTTTTTTTTTTTTTTTGAGACAAGGTCTTGCTCTGTCGCTCAGGCTACAGTGTAGTGGCATGATCATGGCTCACTGCAACCTCAAACTCCTGGGCTCAAGCGATACTCTCATCTCAGCCTCCTGAGTGGCTGAGGCCACAGGTATATGCCACTATATCTGGCTAAGTTTTAAAATATTTTGTAGAGATGGGGTCTTGTTATGTTGCCCAGGGGTCTTGAATTCCTAGGCTCAAATCCTCCTGCCTTGGCCTCCAAAAGTGCTGAGATTACAGGCATGATCCACTGTGCCTGGCCTCTGCTTCATGCTTAGTGTCTCAGCAACACAGGACAGCTTGTCATATGCTCCCCAACACACATATTGTGCCATCTCCTGCCCTCCCCACTTCCCATCTTTACGACATCTTTCCCTTTGCCTCAACTGCTATTCTATTCTTTTCATTCTCCATATTCCCTTCTCTGGAAAATTCATTCTTAAAGTTCAGCTCTGATCATCTGAGTAATAATTAGAAAACATACTCATCTGCTTGGATCTGCATAGACTGTCTCCAGAAGAATCCAGAACAACTCGGTGACATTGGTTATCTCTGGGGAGGGAGTATTGAGTAGGCCTGAGGGATACACTTTAAGAGAGGGAAACTTTACTGTAAACCATTTTGTGCCTGTTAAATTTTGTAGCATATGAATATATTTCTCTGTTCAATTAAATATTAAATGAAGCATTTATAATGAAGGAAAAAGTTAATTTCTAAATTTACCTTTGCTGGGAAGCCTTCCCTGACTTTCTCTTACCGAGTTGATTGTGTGAAGTCCTGTTCATGTATCTGTCACCCCCTCCAGTCTCTACTGTCCTAGAATTCAGGGATTGCTCCTTATTCCTCCCTTATCCTTGTCCCTAGTGGTCTAGCACAGTGCCTGCTACTTCATAAGCCCTCAAAATAGCTGAGGAATAAAACAACTACACTTGCAAATGTATTTCCCACCACCTCTCAGACTCCTCTATGGTCACTGGCCATTTCTGCCTCTGGGGCTAGCTCCTACTGTCCCCTCTCCTTGGATTTCCCTTTCCCCCATTATTTTGTTTTTGAAGTCTCCTCATTTTTCAAGACTCAACTCAGCTTTCACCCCAGGAAGTCATCTTCTCCCTGTCTGCTTTCCCATACACTCCTGAAGAATTTTTTTTTGAGACGGAGTTTCAGTATTGTTGCCCAGGCTGGAGTGCAATGGCACAATCTCGACTCACTGCAGCCTCCACTTCCCAGGTTCCAGCGATTCTCCTGCCTCAGCCTCCCGTGTAGTTGGGACTGCAGGCGCCTGCCACCACACCTGGCTAATTTTTTTTTTTTTTTTTTAAGTAGAGATGGGGTTTCACCATGTTGGCCAGGCTGGTCTCGAACTCCTGGCCTCAGGTGATCCGCCTGCCTTGGGCTCCCAAAGTGCTGGGACTACAGGTGTAAGCCACCACGCCCAGCCACTCCTGAAGACTTTTCTTTATCCTTTATATAAGGGGCTGGTGAACTATGGCCCGTGGCCAAATCTGATCCATTGCCTGTCTCTGTAGATGAAGACAACTTTTATTTATTTATTTATTTATTCATTTATTTATAGATAGATAGGGTCTCACTCCGATGCCCAGACTGGAGTGTAGTGGTGCAATCTCTGTCCACTGCAGCCTTGACTTCCTGGGCTCAGGCGATCCTCCCACATCAGCCGCTCAAGTAGCTGGGGCTACAGATGTGCACCACCACTTCCAGCTAATCTTTTGTATTTTTAGTAGAGGCAGGTTTCACCATGTTGCCTAGGTTGGTCATGAACTCCTGGACTCAAGCGATACCTGCCTCGGTCTCCCAAAGTGCTAAGATTACAGGCGTGAGTCACTGTGCCCAGCCGACACCCATTCTTTCACACATCATCTATGGCTGCCTTCTCCTTCCAATGGCAGAGTTGAGCATTGCAATGGAGACCCTCAGGCCTGCAAAGCCAAATGTATTATTTATCTGGATTGTTACAGAAAAAGTTTGCTCTCTCCTGATTTATATCATAATTATACCTATTTACTATTCTGCTCATTAAGATACAAACTTGGACTCAAACTCTGTGTTGAATCCAGTCAAAGTCACTATCCTGGCAAAAGAAGCTGCCCACCCCTCCTGAGAACCTCCGAATGCCACCACACAGAGCATCTTCCCATTCCCAGAGCCATTCGCATCCTTTCCTGCTTCAGCTTTGAGCTTGCGGTCTGTCTCCGCCTGAACTCAGCTCTCTCAGGATGGTTTTTTCTTGTCCTCCTAGTCACACCCCAACTCCCCAACCTAGAGAGGCATTCCCTGACCCCCTTACCTATTTAGGTACTGGTGCTAGTTTCTGTTCTGACACCTGTGTATCCCTGCATGACACATACTACAAGCTGTAATTATTTTTATTTATCTGTTTGGCTCTCTCTCTCTTACTAGACCGTGAGTTCCTTGAAGGCAGGAACGTTATCTATCTAGTTTCCTACTGTATTTGCAGTGTCTTTTTTTTTTTTTTTTTTTTTTTGAGACAGGGTCTTGCTCTGTCACCCAAACTGTAGTGCAGTGGTGCCATCACAGCTCTTGATTTGCAGTGTCTCTCACAGTGTCTGTCACAAAGAGGGTAAATACTATAGGAAATACTATTTACTGACTAAACAGATGACAGACTGACTAAATCTTTGTCTCCATCAGAGTGACTAGCTGAGTGTCTAACAGGCACTCAACACTATTTGTTGAATGAATGAATAATGTAAGAGGGGACACTTAATCATGACAATACTGATAAATGAAAGTAACTCATTGCAGAGTTCTCTCCACCCTTTAATATCAAGCTCATGGAAAAGAATAGCCTCCTTCAGCTCCATTTAAATTATTCAGGACAAAGGAAAGGAAGTAGGCTCTCAAGGGAGATGCTAGAATATCCTCTGATTGTGTGTGTGTGTCTATGTGTGTGTGTGAGTGTGTGAGACAGAAAGAGAGAGAGCCAGAGAGAGAGAGAGACAGACAGAGAGAGAGAGAGAGAGAGAGAGAGAAATATGTATTAGCCTGCAGGTCGGGCTGCTGTCCATGGACTTGGGGAATAAGGGAATGCACTAGTTCTATGGGGCTTTGCACAAATACGCTGCCAGTGGACTGTGAAATCTGTTTTTCCTTAGAATCAGCAGTTCAGAAGTTGGAATATCTACTTAATGTGTTTTTTAAAGCAATACTGTTTTGGATTATAAAATTGATGAACGCATTGCAAAGAATTTAAAAACTAAAGAAAATATAAATAAGAAAATAAAAATTACCCTTAATTTCACCGGGTATTTTGTCTTACCTATACGTATTTTAGATTTTCTTCCTCTCTCCTTCCCTCTCCCTTCCCCTCCCTCCTTTTCTCCCTCCCTCTCTTCCTTCATTCATTTCTTCTTTTTTTCCGATACATTTGAGACCTATTTAGCATTATATCCTGAACATTATCTCATAACATTAATTTTTTTCAACAATAACATTTTAAAGAACTATATAATATTCCAGAAATTTACTCCAGGAAATTTATTCAATCCCCCATATGAGTTGTTTTCTATTTTTTGGTGTTATCACTCTATAATTAACTAATGCACAGTTCTACAGTGGACAGATTTGGTAGTTTTGCCTTTCTTTTAACTAGATTTATAGAAGTAGAATTATTGGCTAAAAATATAAAATTTTACATTATTGTTTACAGGTATGGCCAAATTAATTCTGTGGGACTGATATAGATCCACAGTCCTAGCCTCATGCCTATTTTACCATAGACTTTCTTCAATATTATTACATTGCTATTGATACAGAAGGGGGACAGAGAAGTGCTGGGTAGAGGAGGACATGGTCCCTGGCTAGGGCTACACCCGCAAGCCTATGCCCATGGATCTAGGTGAAGACAGGCATTTTTGTTTCCCTGCTCAAATGTTTCATTTCTCAAGACCACCCTGGCCTGCCATGCCCCCATCCTGGGCCTATAGAAACCCTGAGACCCTAGCAGGCAGATACACAGGTGGCTGGACGTTGAGAGGATCAGAAGAGTGGAGGAACAGGGATGGGGGTTGGCTGGATGTTGAGAGGAACACACCAGCGTAGGAGCACACGGGCACGCCAGCAGGTCATCAACGGGTGGAAGGAGGCAAAGTTTGGCCAGGGCAGTTAGAGGAGAGCCCAGACTGCTGAGTGGCCTGACTCCAGGGGAAAACCATCTCCCTTCTGGCTCCCCGATCTGGTGAGAGCTACCTCCACTCAATAAAACCTTGCACTCATTCTCCAAGCCCATGTGTGATCCGATTCTTCTGGTACACCAAGACAAGAACCCTGGGATACAGAAAGCCCTCTGTCCTTGTGATAAGGCAGGGGTCTAATTGAGCTAACTAACACAAACTGCCTATGGACAGCTAAACTACAAGAGCTCCCTGTAACACACGCCCTGGGGCTTCAGCTATAAACATTCACCCCTAGACACTGCCGAGGGGTCGGAGACCCACAGCCTGCCCATCTGTATGCTCCCCTAGAGGTTTGAGCAGGAGGGGCATTGAAGAAGCAAGCCACACCCCCATCACATGCCGTGTGAGGGGGACAAGGGAAACTTTCCAGTTTCACTATCACATAATACTTATTTTTAATGAGAAAGCATCAGTTAAAATGTTTATTATTAAATCTCTTTTCCTATAAACCTATTTTCCCTATCCACATTCTTCTTTGGAGCTTAAGTACTTTAAAATTCAATCAAACTTAAATAATAATTGATATCTTCTAGGTGGTTGATTATGCTTCCAACTAAAAGTAATATTTAAGTATAGTATTTAGAGTCATTTGATATAATAACAGCTCGCTTAACCATGAGCCAATTTACTGACTCTTTTTTAACTTTTCAGAATACTAAATACCAGAGAGAAATAGAAAGAAATGCATTTTTAAAGGCTAAATCATGGTCAAAGATCAGCTAAATGTATGGTACATGGACAAATCCCAACAAAATCATCTGGCAGGGGTTGTGCTTTGGGTGTTCATTAAAAGCACCTCTTCCTGGGCCTTACCCAACACCCACCAAGTCAGAATACCTTGTTGTCAAGGTATAGGAATCTGCATTTAAAAAATTTTTTTATTTCAATTGGTTTTTGTGGAACAGGTGGTGTTTGGTTACATGGATAAGTTCTTTAGTGGTGATTTGTGAGATTTTGTTGCACTCACAACCCAGGCCGTGTACACTGTACCCAACATGTAGTCTTTCATCCCTCACCCCATCCTACCCTTTCCCCTGAGTCCCCAAAGTCCATTGTATCATTCTTATGCCTTTGCATCCTCATATCTTAGCTCCCACTTATGAGTGAGAACACATGATGTTTGGTTTTTCATTCCTGAGTTACTTCAGTTAGAATAATGGTCTCCAATTCCATCCAGGTTGCTGTGAATGCCATTATTTTGTTCCTTTTTAAGGCTGAGTAGTAAGGAATCTGCATTTTACTAAGGCTTGTGGAATTCAGAAATCACTGCTGACTTTCCTCTTCATGCTGAGTCTATTTATTCTTGCTTTACCCAGAATCTACTGGGCCTCGATAAGGTGTGCATATCCCTAACCAGATGGCCCTCATTCAAACAGAATTATGGTGAAGGGGACTTGCCACTAGGGCATATTTTCCCTCTTTGGACGTGAGATCTTGACTATCATCAGAGAGGGGCCATGTGTTCTAGGAATCTAAGTGTAATAAATATGATACCCAAAGGACGATCTTTACCTTGATAATTTATGAAGATGATCCTGATTCCTTTACTGCCAGTGGGCAAGGCTGGTCTTCGCCTTGGGGGATGAAGTGACACTGAGGATAGGGCAGAGGAGACCCTGGATGGCAAGCAAAGGTCTGCTGTAGAAAACAGAAGGTACCCACAGAAATTCTGTGAAGTAATGCATACAAAAGAAAAGTATCTGCCAGGCACAGTGGCTCACGCCTGTAATCACAGCACTTTGGGAGGCCAAGGCAGGCAGATCACTTGAGGTCAGGAGTTGGAGACCAGCCTGGCCAACATGGAGAAACCCCGTTTCTACTAAAAATACAAAAATTAGCTGGGCATGGTGGCAAGTGCCTGTAATCACAGCTGCTCGGGAGGCGGAGGCACAAGAATCGCTTGAACCCGAGAGGTGGAGGTTGCAGTAGGCCAAGATCATGCCACTGCACTCCAGCCTGGGTGACAGAGTGAGACTGTGTCTCAAAAAAAAAGCCTTCCTTTTGGCTGGAACCACCATCTTCCAGTAATTCGCCAAAATGATGAACACAAAGAGAAAGAGAAGAGGCACTGATATATGTTCTCCAGGCCTTTTAGAGAACATGGAATTGTTCCTTTGGCCACATAGATGTGAATCTATAAGAAAGATGATATTGTAGACACCAAAGGAATGGGTACTGTTCAAAAAGGAATGCCCCATAAGTGTTACCATGGCAAAACCGGAAGAGTCTACAATGTTACCCAGAATGCTGTTGGCATTGTTGTAAATAAACAAGTTAAGGGGAAGATTCTTGCCAAGAAAAAGAGAGAAGCCAAAGAGAAAGTACCTGGGTTCAACTGTGCCTGCCTGCTCCACCTAGAGAAGCATGCTTTGTAAAAACCATTGGGAAGGAGCCTGAGCTGCTGGCACCTAGTCCCTATGAATTGATGGCACGATAGGTGTTAAAATAAAAGACCTCTGGACTGTAAAAAATGTGTCTCTTTTTTTCAGTAGAGTGTGGTGTCCCGTCCCCCAAAGAAATTTTTAAAGCAAAAAAAAAAAAAAAAAAGGTATCTTTTTAAAGCAATGTTCTTCAAATGTTGTTCATTGCCCTTAAAATGTTTTTGAAAAATTATTTACTCCTTACATATTTTAAAGTTGAGAACTAAAATATTTCATCATAAGGTTAACAAGTTGTATAAAAGCTGGATAATTTCTAGCAAACTTTGATGCTGTAAAATGAAAATGGTTTGATTAACTCTTTTAGCTTCAACTAGTGGAAATTAAATATCCTAGGGATTTGATATGTCAGTCCTTTTCCTGTTTCCATTCTACTTCCTGCACAGACTTTACTATAGTATATTTTAATGCTTGAAAGGTTTCTTATTGGTCACTGTCACACTTGCCTGAATCAAGATATTATAAAGTTAATATTTAAATTTTTAATATTTTCTGTGAGTTTGCTATTCTAGATGTTAAAAATTTCTTCTCTGTTACCATTACAACTATTATTTGTACTAATTTGCTGAAAACAACAAATGTATTATTTGTAGATAATTGTGAAACTAGACTATAATAAAACTTTATTGGAAGTGCATATCTTTTTTTTTTTTTTTTAATAGGCATGGGGTCTCACTATGTTGCCCAGGCTGGTCTTGAACACCTGGGTTCAAGTGATCCTCCCCCCCTTGGCCTCCTACAGTGCTGGGATTATAGGTGTGAGCCACCAACGCCAGGCTGTAATTGCATATCTTAAATGAGATGGATGGGGCTTTTCCCTCCCTTCCCATTAACTTCTAAATATGTTTTACTTTCCAAAAGAGACAGGGTTCAGCATCAATTTTATTTCTTTTCTTTGCTTTTAATCATAGCTGTAAGGACTGAAAAATTTTGTCCACATTAGTAGATGGGAATGGAAAGAGATTTATTATAGCAACATCACTCAATTCTTTCAAATTATTTGCCAAAAATTATGTGGTGATCTATCATCAAAAATATTTTTAATGCTCTACCAGCTGACAACTCCATCAGATCCTCATTCAATTTTGTTGAAAGCAAAGAATTGAAAACCGGTTGACTTACAAAAGGATTTGTAACCCAATCATTAGAATGTTTCACTTTCTCAACACTGAAACAGCTAGATTTTGAATCACTCCTTTGTTGGGAGACCTGTTTTTTTTTTTTTTTTTCTTTTTCCTGGGGCAATACACCACAACGAGATTCAGGATGAGTTAGAGGTGGGCGTTTCTTTTGTAAAAGGGGAAAAGGTAGTTGTGAAAGGGGAAGTGGCAGAGGACCCGCTGAAGCCTACCACACAACCGAAGGATCATCATCTTTAATGTTGTGTCTCTGCATGTCCTGAAGGAGGTGCTCAGGCCCCTTGAGGCCTTGGAAGGAGAACTCGCATGTCGCAGTCATGCTCTCAGACATAGCAGTTTTAGGAGTACCTAAAGAGGAGCTGATAATCTGGAAATTATTCCTTTAAACCATTCATGCCAAAGTCACTCTTAAAAATCTTGGCAGCAACTATCAAAGAAATAACAGATTCAGGTGAGAATCATCAACAAGGGCTAGAACTCTAATGAGGAATAAGATAATTACAGAGCCTCAAATTATCTCCCCACAAAATATTAGTGAATTACCCATTAAGTACTAAGTAAAAAATACTTAGAAATAAACTTTACATTGAAGAACACACACATACATATAGAAGAAGTATATATATATATATATCAGGAAATCCCCCAATCTGAGACAGAGATAAAACAGAAACAAAAAGACAGTCCATGGTGTCTGATATCCATCTCCAGTATTTTTCATTGAGTAAAACATTGATGACTCTTGTTCAGTGTAGCCAAGGGAATAATCTCTGTCCTGGTCAGGACTGGATTCTTCTTGCATATCTTCAACCATAATATGATCTGGTTTCTCTTGTATTCTGTGATGTGCATTTCCTGATTCATGGCCTTTACTGTAAAATATTTGTCTTTATCAATTGATTTCTGCTGCAGACTTTGCTTTGCTCCCATTGACTTGGAAAATGATGGATATAGTTGTACCATGCTGTAGTTCTGTTTTCAACTAGAGTCCTCTGTTTCTGTCCAGATTCCTTACCTAAATGTTTTCCCTATGGCAATGATTTGGAATTGTTACTGTTTAAATAAAAGAAGGCAAATTGGTTTTATATCACCAACTGATCAGTAACAGACCTCTTGGGGTCCTCTGCTAGGTAAGATTTTGATGCCCTTTCTGGGCTTAATGGGAAAGAGTGCCATGATTGTTTAGTGATGTTTGCTACAGCCTCTAGAAGAAAGACAATGATACATGCTTGGTGTGTGGAGTAAGCAGCCTCTGCAATGGTTCACAGTGATCTCCTTCCTAGTATTCATCTCCATGGGGGCGGGCCATAATGACTTGCTTGGAATAAAAAAATGTGGCAAAGGTGATGGAATGTCACTTCTGTGGTTAGGTTACAAAAGATTGTGACTTCCATCTTGCTGCAGATGTTCTTTCTGCTGGCTTTGATGAAGAAAGCTGCCATGCTGAAGAGGCTCATGTAACAAGGAACTGAGAGTGGCCTCCAGGCAACAGCCAGCAAAGAACTGAAGCTCTCCACCCAACAGCCCTTGAGGAATGGTATCCTGCCTTCAGGCGAGACTCTAGCACTTCATTGCACACAGCCATGTCAGAGACCAAAGACCCTAAGGTAGAGCTTCCAACAAAGTGCGCTGGATTTCTGTGGATTCCTGATGCACAGAAACTGTGCAAAAATAATTATGCATTGTTTTAAGCTGATAAGTTTTGGAGGTAATTTGTTAATGCAGCAGTGGGTAACTAATACGTCATGTATTTACCAATTTTAGTTTAATCACTTTATGTACTTTATTGTGTAGCCGAAAAATAGTAGGAGCAGCATCATACACATAGCAAGCAGCAAGAATATAGCTGAATTTAAAAGAAATAATCCACAAATTACCAAGATCAATCACAAGGATGCAAGACACGGCAATCAGAGGTTATTTAGTGGAGAGGCAAACCGTTTTGGAGAACTCAAACAACTTTGAATTCAACTGTTTTGCCATTCAGTTCAATGTAGCTCATAATAGTCTCTACTTCTCTTATCCTAGCACTTAGTTCAGTGGGATTCCTTGTTTAATTATCTCTCTTCTTCACCAGAACACAGGTTTAATAAGGACAGGGTCTCTGTCTCTTTCAATCACCATTATAGTGCTCATACCTGGCATAGTTCTTGGCACATATTAGCCTTCCACTAAGCATTTGTTGAATGAATAGACGTTAGTGTTTCAGTGAATGTCAATAAGTCACAAAATATTGCTATACATTTTAGAAAAATAAGCACAAGAAATAGTTATAATAAATATTTTCTTAGCGCTTACAGGAAGTAAGTCTTAGTATCTGGCCAGTTCACTCATTTAGGGCATCTAATTCCCTGACAATGCCAGTTAAATGGAACATTACTGTAATAGGTACCATTAATTATTCATTGCAAACACAGTGTGCAAGGTCAAATGAAATCTGATGGAAAATCTCACCATTGTGGAAAAATCACTTGCTGATTATTATCACAACTTTTACTGCTGCAGAATAGAGCTTATCTCCTTCCAGTGTGTTCTATGGGGACCATAGCCACTAAGTTCATCTCAAGGAAAGTAAGGCAATTTTATTTTATCTGATTGCACATTTCTCTGCTGCTAGGAATTTCTTTAATCTTGTAAATTATATACATAATATATATGCTTTATAAGATTACAGAAATTTAATCTTTATGTTATATATTACATATATTTTTTACAAGATTAAGGAAATTTTATGAGTAAGGAAATCTAATATATAATTTACATATTATATATATGTTAGGATTAAAGAAATTTAATAAATTTCCTTTATATATATAATTTATAAGATTAAGGAAGTTTATAAGATTAAGGACTTATATACATATGAACTATTATAAACAGAGAGAAGGAAATAAGTTATGGTAAGACAGAAGCAGAATAAATGAAAAACAGATTATTTGTGAAAGAGAAATAGAACGCCGGTGTCACCAAATTTTAGAGGTCTACCCCTGAACTGCCTAGAGTAAGCTAACCAACATAAAACCCAGAACCTACATCAAGGGGATGAGTTTAGCATTTGTTTGATGGCAAAATGGGAAATGGTGGTGACGTCTTTATTCAGTGAGAATGAGAAACGGTATTTAGGTTTCTCTTGTTGCTCTGTGTCGAGAAGGATTCTGAGGCCCAGTGGAGGATCATTATGATTGATTAAAGATGGCACCGAGTAATGGAGCAGATGTACTAATCAGTGCATTTGTGAGTCTTAGATTTCTCTGATATAATACAATTAGTTTCAGGGTAAATTGCGACTCAGTGAAATCCAATTACGATTTATTTTCCTTATTGCAATAATATGAACAGACCTGTTTCTAGATTCAAGGATTTTATTTTTTTAAACCTCTGCACTTCTAGCCTAGGCTTGGCTTATATTTACTTTCAACAGGTTATTTCAGCTTAGGGAAGGATTTCAGGCTCTGAAATGTTATCAAGTTTCCCAATAGTGAAAAACAAAGCTCATAAAAATGAATCATTTTTCAAAGGTGACAGAAACCACTGATGCCTCTGGCTTATGTGTTTGCATTTCACCATAAAGCAATAACTATATGTCCACTGGTGATTTGCTTTAATCTTAAGATAAATAAAACCTGTTGGAGCGGAAACTGAGAATAGGGTGGTCAAAGGGTAAACGGTATCGCTAGTACTTTGTTCTGACATTGCTCATGATTTCTTGGGGCGTTTAGCCATTCACTAACCTAAACTAGTGCACTAAGCCTTTTAAAAAATAAAAATGTATATTAAGAGACACAACTGATCTGGAAACACTTTACAAAATGAATATTAAACTTGTAACATGCAGATGACATTGCATAGAGATGGTGAGTATTTTTAGAT
Organism: Homo sapiens; assembly: GCF_000001405.40. Classification (NCBI taxonomy): domain Eukaryota; kingdom Metazoa; phylum Chordata; class Mammalia; order Primates; family Hominidae; genus Homo; species Homo sapiens. The sequence goes on from NC_000003.12 coordinate 66,642,559, forward strand.
ATCCTCAGCCTTTTCAGGCTTTTTCAATCCATTTTCCTCACTCCTTTGTGAAACTTGAGCTGGCCTGACACCCTGAGAGTGCGGACCATAGGTTCCTTCCATTTGGCAACTCCACGGATGGCTTGGACTTCAGTTTCCTCCACAGTTCACACTAATTACACTGACTGGGCAGAGCCCCTGCTCCTTCCTTTCGAATGTAAGATGTGTAATAAATACCTTCTCCAAGGACCTGCCTTCTCTTTATCACTATGTACCAAGTCCTTCCACTCCTTCAACTGTCATTCCATAATTTACATCTTAATTTAATAAAAATGTATTGAGTGGCTGGTAACGCTAGGTAGGTGCTAAAGATAACAGTGGTAAAGATTGTAGATGAAGGAGGTAAAAATATAGAACATTTAAACAACATGATTAGCAAGAATAATCTAGTGGACATGTATATAACACTATTACTAATAACTGAAATAAACTTTTTTGTGCATACACACAATGTGCATAAAATTTGAACACATACTGGAGTATAAAGCAAGCGTCAAACAAATTTTAAGCATTTGGTACCACGCTGGCAAATGGTATGCTAGTAAACTACCTCTGTGGGAAAGAGAAATAAAAAAGCCTTGATTTGCAGCGATTCCCTATTCATGGTATTAATGGTATTACCATTAATGTAATACTTAATTACCATTAAGTATTCATGGTATTAATACTTCCACCACAGCTGATTTCAAGCTACCAATGGCTTAACGATGGGTTTGCAAAATTCCTGAATCTTTAACAATCATATATTGTGAGTCAACATGAATTGGTTGTAGTACTTTCTGACTATAAAAATAAGGCTAGCCATGAATTTAAAAAGTTTAACTGGCCCTCCCCCTCATTTGTTTGGATATTAAAAGCATACTTCTCTAGCTCATATGTCAAATAAACTATAATGGGTTTTCAAACTGAATGATAGTGAACACACTGTATAGGAAAACTCATGGGATGCAACAAAAATATTCTTCAAGGAAATTTTTTTTTTTTTTTAAGGCAGAATTTCACTCTTTGTCACCCAGGCTGGAGTACAATAGTGTAATCTCGGCTCACTGCAACCTCCACTTCCCGGGTTCAGGCGATTCTCCTGCCTCAGCCTCCTCAGTAGCTGGGATTACAGGTGTGCACCACCACGCCCAGCTAATTTTTGTATTTTTAGTAGAGATGGGGTTTCACTATGTTGGACAAGCTGGTCTCGAACTCCCGACCTCAGGTGATCCACCTGCCTTGGCCTCCTAAAGTGTTAGGATTACAGGTGTTAGCCACTGCGCCTGGCCTACTTCAAGGGAAATTTGCATCCTTAAATGATTACATTTAAAAATAGAAAAAGTAGAAAACAAATTAACTAAGATTCAACTGAAATAAAATAACACAAATAAATAATAGGCTAAAAAAGCTGAAGAAAATAAAACGAGGGACATAATAATGGAAAGGGCAGACTTCAACGAAAGATAACACAATGCATAATAGAGACCCTCCCCATCAACAGATAGTAGTTGGTTTACTAAAGTGATATAATTAAACTTCCTATAAGGTCGATCAAGTAAAAAGAAAACCCAAGCAAAATAATTAGAAAGGGGCATTATAGATGCATCAGAAATTAAAAAATACAAGATAAGATTAGTATGAATGATTTTATGCCAATAACTTTAAATAATTCAGATGAAATAGATACATTTTTGGACAAGTACAAGTTACCCAAAGTGATTCAAGAATCAGAAAATATAGATGGTCCTATGCGTTAGCTATCTATTGCCGTTTAACTACCAACCTGCCAGTCGATGACTTAAAATGACAAATATTTATTATTGCTCAGAAATCCACAGGTCAGTTGGATTGTTTCTCTGTCTCAGTGAGGCTGACTAGCAGACTGCAGATTAGGTAGGTGGCTCTGCGGATCGAAGTTGGGCTCACTCTCAAATATGCTTCAAGGAAAGTTGGCTATAGGACAGCAGTAAAGTGTGGCCTCAGTTGAGACAAACTGCTTGACCACTAGATGGTCTTTCATCCTCCAACAGGCTAGGTAGGGCTTGTTCTTGCTGGTGGCAGGGTTCTAACATAATGAGCAGAAGCACAAAAGGCCTCTTGTGAAACAGGGACAGTGGAAGAACTGCATTCTATTGGCTAAGAAATTCACAAGGCTAGTCCAGATTCAAAAAAATGAGGAAATAGATACTTTCTCTTTAGTGAGAGGGCATGGATATAGAGAAGAATGGAGAACTGCAACCATTCTTGTAATCTACCACATCCTAAAATAATCAAAGATGTTGATTCAGCAGTTAGAAAGTCTTCTCACCAAGAAAACACCAGGCCAGATGCTTCTTACTGGCAAGTTCTACCAAATGTTCAAGGAACAGACAAATCCAATCATATGAAATATCTTCAAAAATAGAAAAAGGACCATGTCATAATTCATTTTTATGAGGCTATTAAAGCCCAGACACCAAAACTAGACAAGAACAGTGTAAAAGAAGAAAATAATGGCCCAAATGTATTAAAGATAATAAACACAGAATTCAAAGCACAAATTAAAGAAACTAAATCTGTCAAAGTATAAAGAAAGAGGATGCACAATAGCCAAGAGTTTATTTTAGGAAAGCAAGGTTGGTTCAACCTTGGACAAATCTATTAATTGGCTATATTAATAAAATATAGGAAATAAACTCCACTAGATTAAAAAAAGGACTAAATAAAATTCAGCAAACATTTATGATTAAAAAATATGGTAAATATTAAGAATAGGCTTGAGGCTAGTCGTCTGAGACCAGCCTGAGCAACACTGAGACTCTGCCTCTAAAAAAAATATAAACATTTATTTTAAATTAGGAAAAAAAGAACAGAAAGGAAACTTCTTAATACAAACCAAAACAGTATCTACCAAAACCTATAACCAAACATCAGTCTTCATGTTGAAATGTTAAAAGCATTTATTTTAAAACCAGAATAAAAAACTGACAGTTATTTTATTAAACATTGTTTTGGAGGTCCTAGCTTATGCAATAAAATAAGAAAAGTAAATAAACATATAAATATTAGAAAGGAAGAAACCAAACTCTCATTATCTACAGATGATATTATATGTCTATGCAGAAAGCAAACTTACAAAAAACCCATAATTAGATATAAGAATTTAGCAAGTTTGTGGAATATTATATCTATATACAGTTAATTTACATTTCTCTACAATAGCAATAAACAAAAAATGTAAGCAAAGTCCTGATTATCATAGCAAGGTATCTTCTAACTATCTACATATTTTAGCAACAAACATAATTAAATATATATAAGATCTGATGGAGAAAATTATAAATTGAAAGCATTAAAAGCATTGAATGAGGTGGTGGTGGTGGGGAGTTAAGAAATGTTGATCTAAGGGTGCAAACTTTCAGTCTTAAGATGAATGAATTCTGTGATCTAATGTCCAGCAGGATGACTATAGTTAATAATACTGTATTGCTTACTTGAAATTTGCTAAGAGTAGATCTTAAGTGTCTACACACACACACACACACGATAACTAAGTGTGATGATGGATATGTTAATTAATTTGATCATCATTCCACAATGTATACATATATCAAATCATCACATTGTATATACACCTTGCACGTACAATTCTTATTTGTCAATAAAGCTGTCGGGAAAATGCATGAGACAACCTAAATAAATACAGAGTTAGTTCCTATTTATGCATACACTCAATATTTTAAAGATGGTAATTCTTCCTAAATTAATATGTAGATACAAAGTAATTCCAATGAAAATGTCCAAGCAGGTTTATTTTTATGTTTTATTTATTTTTAGTGGAATTTGACAGGCTGTTTCAGAAACTTACCTAGAATAGCAAAGGCCAAGAATTAGCAAGACATTACTTAAGAAACAAATTAGTGAAGGGGACTTGCCACAACACATATCAAGACTATATGAAATAAGGCCAGGCACGGTGGCTCACATCTGTAATCCCAGCATTTTGGGAGGCCAAGGCGTTTGAGGCCAGGAGTTTGAGACCAGCCTGGCCACCATGGCAAAGCCCTGTCTCTACTAAAAATACAAAAATTAGCTGGGAATGGTGGCACACACCTGTAATCCCAGCTACTTGGGAGGCTGAGGCACGAGAATCACTTGAACCTGGGAGGCAGAGGTTGCAGTGAGCTGAGACTGTGCCACTGCACTCCAGCCTGGGCAACAGACTAAGAATCTGTTTCAAAAAAACAAAACAAACAAACACTATGAAATAAGACAGTGTATTATTGAACCAGGGATTGGCCAGCAGACCACAGAAATGTACCAGACAGCATCCATGTGGGGCCAATGGCAGAGAAATGGGCTATTTAGTAATTGATGTTAGGACATTTATTCATATGGAAAGAGAAAGAAATTGCATGCCTACCTCACAACTTGCATCAAAGTCAATTCCAGATGCACTGGGGACTTAAATGTGAAGGGCAAAACTTTAATAATTTTAGGAAGAAGTAAAAAAAGTGTATCTCCACGACCCATGGAGGTAGGGAATGATTTCTTAAGCAAGAAACAAAAAGCACAAAATATACAGAAAAAGATTGCTCAATCTGACTCATTAAAATCAGAATTGTGCTCATTTTAATGAGCAACAAGGAGGTGAAAAGCCAAGCCGAAAAGCTGGAAGAAGATATTTGCAATACCCAGAACCAAGAAGGGGTTAATATGCAAAATATAGAACGCAAACCCAGGAGAACTTATGTTGATAAGTTAATCACAGAAGCCCTCTTTGAGGAGTGACATGGAAGCAGAGATCACAAGAATGAGATGGAAAAGAAGGGAGGAAGAGCACTCCAGTTGGAGAAAAAATTAAATTCAAAGGCTTGAGGTGGAGACCAGAGATCAGAGACTAGCGTGACTGGAAGACAGAAAGTGAGGGAGAGGAAGGACATGGGCTTGGAGAGGTAGACAAAGGCCACAGCCAGCAGGATGGTACAATGAGAAGCCAATAAAGGGTGTAATGGAGCACACCTGGCTGCTATGTAAAGCATGGACGAGGGGCTGAGGTTACAAACAGGGAGACCGTGGAACCTCTAGAATCGAGTACAGGAGCTTTCACAGAATCTCAGAGCGGCAGATGCAGAGTCTTCATTAAGGGCATGAACTCTGGAGCTAGATTGCCTGGATTCCTATCCTTGCTCCGCTTTTTACAAGCTCTTTGACCTTGGGCAAATGACTTTGGCTTTCTGTGCCTCACAGAAAGGAGGTAATAATAGTGCCCACTAAGTGTTCTTAATCATTTTTATGCCTCAAATCCCTTGGCAGTCTGCTGAAGCCTTCTCAGAAAAAAAAAATTTTTAATGCATAAAATAAAATACATAGGATTCCAAAAAAACCCAAATATATCTCAATATAGTTATCAGCCAGGCATGGTGGTTGTAATCCCAGTGCTTTGGGAGGCCAAGGTGAGAGGAGCACTAGAGGCCAAGAGTTTGAGACCAACCTGGGCAACATAGTGAGAATCCATCTCTTTCTATTAAAAAAAAACTACCATAATTTTGAAGTTGTGATGTGAAAAAGATGATATTTCAAGGCATCTACAACAACTGTAATGTAATACCAAAAAAAATTAACTTCTCCAGGTTATAAAGTCTCAGGTACCACTAATTCAATGGTGTGGTTTGTTGCATACATTCTTAACGGAAGGAAATGTTAGATTTCAGTGAGAGGTTACTGAAAATAAAGATGTGTTTCTACCTCCCATTCAAGTTGAAGGACGCTCTGAATTCTAACCACCAACCCATTGGACATCCATGGATCCCAGGGTAAAAACCCCTGTTTCTAGACAAAAGTTCTTCTAATAACAGCTGGCATAAAGCCACTTTAGTTATTGTTGTTGCCATGGTCATTGTCATCATTTTAGGAGGTGGCACGGATAATCATGAAGTTTTTCTACTACTTTAGGGCAGATGGCTTTGCCACATACTGGCACTGTGACCTGGGCAAGGCAGGTGCCTCCTTGAGCTTGGTGCCCTCATGGTGCTTCTCCTGGAGACCCTGACAGGAGAGCTATGGAAGGGAAGAGCCAGGAGAAAAGGAGGAGACCATTTCTGGACACATCCTGCCAGTTATCATTCCAGCCTGATGCAGATCATTATTTATAAACTATAACTACTCATTCTCTGGATTTTATTGCTTGTTAAGAGCTGAGTGTAACATCTTTAATTAGAGTCAGGAGTTGGATGCATAAGAGAGAGAGACAGAAAACATCTGAAATTCTGAATCTAAAATAAAACTCTTTAAATGGATTATTTTTCTAAGAAAAAAATCTTTAGATACTGATTGGGGAAAAATCTTTGTTGTCTTTTTTTTGGTTGAATTTTGAGCCTGTGAAGTTTGTCCTGAATCCAACGGTTCCATAATTCAGGGTTTGTCTGCTTCCTTGCAAAAAGCAGCCTTCCTGAGTTCTGCAAGGTATTTGTATTTATACTCTTGACATTTAAAATATTTTCATATCTCCTATCTCTACTTCTCCCCAAAGGACTTACGGGGTTGATGTGGTCAACTTTTGCTTGAGTTAGCCAGAGAAGGTGCATTTTGCTTGTAATGTACATTTCTTTGCTGCAGGACTTCTCAGAGCCTCTGTATGGTAATATGAATTGGGAAGTCCAGCCAGGGGACAAAGTAGTCAACACTTCTCAAACTTGTGTGACCTGCTTTTTTATCTATAGAATTTCTCATAGGGCTAGTGAGAAAATGCTACCTTAGATAAACACTTTAAAGAGAAACATTTTTCTTAGGAAGTGTTTACAGTCACTGTAATTATCAAACAACAAAAAAACAGGGAAAGTAGGGGGTATGACAGGCTGAATCTAGAATGGGGACAGAGCTGCCCTAGGGGGATTCCACGGATTAAAAAAAAAAATCATCTTACCTGCCTTATTGAACTTGGGATTGTTTATAAAGGTTAAATAACATTCCCAGGTGGCCTGCTGTGGTTTCAGAGCCACTTGTTAGGCCCTGGGTCCTCTGGAACCACTCAGGACTGTGGCCCCACCTCTGAGGTTGGCCTCTATAGCTATACTGAATGGCCTATACATATCAGCTCTCTCGTCTTCCTCCCACATTTCTTCAAGGCCCACCCTGCCCCCTCCCACAGAGGTGCTATTTGCTGAGACTGTTTTTCTAAAGCAGATGGTCTAGAAAAAGCCGGCCACTTGGAGCACAGAAGGCAAGGTTAACGCAAGTGATGTGGGCTGTAGCATCTGGGCTGTCCCAAACCCAAGGCTCTATCTCCACCCAACATGAAATGAAGCGGTGGCAGAACCTTTCCCAGATGGGGCCTGGGCCAGGAGGATGACACAGTGGATTAAAAGGAGTTTTTGGTTTCCCTTAAGCATAGTTGTAAACTTGCATCTTACTTGCTAGAAGCAAGAAGTCAGTATTTTGAGGGGCATGTATTCATCCATCAAACCAACTTTAACTTACCATCTAGACCAGCGGTTCTCAACTGAGGATGATGTTGCCAGCTTCCCACAGGGGACATTGGGCAATGTCTGCAGACATTTTATTCATACGTTGTCACAATACAGGGAGGTTCTACTGGCATGTGACAGGTAGAGCCCAGGGATGCTGCCAAACACCTGCAATGCCCAGCACAGCCTCCACAGCAAAGCGTCATCTAGCCCCAAAAGTCAGGAGAGCCTATATAAAGCACTTAAAATGATGCAACTTTACTATTATTGCTCCGTAAAAGGTGCTTGAATTTGCCCCTGAAAGACAGGAAGTTGACAGATGCACATAGACCTGGACATGCCAGGCAGTGCAGTTATGTATGGCCAATGGTTGGGAGAGTTTGTCAAAGAGACAGAGTATAAAGATGTGGCCTTTCGTCTTGTACGGAGTCTAGAACTGTGCTGTCCAGTAGGACTTTCTGTAACCATAGAGAAGTTCCGTATCTACTGTCCAATAGGGTAGCCCCACACATGGTTACTGAGCACTTGAAATGTGGCTAGTGTGACCAAGGAACTGAATTTTAATTACAAAAATTGTATGGGGTACATGTACAATTTTGTTATATGCAAAGATTGCATAGTGATTAAGTCAGGGCTTTTAGGGTATCCATCATCTGAATAATGTACACTGTATCCATTAACTAATTTCTCATCATCCATCCCCCTCTTACCTCATTACCCTTTCAAGTCTCCACTGTCCATAATTCCACTATGTCCATGTGTACACATTTTTTAGCACCTAGTTATGAGTGATTTTCTGTGCCTGGCTTGTTCCACTTAAGATAATGACCTCCAGTTCTATCCGTGTTGCTGCAAAGATACAATTTCATTCTTTTTATGGCTGAATAGTATTCCATTATGTATGTATATCACCTTTTCTTGATCCACTCATAGTATTTTAAATTTTATTTAATTTTAATGAATTAAAATTAAGATACTGCACATGGTTAGTGGCTACGATATTGGACAGAGCAGGTTTAGAAGAGGAGATGGTGTTGATGCAGATGAAATATTGACAACACATGACATTGGACCAGCGGGGATGGCGGGGGGGGGGGTGTCCCAGTTGGGGTACAGGAAATGAGGGGAGGAAGACATCACTTCTGACCAGGCACTTCATGGAAGAGACACTGGGAAAGCTTAGCCCAAGGTGAGTAGGTTTTTGATAGCAGAAAATGGGACCAGTAAGGGAGAGCAAATTCCAGGCAGGGGAAGCCATGTGGTCAAAGACATAGGCAGGGACATAGGGAGACAGCAGGCCTGTCTGCATGGATGAAGGACAGGTCATAAGACAACAATACCAGACCATACAACAACTGTCATTCTGAGAGATGACAGCGTGCTGGCAGTCCACACAGCCCTCGCTCCTTCTCGGCGCCTCCTCTGCCTGGGCTCCCACTTTGGCGGCACTTGAGGAGCCCTTCAGCCCCCCGCTGCACTGTGGGAGCCCCTTTCTGGGCTGGCCAAGGCCAAAGCCGGCTCCCTCAGCTTGTGGGGGGGTGTGGAGGGAGAGGCGCGGGCGGGAACCGGGGCTGCCCATGGCGCTTGCGGGCCAGCGCGAGTTCCGGGTGGGCGTGGGCTCGGCGGACCCCGCACTCCGAGCAGCCGGCTGGCCCCACCGGCCCGGGCAGTGAGGGGCTTAGCACCTGGGCCAGCAGCTGCTGTGCTCAGTTTCTCGCCGGGCCTTAGCTGCCTTCCCGCGGGGCAGCGCTCGGGACCTGCAGCCCACCATGCCTGGGCCTCCCCCAACCTCCATGTGCTCCTGTGCGGCCCGAGCCACCCTGACGAGCACCGCCCCCTGCTCCACGGCACCCAGTCCCATCCACCACCCAAGGGCTGAGGAGTGTGGGCACAGGGCCCGGGACTGGCAGGCAGCTCCACCTGCAGCCCCGGTGCAGGATCCACTGGGTGAAGGCAGCTGGGCTGTTGAGTCTGGTGGGGCCTTGGAGAACCTTTATGTCTAGCTCAGGGATTGTAAATACACCAATCGGCACTCTGCATCTACCTCAAGGTTTGTAAACACACCAATCAGCACCCTGTGTCTAGCTCAGGGTTTGTGAATGCACCAATCGACACTCTGTATCTAGCTACTCTGGTGGGGACTTGGAGAACCTTTGTGTTGACACTCTGTATCTAGCTAATCTGGTGGGGAGGTGGAGAACCTTTGTGTCCAGCTCAGGGATTGTAAACACACCAATCAGCGCCCTGTGAAAACAGACCACTAGGCTCTACCAATCAGCAGGATGTGGGTGGCGCCAGATAAGAGAATAACAGCAGGCTGCCCCAGCCAGCAGTGGCAACTTGCTCAGGTCCCCTTCCACACTGTGGAAACTTTGTTCTTTCGCTCTTTGCAATAAATCTTGCTACTGCTCACTCTTTGGGTCCACACTGCCTTTATGAGCTGTAACACTCACTGTGAAGGTCTGCAGCTTCACTCTTGAGGCCAGCGAGACCACGAACCCACCGGGAGGAAGGAGCAACTCCAGACGTGCCGCCTAAAGAGCTGTAACACCGCGAAGGTCCGCAGCTTCACTCCTGAGCCAGCGAGACCACGAACCCACCAAAAAGAACAAACTCCGAACACATCCGAACATCAGAAGGAACAAACTCCAGACACGCCACTTTTAAGAACTGTAACACTCACTGTGAGGGTCCGCAGCTTCATTCTTGAAGTCAGTGAGACCAAGAACCCACCAATTCCGGACACAATTCCAACTAGGCAATGTCAAAACTAGTTACTCTTGGGAGTCCGAGGCAGGTGGATCATGAGGTTAAGAGTTCAAGACCAGCCTGGCAAAGATGGTGAAACCCCGTATCTACTAAAAATACAAAAATTAGCCAGGTATGGTGGTGGGCGCCTGTAATCCCAGCTACTCGGGAGGCTGAGGCAGAGAATTGCTTAAAGCTGGGAGGCAGAGGTTGCAGTGAGCCGAGATCGTGCCACTGCACTCTAGCCTGGGCGACAGAAGGAGACTCTGTCTCAAAAACAAACAAACAAACAAAAAACCTAGTTACTCGACAACATACCTGCTGTAAGCCCTGGACACTCAGACATGAAGTGGAGAGAAGTGACTTGGAAAATTTAAAAAGTGCTATTTTATGGGACAAATTCTTACTGAATCCACCAGAAAGTGGTAGATGTGGGTCTTGAACTCAGGTCTGTGTGACTTGAAGCACAGTGTTTTCCACTGTACCCCATGAAGGCACCAAGTCTGTGTGTGGGCACAGAAGTTGTAGAATCTACTATGAGAAGTTGGAAAAGCACTAAATACAAATTTTGACAATTTGACAATTTGCCTCAGGCTGCTCTGGTTTCTGGAAACCAGTTAATGATGGGATGATGTGGTAGAAAATATTAATGAGGATAACTGGTACTACAAAACTCCCACAGACACTCAGACATTGCCTCAAACTTTCCCTAGAAATCTACAAATTATTGTGACTATACGAAGCAGTACTTATTTATTAGCTGCTGAGGCTGGACTAACGGTGGCAATTGCTTTGGGGATTTCACTACCAGGAGACAGAGAATCTCCACATAGGAAACCTGAGGTTTGCAATGGGGTTTGCTGCTGGAGCAAGAAACATTTATCTTCTAACATGAGGAACATCTGCAAGGTATGCCAAATTGCAGTGTTCACTGAAGACACGTAGAGGACGGTCAATAAGGTGAAAATTTCTCATGACAAAAGGAAATCATCTTGTGCAAACCAAAAGTTTCTCAGTTTTGGTTACTGGCTAGAATCCAGGATTCTTATGTAACTCTGGGAAACAACAATGGACCCCCAAACAGGTAGATTTTTGAAGCTGTGTATCTTAGAATGTTTAGCAACATTTTAATTGTTTCCATTTTATTTATCGAAGAGAGATTCCCTCTTCGATAACTAAGATGGAAACAAAAATTTGATAGTCTCTGGGCTATTAATCTTGAAAGGAAGAAAAAAATCACGAGATGTCTCAAAGTAAATATTTGGATGTTAAAAAAGAGAAAGAGATACAAACTTTGAATACATCTTTGAAAACTGAGCACACTGCTCCTGAAAGTTATCCCATAGAAGAGTTAAAAAACCAGAAAAACAGGAGCTTTCAATGGCATAATCAATCTGTGGATAGCTTAATTCATGATTTTAGTCATGTGATATTAATACAAAATTTCATAACTTAAAGGAAAATTTCAAAGTTAGCTTGTAGGTCTCCACTCCTTTAGGACTTAAGGTCTGTAGAGTTTTACTCTAACTAGAACCTACGGCAAGAACGCTAGGTAACAAGGTGGTCATTTTTTTACCTCCCCGGTTTGTAAAACCCTCAGTCCCTTTCATTTCTCAGACACTTTGGATTAAACAAGATGTGTTTTCAAACTACTTTGTCTCTTAATTTTTAAACCCTTGTTTATTTTAACTTAAATTTAATCCACATGTTTCTGATTCATTTACACTTAACTCATCAAAATGCTGTTTCATAAAAAGCTCTTTGATGTTCAAGTTGCCTTTGCAGCTATTTTTAATAAGGTTTTTTTTTTTTTTAAAGCTTCCCTACTTAGAAACAGAAAGTTCCATTTCATTGCTATTTAATAACTAGGGGTCCACAGTGTTGGGTTCAGTTCATTATTTAAATAAAATAATGTATGTAAAACGCTTCATAAATTCTAAAGCAATTGCTGCCTGTTAGTGATTACAGCTGCTATTGTTATTGCAACCATGCAGAGGGGCATACGGAGGATCGAGGTTTCTTCTTCCCTAAGTTCGCTGAACTAGAACATCTTGTAGCTCTGTTTCCTTTATAACATTTTCTTATTCTAGGACTTTCTCATTCTTAGTAACAAGTACAATAAACACATCAAATGACTGGTAAAATAATAAAAAAATTATGTCAGCTTGAGAGCCACCCACACACAAATTGAACCCCTTTTAGTTGAGGTCTCACTTGGACCTATAGGCTGACCCTCAGTGGGGCTGCGTGTCCAGTTGCCTGTCATTGACTTCGGGGTCAGGGGCTTCTCAGTGTATTATTTGCATGAATTGATAGACTTTGACAGAAAAATGATTCACTCAAAGGGAAGCTTTGTAAGCAGGCACTGGGGCAGGAGTTGGGGGTGGATAAGCAGGCAAGGTGGGGTCTGTTCCTCAGCCCCATGTATGCATTCCAAGTCTTGTGGAGAGCTGCATGGAAAAGCTGCAGCTGTTTGCAAGGGGGGCTCTGGGAGATGTGGGCACATAAGGCGCTGCTTAGGATCATCAGGCAGTGTGAGGTAGTAGAACATTCTGCTAGTTCTGGGTAGAACTCAGCCCTGCCCTGGCCTTACAGGAATCCCTATACGTTGATGAGAGTGTCTGGTGGAATAGTGGGGCAAGGGTGGCTGAGATTCTGTTTCCTGGCAGGACATGGCAGAGAAGTTTTGGCAATATCCTCTTTTGGCAATAACCAATTGCCTGTATGATTATCACCCAGTTAAAGCTGGTTTAAGTGCATATGAGCCTCCCTGGGGTTCCCAGAAACACTTTGGGATATATGTGTGTGTGTGTGTGTGTGTGCGCGTGTATGTGTATGTGTGCACACGCACGCATATGAAGAGGAGGGGTTCCCATGTGTCTCTCTGACCCCATTCCTCACTGGAATGTGCTGAGGCCCGAGGCCATTCAGGTTACATGTGAACATAGCAAAACGGCCATTCTGTTGCTCTGTGCTCACAGTTGTGCGGAAGGCCTCCGTTGCTCTCACACAAGTGAACAGGAGTGCTTTGTCTCCTGGAAGCCGACCCTGATCCTGTGTGTGAAGCATAGACTTTCAGCTTTTGCATGCTCTCCCCATGGCCCGGACTGCCACACACCAGGCTGCCTTGAGGAATTTGGAACCAAACATGAAAAGTCTTTCTCAACAATAGAGGGAACATTGCTTTGCCCTTTCACACATCAGTCTTTCCTGGTGAATGGCTTCCCGGCCTTCTGATTCTTGCCGTATGGAACAATTGGCCTGTTCAGTTAACTTGCCAGCAGTAATCAGTTATTTTCTCCTCGCCATATATTTCAACCATTCTTTTTGGAGGAGAAAGAAATTAAAGAAACAAAGGGAAGTGGCTATAAAGAACAGAACTGTCAGAATAGCAAGTGTTTGAGTAATTTGTTGGGTCCTTGGTTTAGGGTTGATTGATTTTAGCACTAATTTTGGTTTGGAGTATTTCTTGGGACAAAGAAACCCTATTTTAAACTGCATCTCCATTGAAGATTGTGATTACCAGAGGGGAAATGCTGTGTAACGGAGGTCTTGTTATAATTCCATAACCTAATTGATTATTTTCCCTTCTTTTTTTAGAATTCAGATGTCTGTTTGGCTATCTCTCTTTTCATGAAATAAGCCAGATCTTTGACAACACCCACTGAACTCAGTCCATGACAGATATTGCCCAAAAAACCACCTGGTCCAGCAAAACTGTAATAACTGCTCTGCGGCTCAGTCCACTGGGTCTCTTTCGAAAAAGGGGGAAGAAGTCCCCAAATGACTGATGTTCTTAGGTCCAGCCACAGTTTTTCATTGTTCTCAAAGCACCTGGTATAACCTGCTTGCTTTCAATTCTTCTGAGAGCCTGAGGATTTGAAATGAAAAGAGAAAATAGAATCCCCTAAGTCCACGGGCAAGGCAATATGCTCTTATAAAGAAAACACGGAACATTTCCGAACATGTGGTCCGCTCAGCTGCCCTCGTCAGGGTCAGATTTATGTATTTGCTCTGCAATCAAGATTTTTGTACACCAGGCACAATACCTTGGGGTATTTACAGTGTAAGCTATTTTGCTAAAGCAAACAGCTGCACCGAGGCTCAGTAAACCCCCCTGTCCCCAGACACAGGAGCCAGAACCTTCTCGGGTTAGCAGGTGTGTGTCCTAACTAGGAGGAGGTGAAATTTCTTTGGGCCTGACTCCCCGAATGTCTGAACATTTTCCCTTTCTCCAGGATGTGATCTGATGACTTCCGAAAGCATTTGAAAAGGAGATTCTTTGCTTATTTTCCCCTTGATAAGAACAACCAAAAAGGGTACAGTTATTACAATCTGAGGGGAAGGGCTGGGTTGCTTTAAGAGGAAGCTGTAGATAAAGTCTGAGCTGTGACAAAGGCACTTTATCATCATCTTCTTTTTCTGTTTTTTAGTTCCCTCCCTCTTTTCTGGCAGAGAGGGTGGAGGCCATGGTCACGAGCAGGAATTTAAAAGGGAAACGGAAGGCAAAAAGCAGGAGACTGCTTTTACCCCATGGAATCTCAATGGTCATTTTTGCTTGTGAGAGACTCCTTGCTGGCTTCCATCAGTGGGAAGGACAAAATCACCCGCATATCTACAGACAGGACTTTAAAAAACAGAGGTGGAATAAGAGGGTGGAGTGATGTATCTATTTATTCATCCAACAAATATATATTAAGTGCCCACTGGTTTTGGGGCTGAGATTACTGTGGTAATGGGGTTGGACATCATCTCTGCAAGAGACCAAAGATGTCTCCCTCACTAGCTAACTGCAAAATTTCCACAATTTCAACCATTTTTTACCCTGGTCTGTCCTCCTGCCTTATTCTTCAAAGCTAGCAGTGTAGTATCTTCAAATCATTCTCTGCTTTTAAAAACTTTTATTTTTTGTAGAGATGGCGTTTCACTATGTTGCCCAGGCTGGTCTCAAACTCCAGGCCTCAAGCAATCCTCCCACCTCATCCTCCCCAAAAAGCTCGGATTACCAGCATGACCTACCTGCACCAGCCTCCTACATCCCTCTAATAAGGACTCTTGTGATGACATTAGGTCCATCCACATAATCTGGGACAATCTCCTCATCTCAAGATTCTTGATAATATTTGCAAAATCTCTTTTACCATTTAAGATAACATATTCACAGGTTCTGGGAATATGACATATGCATCTTGGAAGCCACTCCTCAGGTCACCAAAATTCCATTTTGAGATATTTACCAAGTGGATCCTTAATATATAAACAAAACAGGCCAGGTGCAGTGGCTCATGCCTGTAATCCCAGCACTTTGGGAGGCCCAGGAGGGTGGATAGCTTGAGGTCAGGAATTCGAGACCAGCCTGACCAACATGGCAAAACCCCGTCTCTACTAATAATACAAAAATTAGCCAGATGTGGTGATGTGTGCCTATAAACTCAGTTACTCAGGAGGCTGAGGCACGAGAATCGCTTGAACCCAGGAGGTGAGGCTGCAGTGAGCCGAGATCGCACCCTACACTCCAGCCTGGGTGACAGAGAGAAACTCTGTTTCAAAAAAAAAAAAGCCAACAAAACAAAACATGACTATTAAAATTTATAAGAGTATATATTAAGTTGAATGCAGATATATCTTTTTTACTCATTTCATCAACAAATATTCCTAAATATCTATATGCAAAGCTTTGCCCAATCTTTCCATTGTCAGCTCAAGAAGAGCTCTTCCTTGATGTTATTTTCTCTACCTTCCTCACAAGGATTGATTCCCCCTTCTCAGCATCTATATAGAGTCTGGCCCAGAGCTGGAACTCCGTAACTGTTGACTGACATTATTTCAATGACATTTCCATGTTTTTTCTACCAGCCTCTAAGCCACCATTCCTTAAAGCACGTTTCACAAAACACTTGTCTCATGAGATTACATCACATACAAACAGTTCTATGGTCAAAACATTTCAGGAAACACTACATATTTTACTCTCTCTATTGGAGATTTGCAGTAGTGTGCATTAGCTTATTAAAGACTCTGACAAGTCCTGTGTGTGGCATGGGGTAGGAGTGGGGAGAGGTAATTTAACATGGCATTTTCCAGATTTACTTGCCAGTGGAATTCCTTTTCCTATAAAATCAATTAACATCACGTTTTGAAAAATATTGCTCTAGGGTCCTTGGGGCAAGAACCAAATTGTGTCCTTCTTTGTATCTTTTGTGGCTGGCGTGTCCCTGGGATACTGTAGGTGCTTCATAAACACATGTTGAATGAATGCATTAAACAAGAGGAAAACCAAGTTGATAAGGCAAGGTTACTTCTCTCAAGTTGCTAAAAATGAATAAGACATATGTGTAAATAATTATTTATACTACTAGATAAATTACAAAGTGATCTAAGCTAGGATTGTTAATAAGGAGAAAATCAAATCCAAATGCTGAAAACCAACCTAAGAATTAAACAGAACTAGGCCAGGTTACTCAAGCCACCCTTTGAACTTTGTGGACTGCCCTCTTTCAGAAAGGAACAAAGAAAATTAGATCTGTGTAGCACAGAGCAGAACAGAAAGGAATAGCTGTCTTCAGATAAAAAATGAAAATTGTTATAGAAAAGATTAAGCTAGGATTAAAACTCCAAGTCAGGTCTCTACTGCACCCCGAGTGATGGCTGAGAACCCAGTACTCATGTCCAATTGTGTCTGTGAACCGCAGGCAGTCAGTTTGAGGGAGTGAACCCATAGCTGGCTGCCAAATGTTGGGCATGAATTTTCCAATCCAAGCCACCATTATTTATCAGAAATGAAGGTTCTCTTGACACAGGAAGCAGGAATGGTCTTGCTTTGAGATGGCGCCAAAGGCCAGGGCAATCATGGATGAACCAGCCATTCCAGCAGCTGCTCCACGCTTTGCTGGGTTCCCCTGTTGGTTGAATCTAAGAGCTAATTCATCCCAGGTCATGAAGTGGCAGCAGGCAATCTTTCCTATGTGTTCTGCCAAAGTCACTAGTTCAAGCAAGAAGAGAAAAAAGCTGGTATAGCTCCATTGAAGAGGCAAAAGATTTGGGGACCACCAGAAAGATTTGGATTTGAATACTGGCTTTGTCATCCGTGACTGTATGCAAGTTACTTAACTTCTATGAGCCCATGCCTTCAGTTGAGAAATTTGAATATACCTCTGCATAGGGTTGTTTTAAGTCCTAGAAGTAAAGTTTACAAAGCGTATGAAGTGTATGTAGTAGTTATTCAATAAACAATAGTAGGATAGCATTTATAATTAATAATGCTTATCAGTAATATAAAATATGATATTAACATAAAATGTTATAATAAAATATGAGTAAAGGATACATTTATAATAAATAATATTTATCAGTAAAAAAATGGCAGAATAAAATTTGAGTAATTTTGTTTTCTTATACCTCTTTCAGGATTTCTTTTTATTTTATAATTTTGCTCAGTATTTGGGAAGTTGTTCATTCTGGGCTTATTGCCTCAGGGAATAGATGAAGTAGCAGGAAAGCAAAGAAGAAAGAACCTCTTTCGGACTTTGAGTTTCAAAAGTCAGACAATGAAGGAATAAAAAGGAAGACTCATGATATAGACTTGGACTGCCCAACATGGTAGCCACCAGCTAGCTATGGCCATTGAGTGCCTGAAATATGGTTAGTCTGTGTGCTGTAGGTATAAAACACACACCAGATTTCAAAGACTTAGTGCAAAAGAGAATGTAAAGCACTTAATTACCGGTATAGCTGAATGTTCGAGTCCCCCCCAAAATTCACTTGTTGAAACCTAACCCCCAGTGTGATGGTATTAGGAGGTGGGCCTTTGGGAGGTGATTAGGTCATCAGGATGGAGCTCTCATGTATGGGATTAGTATCTTTGTTAAAGAAATTCCAGAGAGTTTCTGTGCCCTTCTGCCACTTATGAACCAAGAATCTGTCCCTCACCAGATACCCCTGCCAGTGCCTTGATCTTAGACTTCCAGCCTACGGAGCTATCAGAAATAAATTTTTGTGATTCATAAGCCACCTGCGTTATGCCATTTAGTTATAGGAGCCTGAATGAGTTAAAATAATTATTAATTTTTAAAACTGATTACACATTGAAATGAAAATATTTTGAGTTAAGTAAAATGTATTATTACAATTAATTTTATCTGCTTGCTTTCTTCTAAATGTAGCTACAGAGAATAAACATATGTAGTTTACGACTATAGCCACATTATATCTCTTTGGAACATCACTGGCCAAGACAATGAAGGAATAGAAAAGACTTACGGTATAGACAATTAATCTAGCTGAAAACATAGTCAGTCTGAGCAAGGTTTCTTGCTCCTAAAATTAGAAAAGAACTCCTGGACTGGGTGAGGAGGGTCAAAGGCATAACGTGAGAGCTAAGACGCAGGTTCATTCTTGTGACCTGCATGACCCTTAACTCTCTAGCCTTATCCCTGGAGAGGAGATGGCGTTTTCCCCAGATAAGGTTTTGGGATCAGAGGGAAAGGTACTTGTGCCTCCTGTGCCAGGCAGAGTTCTGATGAGGCAGCAAGATTCCAGAAGAGAGGACTGTATGGTCATCCCAGCAAACCAGGCCTTAACAGCGTCATTACATTTCCCACGCTGCAGGAGAAGAATTTCTACACATCCCCAGAGTGGCACAGACATAGCAGAGCAACTACTAGATTTATAGAAGCTTTGGCTGGGCATGGTGGCTCATGCCCGTAATCCCAGCACTTTGGGAGGCCGAGGCGGGCGGATCACCTGAGGTCAGGAGTTCAAGACCAGCCTGACCAACATGGAGAAACCCCGTCTCTACTAAAAATACAAAATTAGCTGGGCATGGTGGCACATGCCTGTAATCCTAGCTACTCTGGAGGCTGAGGCAGGAGAATCACTGGAACCTGGGAGGCCGAGGTTGCGGTGAGCCAAGATTGAGCCATTGCACTCCAGCCTGGGCAACAAGAGCAAAACTCCACCTCAAAAAAAAAAAAAAAAAAGAAGCTTCGCAGATAGGATCAGGGGCTGACTCAGCAGAAATCTGAACAGACTGACAACCTAAGAAGATAAAGGATGATGGGAGTCTCTGTGCAAATTGCCTTAGGTCAAATTCCCTAGAAACAGAGCCCAAGATGGGGATTCTTGTGAAAGTGACTGCTTGAGGTAGTGTACGCAGGAGAAACCTGAAAGAGAGGAAAGCAAACAGAATAGGGCAGGGGAAGAAATTAGGCAGAGACATGGCTTCAGGAGTAAAGCAGCCTCTGCCTGATCCCATGGAGAACCCTGCAGTGTGAAGTTGCATCACAGAATTTGTTCCATCTTGAGGCACGAAGGCCGAGCTTTAATGCTGCTCCGTCCATCATTAGTTACAGAGGGACCTGAAGGGGCCTTTTTCATCATCTTCCAGGCTTTTCTAAGAGAAGTGGCTCCACTCAGCGGAGGACAATACTCCTGAGAATGATGCAGACCTTCAGCAGCCAGGGGATGAGAGCAGGAGTCTGGGGAAAGAGGACTGTGCTGAGCACCCACAGCATCTGCCACATGGAGAGGATTCAGCGGGAGAGTACATGAACCCCCTTCCATTGCCTTGGCACAACGGAAGTCTCATCCTTGGCATTGAGCAACAACTCTCGGGAAAGAGGGAAGATCCTAAGTCAGTAGAAATTAATTTTTTCCCATCTTTGTTGATAGGAGACTTGATATAGTACTTAAGGCAAAGAATTGAAAAATAAAATTTTATTTCTTACATACCTGAATTATAGATTGAGATTCACTCTTTATTATACAGCAAGCTAAATAAAGTTGGGTACAAGATGTATATGAGAAAAAAAGAATGTCCAATGGCAAATATATATGATTTTCTTATAAAGTAAAAACACACTGGGCACAGTGGCCCATGCCTGTAATCCCAGTGCCTTGGGAAGCTGAGAAGGAAGTGTGGCTTGAGGCTAGGAGTTCGAGACCAGCCTGGGCAACACAGTGAGATCCTATCTCTAAAAAAAAAAATTGTAAAAATTAGCCAGTTGTGGTGGCATGTGCGTTTAGTCCCAGCTACTTGGGAGGCTGAGGCAGGAGGATTGCTTGAGCCCAGTAGTTCAAGGTTGCAGTGAACTATGATCACGCCACTGCACTCTAGCCTGGGTGACAGAGAGAGACCCTGTCTCGAAAAAAAAAGAAAAGAAAATTTAAAAAAAGTGAAAACAAAAAGAACAAGATTTATAAATCTTTTCCAGTATGGGCTATTGGTAATTCTGGTGAGAAATATTTACACATTCTAGTGGTTACATGATGCAATGTCCAGGTGGATATTAAATGGACTGTGACGAACCTGGAATGATGGTACTGACACTGTAAATATCTCATTAACAGATTGCCCCAACCTGTAAAAAAGAAAGCTTTTACTGACTTATTCATGTGGTCACCGTATTTGCTAGAGAATTTTACACACATTTAGATGTGTTTAATTCAAGGGAAAAGCAATCATCCGGACTAGAGGAAGTTGCCAATAGCTCACGGGACTAAAATTTTTCATGTGTGTCGTTTAACATGGGTCCACGTAACAGGTTTTTCCTATCTGTATTTGACAGATTAATTAAATCAATTCCAGTTTACATTTTTTATCCTATTCTAATTTAGAAACCATCAGCTAAGACTTAGAAAGCTCAAAAAAAAAATCAAAAACAATAAAAGGCCAAACTCCTAAGTGTATGTAAAGAAAATACAAATTTGGCAGGGCGTGGTGGCTCAAGCCTGTAATCCCAGCACTTTGGGAGGCCGAGGTGGGCAGCTCACAAGGTCAGGAGTTTGAGACCAGCCTGACTAACATGGTAAAACCCAGCCTCTACTAAAAACATACAAAAATTAGCCAGGCATGGTGGCGTGCGCCTGTAATCCCAGCTACTCGGGAGGCTGAGGTAGGAGAATTGCTTGAATCCAGGAGGTGGAGTTTGCAGTGAGCTGAGATCACGCCACTGCACTTCAGCCTGGGCAACAGAGCAAGACTCCGTCTCAAAATAAACAAACAAACAAACAAATTTGCCAAATGTTTGCCAGCACCAAGGGTACTGGTAAGTTCTTCTTTCCATTTCCCTTCCAAATGCTGCTGCTCATTATACTACTTTTCCCTTAATTTGATTTAGAACTCATATGCAGTCTGTACTATGATGTTCTTGACTACTTGCTGTACAATTTATCTTATTCTATCAGGTCATTCGCTTACTTAACTCAATGAATATCTCTTGGGTATCTACCACATGCCAGGTGCTGTGCTAGGCAGCAAGGATCCAATGGTGTACAAAACAGGTCCTGCTCTGGTCTTCATGAAACTTATAATAGGTACTTGGTCATCAACTGGGCTAACAGAAGACATCAGATCTATATATTTAACCTGGTTTCTTTCTGTCTGTGTGTGTGTGTGTGTGTGGTTTTTTCTGAGACAGCATCTCTCTCTGTTGTCCAGGCTGGAGTGTAGTGGCATGGCCATGGCCCACTGTAGCCTCAACTTCCTGGGCTCAAGTGATCCTCCCACCTTAGTACCCTGAGTAGTTGCGCACCACCATGCCTGGTAATTTAATTTTTTTTTTTTTTTTTGTAGAGACAGGGTCTCACTATGTTGCCCAGGTTGTTCTCAAACTCCTGGTCTCAAGTGATGCTCCTGCCTCAGCCTCCCAAACTGTGGGCATTACAAGCATGAGCCATCATGCCTGGCCTCTGGTGGTTTTTGTTCAAAGTAATATTTGTAGCTAGTCACAGAAACATTGACTAATATCTACTGTTCATCAAGGGAAGGTACGTAGGGCTGTAAAGATGTCCTCACCATTTCATCCTCATAATAACCCACTTATTCCCAGTACACAGAGGAGGGAATTTGACTCCAAGCCCACACAGCAGACCAGGCCCTAACTTCTCTCTCTTTTTTTTTTTTTTTTTGTTTTTTTTTGCTTTTCCCCTTGAAATTATTTAGTGGATTGTGCGTATTATCACATCAGTCCTATTCCTTCTGGTTTAAAATCTCCTCTGTTTCTTGGTGGTAATTTTCACCATCTGCTCCGACATCCCCTTGATCTTGATGTCACATTGGAAGAGAACTGATAAATCAGTGCCTGCAAGGACCTATGATGGTACCAAACAGAGAGAGAGTAGAGTCTGTCAATGAAAATCTTTCAGAACTAAAAGTCTGCATCTCTGACAAAGGGCTTTCAGGTGCTGCAGCAAAGATGGTTTTTCGTAAGTAAATTTGCTCCTTCTTCCTTAGCAATGGAACACTCATTCTTTAGCTGAGATCATGACCCTCATGGATGACATCTCTTAGTTTCCTTTGCAGCTAAGGTGACCATGTGATTAAGGTTTGGCTAACGGTATGCAAGAAGAGCGGTCTGTGCAACCGCCAGGAACTATGCCCTGAAAGAAAGGTGATGTGTCTTTTTATAGCTGTTCCTTTTGGCTAGAACACAGACATGAAGGCTGGGGCTCAAGCGGCCAGATTGGAAGTAGTGTGCTGATGATAGTGGAGCAGGAACTTGGAAGGAGATTGTATCTGATGATCAGGGAGCACCTTACCGGCCCTGGACTGCTTACCTTTGGACTTTGTGTAAGAGAGAAATCAACTTCAATCTAGGTTTTGTGACTTTAGGTTTTGTATTACTAGCAGCCTAATTTAATCCTAATGAAACAGGCACTATAACAGGAAATAAGAATATCAGCCAGTGACTTTCCTGGTATACTTGAGTCAGGGAATTACTGGTTCTGCCTGCTTATGATGCTTATCCATATACTGTCCTTAAGCCAGAATGAAACTTGACTAGGAAACTGGGCTTATGAATGATCAGAATGTATTCCAGCAATTGTATTTCAGGTGGCAAAACCCCTGCTTCTGGAAAGTCCTGGGAGAGTCACCTGCCCCTCAGTCTGGCCTTGGTATAACTTTCCCCTTGGGAAGCACATGTCTGTGAAAGCAGCTATTGCCTCTATCACCCCAGCCTCTAGAGTCACTTACCTAGCCCGGAGGAGTTACAAACTACCGTAATTGTCTCATATACAAAATGACTTTGTAAAAAGAAGCCCAGAAAACAGAGAACAAAGAACAGGATCAGAGCTTCAGTTTGAAAATATTGCTACAGAATGGATTTGGGCTGGGGGTGGAAAATTGGGAGCAGGGAGAAAAATTAGGAAGGTAATGAGATAATCCAGGAGACAAATGTTGAGTGCTGGAGCTAACGCATTGGGAGTAGAAATGTAAAGGAAGCAACAGCTTAATTAGAATTGTTGTGGGCATGAGATTACATAGTGATTATTCATAAAGGGAAAAGAGGGCAAAAAAATGAGAGCCAGTAAAAGAGATGGAGAAGGTAAAACTATAGGGGTAGGAGGAAAAGCAAGAGGGTGGGCATCACAGAACAGGGTACGTTTTAAAGAAGGGAGTGGTCAACAGAGTCCAAAGTACTAAAGAGGTCAAGAAGGATAAGGAGAAATTATATCAACTGGCTTCTATTGGTTTTGGCAATATGGTGGCCATTGGAAACTCCATCCTGAGCAGATCTGCTAAACTAATGTGCATGGAAGCCAGATTGCAGTTGACTGAGGGATTAAGACCTTTCTCCATCCTAGAATAAAGGAAGGAGTGGGATGAAGGGTCATTTCTTTGGGATTACAGGAACTGCTAACACAGACATCAGGTGAAAGCAATTCTTACAAGAATCTTGGTTTGATATCTTAGAACACTTTCAATTCATACTGATGTTGTCTTTGGCTCACTGGAAATGGTATGAATAAAAAAACTTCAGCATTTTGACTGACCTCAACTTTTTGGATGTTTTGACTACTACCCAGTCAGTTGGGCCAAAATCAACTAAGAAATTATGCACATGGGTGTGATAGTTAAATACAAAATGTTTACTGTCTGTCCCAAGAGATAGTAAGGAAAAGTTCTGTTAATTAGGTCCTGTGTACATTTCCATTATCATGGCTAATTACCTGTTTTATTCAATGATATACTTTGTTAATTACCACTAGTGCTCTTGGTTCTCAGCCTATTTTAAACATCTTACAATGCTTTCTTTATCTTCTAGGTGTAATTACCAGCCTAGCTTTTGTTTGTATTAAGAAGGCAAGATACATGGAACACGATGTGCAAATTACAGAAGCTACCCCGTCTTTGCGCTTTAAATTGAGAAATGTGGTCAGAAACTGGTCACATTTTAGAGTTAGAGGTGAAGTTATTAAGGTTATTTTGTGCAGCAGTTCTCACCCCAGGAGCAGACAAAAGATTTCTTGGTGGAACATGGGAATTTTATTCTATAAGACAGAATCAGATGTTACTATCAAATACATTTCTATACTACTACTACAGTTTTGATCCTCAAAACTTTTCATGTGTGGCCACTATGACAACAAAATGTCTATAACATTGTGTTTCTCAGAAAAAAGTAGACTTTTGATTTCTATCACAAGTTCCAGGTTGTTGAAAGAGTGATTGATGGTTTATGAGATATTTGAGGCATTATCTGCATTTTACAAGGGGAAAAACTAAAGTCCATCTGGAGGACAAAGGACCTTCACAGAACTGCCAGTTGTGGAAACAGCAAAGTTAGAACTGAAATTCCTCCCTTTTCTTTCCACTAACCTGAACCCCACACAGTCCATGCTGAAAAGGGAGGATAGGTGAGGTTCTGGGGTCACACAGACCTTGCTTTGAAGCCTGGGTCCCTCCCCTCTAAATCTCACTTGCCTCATCTGGAGAATGGGAAGGACAGTAGTTGCCACAGTACTGGGATTGTTTTGATGATTAAATGAAAAAACGTATGGGCAGTTCTCACCTTGTGCTTGGCACATGGTGATTTCCCAACAAACATCAGCTGGCTTTAACAACACAGACCCAGAGCTGGCTGTGGCTTTGCTGGGTGCCCCAACTCCAGAAAAAAGTCTAGCATCCCTGTAAATGGAAATGTGATCAGTCTTCACCAGATTGGCATCTATTTGCTCTTTAGACACTTGCTGATGGTCAGTTTCAATTTAGACCCAGCAATGGCAATATTCAAACATCAAAAGCATGTGGGTAAAAACATACTCCTTTTTTGTTGTTTTCCACATATGTGTATCTAAATAAATTAATTGGTTGGCCACCACCATATAGGGTCCTATGACTATCTGAGGCCAAATCTATTGAGGCCAGAGGGTAGAGCAATAAGGAGTATTGAACTTCCATCATATTTCCTGAATACTCTGTGATCTACTAGAACTTTGGGAAAATTACTTGACTTCTCTGTGCCTTTGCTTCCTCATCTATACAGTGGAGGTAAAAGAGTACCTACCTCTTGGGTTATTGTGAGAATAAAATAAGATGCTGCACATAAAGTGCATAGCCAAAGACAGCACATCGTATGTCCTCAATTACTGAGCCATTAGCATTGTTTCTGTCTCCTCTGCAACCACGACCATCTCATTGTAGAGCTTGGTTCTAATCAGGATCAGGATATACAAATGTCATATGCAATTTGTAGAATGCTGCGGGTTTGATATTTGCATTGTTAGTTGTGTGTTTGAATTCTGTCCTCCAGATATGGTCTTACAAATTTTATTTATCCAAAAAATATGCAGTGATGATCTTTATTGAGCCTTTGAAATCTACTTTAAATGCTGCTGTATACTATATACAGCAGTCCTAAACTTCCAAAAGTAAAATACATCTTCTTGACAATGGGCAATGCCTTATGATTAGTATCAAAACCACAAACATGTAAGATTTATTTATTATGTGTCACATGACTTTGATAGACATTATCTCAGAAGGCCTCAGGCCTTATGAGAGAGTGTCATAGTCATTAGGGCTGTTCACACAATTTCCTGCCTCTTTCAAGTGTGGTAATGAGGTAGGAGGTGGGACTTGACTTTAGAGGCGGAGCTTAGACACTGGACCAAACTGAGGACTAGCTAAAACAGGGACAGAGCAGAAGCAGCTTTCCATAATACATGCCCACCAGTGTGCCATGTGAGTTACCACGGCCATGGCAACACCAAAACTTACCACCTCTTTCCATGAAATTTCTGCATAACCTGTCCCTTAATTTGCAGGTAATTAAAAGTGTGTATAAATATGACTTCAGAACTGTCTTTGAGCTGCTACTCTGGACACACTGCCTATAGGGTAGCCCTGCTCTGCATGGAGCAGTACCTTTGCTGCTGCTGTACACTGCTGCTTCAATAAAAGTTGCCGTCTAACACCACTGGCTCACCCTTGAATTCTTTCCTGGGAAAAGCCAAGAACCCTCCCAGGCTAAGTCCTAATTTTGGGGCTCGACTGCCCTGCATCAGTAGGACTGCACTTTTTGGTTTCTTTGAAGTTAGGTGGGGACATGTGACTTATTTGGCCAATGAGATAAGAGTGTTAGTAATGTGGGTCACTTCCAGGGGAAGCAGTGAATTGCCAGTGTGAGACAACACAGTGCTCTCTGGTCCTCTTCTACAGCGACTATGGAAGCACAGAGATTGAACTTCTGTTGGGCAGGGGCCGTGAGTGATGATAACAAGGAATACAGCCTATTACTGATGTGTGAGGGGCATGAAGTGTGGGTGAGAAATAAACTTTTTTGTGTGCTAAGTCACTGATTTTGTGAGGTTATTATGGAAATAACATAGCCTATCTTGACAAGTATAAGGAGAGACTATTATTATTCCCATGTTACAGAAGAGGAATGGGAGGCACAGAGCAGTTAAGAAATTTATCCAAGGTCACACAGGCAGGAAGGTGGAATCAACATTCAAACCTAGATGTTTCTCACTATTAAATGATGCCTTTAACAACTACGCTGTTCTTCACTTCCTTCCAGTTAGTTGTGGGAATTTATAGTTTCAACGGAAAATGTTTGTACTTGTCATTTTTATTTTTATTTTTATTTTTTTTGAGATGGAGTCTTGCTCTGTGGTCCAGGCTGGAGTGCAGTGAAGCGATCTTGGCTCACCACAACCTCTGCCTCCCGGGTTCAAGCAATTCTCCTGCCTCAGCCTCCCGAGTAGCTGGGATTACAGGCATGCACCACCATGCCTAGCTAATTTTTGTATTTTTAGTAGAGACAGGGTTTCACTATCTTGAACCCCTGACTTCATGATCCGCCCACCTCAGCCTCCCAAACTGCTGGGATTACAGGCGTGAGCCACCGTGCCCGGCCTGTACTTGTCATTTTTAAAGCTATCTTCTTGAAAAATTCTTACCTTCTCTATGAAGGAATCATTGCGCAAAGTGATTTGATAGGTTTCCAAAACACGAATGACTTTTTTGGGGCAGGGGTCCCCACAAGCCAGTGCCTATGGTTCTGCAGGCCTCTTTTCAGTAAGAGACCAGCCTTCCCAGTTTCCCAGCTTCTTCTGTCTCTCTTTAACTGATAAGATCCAGTGTCTGGTGTTGGGACCCAGGTCTGAAACCTGCGCCTACACCTTCTCAGATTCCCATGTCCTTAGCTCAAGGACTTACCACTCTGCCTTTAAATATTCTCTTCATTTCTGACTTTATCAAGCCCCAAATGAAAGACCTTTTTGTTAAGTGTAGTTGATTCCTAGATACTACACATGCTACAGGAAATAGAAATACTGTGTAAAATGTAACAAAAATAGCAAAGGACATGACCGTTCATAAAATAAATAGGATTTAAATGGTTTAAGATATCAAAAACTATAGTGAAAATAGGAAATTATGAAAAAAGAAACTGCAGGCTTAAAAAACATGGAAATAAGTCTTTTATCAATGAAAATTATCATTACATTAAAAATACAATGAATAGATTAAATAGCAGGTGGGATATAATTGAGGAAAAAATGAGTAAACTGTAAAGTAGATTTAAGAACATTAACTAGAAAAGGACTTAAGAGATATACAGGAAAAAGTGATAAGTTCTCATTTTAGGTTGTTAGAAGGATAGATTAGAAAGAATGATGGGAATGGCCGGGTGTGGTGGCTCACACCTGTAATCCCAGCACTTTGGGAGGCTGAGGTGGGCAGATCACTTGAGGTCAGGAGTTCGAGACCTCCCTGCCTATATGGTGAAACCTCATTTCTACTAAAAATACAAAAAATTAGCTGGATATGGTAGCACACGACTGTAGTCCCAGCTACTTGGGGGACTGAGGCAGGAGAATAGCTTGAACCTGGGAGGGAGGCGGAGGTTGTAGTGAGCAGACATCGTGCCACTGCACTCCAGCCTGGGTGACAGAGTGAGACTCTATCTCAAAAAAAAAAAAAAGAAAGAAAGAAAGAATGGAAGGGAGTGGGAAAGTTGAAGAGATTATATCTGAGAATGTATCGAAAATTATAGAAGTATTTTTTATTTTATTTTTATTTTAAAGAGGATTCCTTGGCCAGATTTATGATTGAAAATAAGCCACTGGTACCCAAAGAGTAAAACAAATAAGCTGCTCATTTGCAAATTCTGCCTTGATGAGGATTATTTTTATAATTATGAGTCTACTTTATTGAAGTCCAGTAGTATTATTTATGAAACAGAATAAAATAGCTGTACTCAGGCATAAAGATTATGAGAACGAGGAAGTCATATATGTAAAGCTATTGTTCCAACCTATATTATGCACAGAGATCACAAGATGAACTACTAAAAATGCAGATGGCTATCTCTTATTCCAAAATCACTATATTCAGTCAGTCTGCCCCAGCAATTTGCGCCTTTTCTAAGCACCAGCCCAGTTTATTTGATGCAGGATCATCCTTGAACTTCACTGTAAGAAACATGGTTCTAGCCCATGCTTGCATTCAATGTTGTATTGCTTTGAATCTGGTTGCTTAGGTATGAAAATATTGGCTCTGTTGCACAGGGACTGCCCATCCTCTCAAAGCCAAGTCATTTCCTGAGATAGGCTTTAATATAAAAAAACCTTTGAAGTCCATTGTTTGATAACTTTACCTTTTTAACCAAAAGAGGAAATAAAAATAAACCCCACAGCATTTGGAAAAAAGAAGGTAGGTTTAGTAAAACAGTAAAAAGAAATCTTGATGACAAACTTACTGATTTGTTCACTTGACAAAAACAAAGGTTTTCATAATCCACTGGCCAATTTATAGTGGGGTTTTAGAATTGATTTAGAATTAAATTTAAACTTGACTTCTACCATGTAGACAAAACTCCTGAAGGATGGAGGTAGCCTGGTATAACAGAATGAACACAGATATTCCCGTCAGAAGACCTGGGTTTGAATCTTGGTTCTGTCAATCCAGCCATGTGACATTAACCCCTAGTAATAATGTACATTATCCTATCTTGGAGATATTTCTTTTTGTCAGCCAGGACATAATTCAACCTATCTTGCATGAAATAATTAACTTCCATCAGTACTAATATGCCAACCAATGCGGGATTTCCACCCAGCCGTCATTGACACTCCCTAAATAGCCCCTTAGGAAAGGACTGTCACCATTATAATGGTGATAATATATCACTGCTAGCGATAATGTACCTAACTTGCTTAGCCCAGTTATTAGCATTATTTATAATCATTACTATTGTTATTCATCTTCTCTTCCCCTTAATCAATACGATGGAGAACATGATGTTGTTCTCCCTTAAATTTGTTGTGAGGATTTTTAAATTAGATAATTAATAGGCTACACATTTGGTGCTTATGATGTGCTAGGCATAGTCTAAGTATCTTACATGCATTAACTTATTTGATCTTCACAACACCCTGTGAGGTTCTCCCCATTTGACAGATGAGGAAGCTGAGGCTCAGAGATGAAAAGCACATTACCCAAGGTCACACAGCTATTAAGGGGTGAAACTGGACTATTGTAGGTGAAGAGCTCAGTCTGGTACCTGGCAGA
This sequence comes from Homo sapiens, assembly GCF_000001405.40. Lineage (NCBI taxonomy): Eukaryota > Metazoa > Chordata > Mammalia > Primates > Hominidae > Homo > Homo sapiens. Next base: position 66,672,571 of record NC_000003.12, read on the forward strand.
CAGTAGATCTTAATCATGGACAGCATTCATGGTGTTTTGTGTAGAGAGAACCTTTCCTAAGGGGCTGTCTTGGGAGTGTCAATGATGGCTGGGTGGAAACCCACATTGGTAGGCACATTTGTACTGATGGAAGTTAATTCTTTCATGGAAGGTGGGTTGAGTGATGTCCTGGCTGACAAAAAATAAAAAAAATCTCCAAGCTATCAGCTGCAAATGAGGGTGGACATATATTTAAATAGGCGTTGGACCCAATTCATCCCATGTGGTCCCCAAATTAATAAGATCTATACATAATTGTCATACTTAGAAATGTTTCCTTTTAGTCCTGAGAGAATGATTATGCTGCAAAGATGCAGTTCTTGAGACTGGGTGGAAAAAAAAACCCTTCTCTTATATATAGTTATATTCTGATGGGCCAGCAGTAGATGCAATAAAGGCAGTGATATTTAAGTTGATCAGGGACAGATGTTTAACATATTTTATGTAAGAATTGTAGACAAAGTTAACTGCCAAAACAGACTGTTTTCTTGAAACATTGGACAGATGGAACCAACAAGATATACTCCTGAGGAGTCTGAACTCTTCAAAGTGACCCTAATTTAAAAATAATAATAATTAGTCTTGATCAAAGCACTTCAGTGATGTTCAATTCTTTTGTCTCTGTACTTTGTTCACTTTGTCATCGCTACAAAGGTATTTGGGATGTAAAATCTCTTTCTCTCTCTCTGTATGTGTATGTGTCACACATGTGTGAGTATTCCTGGTTTCAAAAACATACTTTGTTTTATTTTCTGTCATTCACTGTGGGAAATAGTGTGCTGTGCACATTGTCGGCTCTCGCCCCCGCGTCTGCGTCTGCTCCCCTCCCCTCTTTCCAACAGCCGTTCATTTCTATTTGGGGATCTGTGGTCGAGGGAGGCTGATTCCACGCCCAGCTCCATATCTTGTCACTACTGTGATACAAGGCCTCCTCTTGTTCCCTTTCCTATTAAGAGTGAAACGGCAAAGTTTCCACTGGGCTGTGAGGCCCAACACCATCTGGTCCTATACTGCCCTGACCTTGTCTCCTACAGCTTTCCCTACTCTCTCACTCTGCTCCTTTAAACTGATGACCCCCTTGCTGTTTCTCAAATATGCCAGGCAGGCTCCCATCTCTTCCCTTCTCTAGATCTTTTAGGGTAGGGGTCCCCAAACCCCAGAGCCACTGACCAATATAGGTCTGGCACATGCGAGGGATCTAGGTTGCACACTCCTTATGAGAATCTAATACCTGATGATCTGTCACTGTCTCCCATAACAGCCAGATGCACCCCTCTAGTTGCAGGAAAACTAGCTCAGGGTTCTCACTGATTCTACATTACGGTGAGTTGTATGTATAAATATACAATTATTTCATTATATATTACAATGTAATAATAATAGAAATAAAGTGCACAATAAATGCAATGCGCTTGAATCATCCGGAAACGATCCCTCACCCCGGTCTGTGGAAAAATTGTCTTCCATGAAACTAGTCCCTAATGCCAATAAGGGTGGGGACGGCAGAGTTAGGGAACATTTCACTGAATCGTACAAGTGAAGACCTTGATTGAATTGAACAGTTTTGCCCAAATCCCTCACTTTCACATCACAAACATTCCAGTAAAACCAGATTAATTTTAAGCATTCATCATTTAGTGTTTCAAGAGGAGTTTGCACCAACATTCTGCCCTGACAAGAATTTTAGAAGATGTGTATGAAGTCTTTCTTCTTGTGTTCATATAGAACAATGTGCAATTCAGTCGTGGGGTGAACGCTTTGTTGAAAGGAACTGAGAGAGTTATTGACTGGGAGGGATTTCAATCTTGTTGCTATTCTGCTGATAATCACTTAATGAAAACTTAAAAATAAAAACATCTGGAAAGTATGCCAACCAATGCCTGCTTTACCAGTTTTACTTTCTGGCTTGCCTCAAGTAATTTTAATAAAGTATGTTAACTCAACTAGGGTCTTGAAAGAATTCACGTTCTATAATCTGTCCCTGTCCACTGCTACAAGAGTTTTGGGAATAGGCCCATGAATTTAATAAAATACTTAAAATAATACTACAGGAGACTTAAATCTTGATAATTATGCAAAGAGTTGTACTTCGGATATATTATATGCTTCTAAAAGGATGCATTTTGCCTAGAATTCTGATGGTTGTACTTTAAAAGAGCCGTGGTTAACGGGATCAAATTTAAATAGTTTCGATTCACAGATGACCCAAAATGAAATTCATGCAACTAACAGTTGGGAGGGATGGTGCTACCACTCTCTTGAGTTTGCCTTATAATGACTCTGTTTAATTTCCTGTTTTAAAGAAAGAACTTGAATGGAATTTCTTCTTAAGGGATTGTTTGGTTTAAACCTGATCCTCTCGAATCCTTTCCTAAATCCCTCCTTTGAGGATTTGGACTCTGGACTCACCTGAAGGTATCATTTCAGTTCTTGGATGAGAGACACACTCTTCATCATTCCAAAGCAATCCGAGAAAGTTCTTCTCAGCCACAAATGGCACCAGCAAGTGTACAAAGCACACTTTGTTCTGTGGAAAATGAAAATTGTTTTCTTAACAGTGCATCCTTGGGCTGAAATAGGAAGACCTTCCACCTGGACATTAATGCAAGTCAGAATCATTAACGTTCATAACAGTCCACATTGCTGTTTATGCATTTGATGTTCAATGTATCTGGGTCTCATTTCATTCAATAACTTAATACCTGCTTTCATTAGCAACTCCAGTTTGGACTTCTTGCTATTCAATTCGGCTAGGAAAATGTGTATTCAAACCAGAGTGTCTAAACTCAAGGCCTTCATACTTCTTTTGCCATGGCAGTTTGTGGAGCAAAAGACCTCCCAGCCTATCCACCCAAGCTCTCTCCACTTTCCAGTGGAAAAATATTTCAGAGATAACAATAAAGATTCAGTGTCTGAGCAAATTCTTTTGGGATTATGTGTACATCTGTTTTAGCAATACAGGTAAGGATGACCCATTTAGAGTCACAACACGTGAGATATGTGCAAGTTTAGTTATTGGAAAGTTATAGGCTAGACATACTGCTCATATGAATAGGAATTTCTTAACTGTAAAGTTAAGCAAACAATCCCAACAAACTTAATAATTGTGAAGCTAAACCAAGATTAATTTCAGGTAAAAACAAAACAGAACAAAAGAAACCACACTAGGAGACAATGAAAATTGCAATCCAGTAAGATAGCAAAGTACGATGTATACCACCCCCAGAAGTGATTCCAATGATCAGTTGAGCCTACATACACAGTAAGAGCTTCACAGCTCTGTGGAAATCTGCCTGGCAGACAGCCTTCTTAGTAGAATTCAGAATTAAGAGCCAAAGTAATCTTTTAGTTTCAATTAATGAATAGCAAGTTTTAGGAATTCTAAATAACTCACTTAAGAGGTTACTATTACGTAGCCCTTAATCATATATAAAAGTTCATGGAATTACAAGTCACAGGTTACTATTATGTAGCCCTTAATCATATATAAAAGTTCATGGAATTACAAGTCATTCGTGCAGAAGACATAAAAGGAATAAAATGCATTTTAAGAAATTTAATGATTTATTTTTAAATAATTGTAGATTCACATGCAGCTATAAGAAGTAGTACAGAGAGGTTCAGTGTACCCTGTACCCAATTTCCTTCAATGGTACTCTCTTGCAAAATTTTACTATTATATCACAACTATGATACTGACATTGGTACAGTCAAGGTACAGAACATTTCCACCAACTCAAGAATTCCTTATGCTGTCTTTTTACAGCCATATTCACTTCTCTCTTGTCCCTATCCTCTCCTTATCTACGGGCAACTAGAAATCTGATTTTCATTTTTATAATATTCTCATCTCAAGAATATTAAATAAGTGGAATGATACACTTTCGGAAAAGTGCCAGATTGTTTTCCAGAGTGACAGTACCATTTTACATTCCCACCAGTAATGTATACATCTTTTTCTGTCTTTTGCCCATTTTCTAATTGGCTTGTTTGCTTTTTCTATTTGGGTTTTGATAATTCTTTTATAGTCTAGATACTAGACCTTTGTTAGATAGGT